>NC_000020.11:38132900-38435931 GCF_000001405.40 Homo sapiens
GAGCCGCGGGCCCTTCATCCTGGGGAGGATCAGAGCCGACATCTGCTTGCTGCACCAGGCACTGCACTTCCCACGGCGGGCTCCTACTTCACCTACATGACAACCCTAAAAGGCTTGTACGTGTATTACCACCCAACTTACAGATGAGAAAACTGAGTCTCCAGCAGGTGAAATAACGTTGTCCTAGGTCACACAGCTGATATGTACTGTGCAGGCATCTGGACTAATAATCCAGATCTTAGAGTCCAACAATATGGTCCACACTCACTGAAGAATGCCTCTCATGGACATAAGGTCATTTCCCTCCACGAGGCTCGTGATGCTGTACCCGTTGCACAGATGAAGAATCACCTCTGCCAGTAAGTGCTCAGATTGGGAGACTTGCCTCAGGCCCTGTCTGGCCACTCACTGGCTGTGTGAGCCCGGGGAGATGACCTCCCCTCTCTGTTTCCCCTCTGTTTCCTCTCTGTTCCCAGATCTTATCACCTGCTGGGCAGAGGTAAGACCAAGGGTCGTTGCAGAGCAAAAGCCGCACAGTGATATGGGGATGAGAAAGAAGATGGCAGGAACAAAGCTACCCACTGAAGTGTGGTTCTTAGCCCCATGTTTCTGAAAAGAACACTGAGGCTGGAGGACCTTAGCAGTTTAGCATTTTAAGGATTCATGTAGTTTAGCATTTAAGAAAACAGACCTGGGGTCTGTTTGTAGGAGGCAGGGAGGAGCAGTAAATAAATACAAGTAGTTGGGTGTAGTGGCTCGCGCCTGTAATCCCAGCACTTTGGGAGGCTGAGGCAGGAGGATTGCTTGAGCCCAGGAGTTTGAGACCAGCCTGAGCAACATAGTGAGACCCCGTCTCTATAAAAAATACAAAAATTCAAGCCGGGAGTGGTGGGGTGAGCCTATAGTTCCAGCTACTTGGGAGGCTGAGGTGGGAGGATCGCTTGGGCCTGGAAGGTCGAGGCTGCAGTGAGCCGTGATTGCACCACTGCACTCCAGCCTGGGCAACAGAGTGAGACCCTGTCTCAAGGGGGAAAAAAAGAGAGAAAATACAAACAAAGTCATGCATATTCAATTCTGGCCAGATACAGTGATGTGCTGTGGACTCTGAGTTTCAGACCTGAGTCTACTGCTAAAGAGGGAGATTGGCAAGGCTTAGGAGGCCAGAGGCAAATCAGCACCCTCAGAGACTTTCCCCAGGAGGTCACCAGAAGGACGGATTGAGACCCGAGGAGACAGTCACTTTCTCACTGTGGGATTCAAGGTTCAGGCTTTGACCTTGAACCTTTGACCGTGAACACTGGTGGTCTGCGTCCTCCTCTTTGGAAAATGCTGCCCCGACCTGCCCACCTCTTTGGCCTTTCATTCCCTGGGTGGATCTGCTCCAACCTCTCATCAGATGATGTGATCTGGGGAAGAAAACCAAACTTTTGTGCCAAAAAGGACAAAAGAGGGTGAAAATTACTAGGTCAAGACCTGGTGGTGCAGAGTGGAAATTCTAGCTAGCTCCACAGGAAAGAAGAAAAACATTATCCTCCGGGGGCTTGGAGGATGTGGCCCAACTGTCGACTATTCTAGGAGGTGGAGGCCAGGGCAGGGCTGGACCTTTGAAAGTCTCCGTCCACAAGCCAGTGGCCACGGCCTTGGTCTTGGGCCAGATGCTGGCTGGGAAGAGGAAACCTGTATGGTCAGTCTCAACCATTCTTTAGACAATTTGCCCTGTTCTAGAAGGTTACTCTGGGGACAGTCACCGAGGCCACATTGGCTGCATTCCTGTGACCCACCTGGAGGGATGAGGGAGGAGAGAGCATGAAAGGGTGGAGGCAGGAAGGAGAAGAGAAAGAAGCAGCAGAGAAAGGAGGCAGGGGTGGGGGCAACTGGATTCCTTTCAGCCATCCAGGGCCTGGCTTCCTGTCCACCAGCACACGGAAATTCCCCAGATCTTATCATCAAAGAATAACAAGTAACTCAACCACAGTATGGGGGCTTAGAGGGAACGCATCTCAGCTTGAGCTTGGCATTGGAGGTTCCAACAGGGGACTTGGACCAGCCTCACTTTCCAGCCAGAGGCCAATGCCCAGGACCTTCTGTCCTCCCCTTCCTCTCCCTGAAGGCTATGTCTCCAGTGGATCCCCAACAGGAGGGACCTGCTGCTCACCCTCTGTGGTGAGCATGTTCCTGGGAGGATGAGAAAAGTCAGCATGCTTGGCTGATGCCAGTGCGGAACAATGCTCTCAGGGTCCCGATGGTGACTTAGAGGTGAGGGCTGACTCCACAGAGGCCTGGGAGGAAGTGATTTTGGTGTGTCTGGCCCAGGCCTGGAGTTCACCTCATGCCACTCATTCTAGGACAGACACTTTCTCCCCTTGGAGCAGCTCTGAGCACGAGAAGGAGCTGGTGGGTGTGCACTGAAACGATGGGACTGGGTCTCCAATGTCAAGCCCAAGACTTCACCACTGCTCAATATATCCGTGTAACAAAACCGCACTTGGACCTCCTAAATGTATACACACACACACACACACACACACACACATACACACACACAAAACAGGGCTGGAAGGGCTCTTAAAAGAGGAAAGCACCTTCCCCTTTGTGTGAATGGGGAACCCATAGCCTTGCTGGAGGAGAGGAATACCCAGGAGCCCACAGCCAGGCAGCAGGCAGCAGGCAGCAGGAACTAGAACTTGGGTGTCCTTGTGTCCTGAACCCCCACACGCCTGTAGAGATGGATCCTGTCTCGGACTCTCGGGGCCTGGATGAGCAGCGAGGGCCGGGTCCTTTCTACACCACCGAGGTGTCAGGGACACAGGAACCCCCGAGCCCAGGGCTGACACCACTGCCTGGGACAGAAGGTGTTCAGGAAAGGTCCCGGGCTTCTCGCCTCCCCACGCCTCTTAGCACTCGCACTCAGGGAGGAGTGAGGGCCCCACCGTGTGCTGGTGCTGCTGTGCCCTTTCCAGATACCTCCTGAGCACGCATCCTCTCCCTCAGTCCTCACGGCTGCGGGCGCATCAGGCAGGCATGTCATCACCCCATGTAACAGGCGAGCATGACCTAAGACTCAGAGAGCATGTTCACCGCGCCCAAGGTGGTGCATTCAGAGGGCAGCAGAGCTGAGATTCAAAGCCAGGTCTTCCTGGCCTCGGGAAATGTCTTTCAACAGCTTCAGTGTTGGGCCCTGTCCTGGTACCAAGAGGATCTGCCCTCTGAGGGCCTGGCCCCTGCTGAGGAGTCTGCCCCGGGCCGGACAGTGGGTGTGCCCAGGGCGTGCAGCTCCAGGAGTGCCCACGGTGGGCCCAAGATAGAAAAACCAGGAGGCAGCAACTGTCAACACTGCAGACGCCCCGCCCGCAACACAGACCTGCTTTCTTAGGAGGGTGAAAGCTGTGCCCCAGACGCCAGCCCATGGGCACCAAGGGTCCAGGCACTGTCATAGAGGAGAGGGACGACCACTGGTTTGACAGGCAGGAGTCCGGGGAAAACAGACGGGGAAACAAACTCTGTAAACACAAACCATGCCCCACCCGAGGGCTCTCCAGCATCTCCAGGTGTGGCCACACTGAATCCCAGGCATGAGTGCCTACTGTGTGCACACTCTCTTACCCCCGATGGTCCTGCACTGTTGGATCATGACCCCCAGGAGCCTGATGGGGACGCTAAGGTGCAGGGGAGTGGCCATTTGCTCTGGTGACACAGCGAGATGCTGCCCAAAGACGATGTCCTACTTGATTCCACTGCCCCTCAGAGGATGGCCAATGTCTCATTCTGCAGCTCCCAGGTCCTCTCCTAGCCTGGAAACCCCTCTGCCCTCCTCACACCTGCAGGGCTCCAAATGGCAGAAAGTGGGATGGGGCTGCTGGGTGGTGGTGGGGCTGCTGGGCGGAGCCCTGGGCTTGATTCCTGGTCCCTCACTGCCTCGCTATGTGACCTCAGTGGCCACGGCTCCTCTGAGGGCCTCAAGCTTATATTTAGGAAGATAACCAGGCACAGTGACAAAGCCAGACAGTGGAAGGGACCCAGAGGACAACCACTGTGCAGGAAGCCTGGTGACAAAGTCTTGGCTCGGGGCTGGGTTGGGTGGTCTAATGACACCATGTCACTGCGAAGGGGATCTGCCTAAAAAGGCAACTAGGCTGGTGCTGGGGACACTGGAGAGGGACAATCAAGTCCAGGAAGAAAGCACTTCTCCCTGCAGAGGCCTGGACGCTCCCACCTTTGGCTCGCCGATCTGCTCTGCCCAACATAGCAGCTTCTGGCCACATGTGGCTGTCTAACTTTCAACACAATTAAAACTTTAGTTTTGGCCAGGTGCGGTGGCTCACACCTATAATCCCAGCACTTTGGGAGGCCGAGGCAGGTAGATCACTTGAGGCCAGGAGTCCGAGACCAGCCTGGCCAACATGGTGAAATCCCATCTCTACTAAAAACACAAAAATTAGCTGGGCATGGTGGTGCACGCCTGTAATCCCAGCTACTTGGGAGGCTGAGATTGCAGTGAGCTGAGATCGTGCCACTGCACTGCAGACTGGGCAACAGAGTAAGACTCCATCTCAAAAAAAATAAAAAAACAAGCAAACAAACAAACAAACTTTAGTTCTACGGTTGCACCAGCCACATTTCAAGCGCTTAGCAGCCACGTGCAGCTGGTGGCAGCCATGCTGGATAGGCGGTGCAGACTCAGCACGTCTCCATCACTGTGGAAAGTGCAACAGGCACTTTCCAAGGCGCTGGGTTAGAGACTTTTCTTTGAGGCCGAGAGCAACCAGAGGCACAGGAGAGGTTCTCGAAGGGCCCATGGAGAGAGGCTGCTGAGGCATGAGGGGCTGGAGACAGTGGAATTCACTGGGAGAGGGCAGCAGAGGGTCTGTGAAAGCAGTCAGGGGTCACACGAAGATGAGGTGAAACCAAACAGTATAGCTGCTGTGAGGACAGGTTAACTCCCCAACTGTGCAACCTTAAGAAAATTACTTAACCTCTCTGTGCCTCAGTCTACTCATCTGGAAAACGGAGCCATGTTAGAATCCACCCCCTCACTCTTGCAATAAGAATTAAGTGGGTTGATATTTATAAAGTGCTTAGGACAGGGCCTGCCCCAGAGTCAGCGCCATGTAAGTGTCTGTGGGGTGAAATCACACATGCTAAGTGGTTAGGTCACTACCTAGCATGTTGTCAGTTGGCGGTCAACAAATGCTCCAGGAACACAGGGCTTTACCAGAGAAAGGCTCCAGGTTGAGGTTGAGCAGGTACTTGGTGCCACACTCGGGCCCCAAGATCCCATTGTAGCTGACGGTGCGGGCACAGAGCAGGAGGCGGCAGACGTACTCCTCAGCGGTGTTGTTGGTGATGTGGGCAAAGACGTCAAAGTCACTGCCCATGTTCATGCTCTGGCCCACACGGATCCGCATGGCCATCCCTGTCTCCTCCTTCTCGGCCAGTTTGTTCAGGTGGTTCGCCCTTGTGAAGGCCTCCCTCTCCTCTGAGGACCCTGTAGGGGTTGAGAAGAGAGCCTCAATCACAGCTGGAATAGATCACAGGAAGGGGGCTGCAACAGGGCGAGCTGTCTTCGCAGAGGCCTGATGACTCAGGGCAGCCATGAAGGAGCCCCTTCTCTACATTTCTGGGCCAGAAGGACACAGCATTTCATTAATTTTCCACTAGTGAACTCCTATACATCCCTCAAGACTCAACCCCAAATGACCCCTCCTCCAGGAAGCCCTCTCTGACCACTCCTTCCCCTGTGTTGTTTTCTGTTTCAAACTTACCTTCTTGAGCTGCTCGAGGGCTAAGGCTGTGTTTTACTTATCCAGTGCCTACAACAGTGCTTGGTGCATACTAGGCACGAATACAGTGCAATCTTTCTTACCTTCAAGCAATTACACAGGGATTACTTCTACCTAAAATCCTTTCCCTCCCTGTCTCTGATTGCTCCCTTCCTTATATTCCATTTGCCTCTCTCCTGTGCTCCTTTGATTTTTTTCTCCCAGTGTTGTTGGGTGCATATCTATTTATTCTATGAAACTATCAGCTCTAGACCTTTCAGGGGATGGGGAGAGCATCATTTCATTCTGTGTTATCCCTTTCAGCTAGAGTATGGCCAGGCAACCCTGGAAAGTCAGTGAGGGTCAGGCCAAGGCAGGAACTATGGTTTCTTAGTCCCCTCTGTATGCTTTGCTATGCTTAGTATTTGCTTAGAAATTAGATACCATATTGAATTGGCTGTTCGATGTGCTCAAATCCAATTTTTAAAAATAAATCAAGTCCTTTCCCCTGCAACTGATTTAACATCAGTAGCAGAGAACTCTTTCCCTAAATGAATAATCCTCTACCACTGTCCCTCAACATGTTTGCTCCTGTTTCTAAGGCATTGCTGAAGATGGAGTATAGCCTACGGGGCCATTGCTGTACGTAGGCTACCAATTAAAACACACGCACACACATACACGAGCCTGCCGGGCTGGGAAAACTGGATGCTTATCTTCAAGGCTGCATTAAAGACTCTGAGGGCACATACCCTCTGGGTATTTGTAGGTGTGGGTGATATCCTCCCGCTCGTCTCGGCCCACGCTCTTAGTGCTGATCTTCAGCCCAACGATCAGGGAACGGTTGATGGATTTGTGCACAGACCCATCGTCCTGCTGGATCCAGTCTACCACGTCGGCATTGACCTCCGCAAAGACAAAGGGCGCATCGTACTTGGTGCTCAGGTCGCCCTCCTTGATGGCACGAACTGGAACTGGGCCACAGCAGTACGTCCCTGGCAGAGGTAGAAAGGGGAAGGGATGGGCCTGGGTGAAGGTTGGGTGGTGTCCTCTAAAACGCTCCACAATTCAATCACATGTAGCCAAAAACCTCAAGACCACGCGGCCCTCTGACGGAAGGACTCCACTTCCAGGAGGGCACCACAGGGCAAGGGTTCAGAATAGGGGCTCTGGAGCACAACTTTTAAGGTTCAAATCCCAGCTCAGCCTGTTATTAGCTGGTGACTTTGGGCCAGTCACTAACTTCTCGAAGCGGCAGTTTCATGTGGAGATAAGATCTGGACCACCTAATGAGCATTCCTGAATTATAGATGTAAAGCTCATAGCCTATACTAAATGCTATGCAAGTATTTGATAAATAAAATGGAAATGTATCCCAGACATCCTGAGGAAATTATGGAGCCAAGGACAGGCAACATGTTAGCAAGGAGGACATCTGTCTCGTTTCCTGCTCATACTGAGAGTGGAGCTCAGTGCCCCGCATGGGGCCAGCCCCAGGGCGTGTGTGTTCTCCAAGTGAATACGGGTGCCTGATGTTTACGTAAGTGTGGTTGATAACCGCCCCACACTGTCCGCAGACTTCCAATGCTGAGGACTAGAGGCTGGATAGATACAGTCTAGCACATCCATGTGATGGACCACGGTCACATTAAATAAAAATTCAAATCACAGAAAACTATCTGCTGGAGAAATGCCAATGCTTTATCCAGAAGTGGACAGAGCTGGGAAAAAATGTTCCATGCCGCTGGAGGTCTTAAACCAGGGCCCACGGATCCCCCCAAGGCACTACCAACAGAATTCAGGGGTCTATGAACCCTATGATGGGGAAAAAAGGGTATCTTTGTTTTCACCATAGCACTTTCTTCAATTGCAAAAGCAGGAAATGACCATAGCAGCCTGAGGAGCACTTAGGACTTGTCACTCATAAGAACCACAGGCGTGGTCATTACAACCTTACAGCTGTCCCAGATGGCAGGAAATTAATTTATGCTCATAAATTATCTCTACAACTATATTATGGAACTTACTGACTCTACCGCTAGATCTTGTTCTATAAAGAAGCATATGTTATTATATCATAAATTCATTTTTTAAAACTTGTGACAACTGTATTTTAATGTAATTGGTTTTCTTTGTAACGCTATGTATTATATTTTATACATTTAAAAATATTCCTAGAAAGTGTCCATATGCATCACAAAATTGTGCCTTAGTGTACTCTCTCTTTCAAACACACAGGTACTACATATATATATGTGTGTTTATATACATACATATATAAACACACACATATACACCCGCATACAAATACACGATTTGAAATCAGTGGAAGCTCGTGTGAATGTTAATGCTGCTTATTTTAGAGGGAGGAGACAAAGATGCTATTTGATTTTTTTCTTTGAGCTTCTCTGTATTTCCTGCTTTCCGCAATGCACGTGAATTATTTTTGAGATTTATCAAGAAGTGTGTTATTAAGATGTAAGTGAGGTCCCCCACCCTTCTGTGGACCCATCAGTGGTCTCCGGGTGAGCTCCTAGTTCTGCCGCCCTCCAGCTGAGTCACTTTAACTCTCCAAGCCTCGTCTTCCCCATCTGTTTGACGCGACAGTGCCCGCCCACGCACCTTCGCTCTTCTCCTGGGGCGTTGGGTCCAGGGCCTGCCAGCCCTCGTACCCCGGCTGCAGGTCCGGCCTGGTCATCCACGACTCCACCCAGCAGTGGAAGTTCCTGAGGGGGATAGGGGGGCGGGAATGAAGCAGAACATGAGCAACATTCATCGCCACCTCCCACGGGCAGACCATGCATTCATGTCCCCAGATGCAAGCTCGCCTCGTCCCAAACTGAGCCCAGGGTGTCTCCCCACTGCCTTGTTCTTCCCCCCACGGGGGCCCATCTCACAGCACCCTCTCTAGCCAAGGCGCCCACTCCTACACCTCAGAGCCCTTCTCAACTCCTCTCCCCTCCTTGCCCCTCTCAGTGGCCCCTTTGACCTCCTAATTTCTTGGCTCCATCCCTTCTTTTCTGTCCGTTCAGGGCTTATCACTCCCCACCTGGACCACGCCCCAGCCCCCCGCCCATCTCTTCCCCTCTAGCCCTCCTGGCAGTTGTCAGCCCCGCCCTCTCCCACTCTGAATCCTTGAGTGACAACCTATTGCTTTTGGAATCAAGCCTGGGCCCCCTAATGTGGCATTCCAGACTCCCGACAACATTTGCAGCATGATTCTTCCTGAGGCCCCATCATGTATGTGGTTGACTTTCCCTCTAGGCCTTCCCCAAGCCTGCTCAAATACTGCTGAACTTTTAAGGCCCAATTCAAATGTGACCTCCTCCAAGAAGCCCTCCAAGGTTTCCTCTCCATGGGGCCCTCCCTACTGGGCTCCGATCCCACCCTGGCCCCCACCTCACCAGATCATCTCGCTCTTGTCACCCTGGATCTCCCCAAACTCATTGCGGAAGTACTCGATGAGAAGGTTGCTGTTCTGGTCATGGGCCGAGTTGTAGTTGGTCACGACGCGGGTAGGGATGCCCAGGCACCTCAGCACTGTTGGAGAGGAGTGGAAAGCGGGGTGAGGTCCTGGAGACATCCGCCCTGCTCTGGGCCTCCACCTGCCCATCTGCATTCCAGGGAACACTGTACCTGCTGTCCAAGTGCTGAGAACATGAGCCAGCCCTTCCTGCCGGGACAATGGCGCCCACCTCTCTGGTCACCCCATGTCCATTCTATGCCCCTCACATCACAGTTGCCAGAAGGAGACTCTAAAATACAAACCCCGGCCAGGCGTGGTGGCTCACGCCTATAATCCCAGCACTTTGAGAGGCCGAGGGGGGCCTGAGGTCAAGAGTTTGAGACCAGCCTGGCCAATATGGTGAAACCCCGTCTCTACTAAAAATACAAAAATTAGCCAGGCATGGTGGTGCACGCCTGTAATCCCAGCTACTCAGGAGGAGGCTGAGGCAGGAGAATTGCTTGAACCTGGGAGGCGGAGGTTGTGGTGAGCCAAGATTGCACCACTGCACTCCAGCCTGGGCGACAGAGTGAGACTCCATCTCAAAATGAAATAAAGTACAAATCTGATGTCACCACTCCTGTGATCAATTGTCCTTGGTTCCCCATGGCCCTTGAGGTCAAGGCCAGTGCCCTGGCCATGGCCCTTGGCCCTGCAGGGTCTGGCCCCTGAACCCCTCCTCGCACGCTGTGCTCCTCCACACTGGCCTCCAGCATGCTCTGCCTCTGCCAGCTTCAAGGCATCGGTGTCTGCAATTCCCTCTGCCTGGAAGGCTGCCTGCCAGGTTCAGGTTGCCCCATCATTTGCATTCATAGCACGGCTGGAGATCCTTCATCCTTCCAGTGTACAGGCATGTGAGGGATTCTTTAATTAGTCCTCCAAGGCCAGTGAGGGATCTGTCTTATGTTAGATCCTGGAGCCCAGCACAGGCCTGTCATTGACTATTTTGTCAAATGGGATGAAGGAGTGGAGGAAGGAGAGAGGAGAGGAAAGAGGGAGGGAGGGAAGGAGTGATTGAATGACTGACTCTCCCCAAGATAGGGACTTAAAGACTCAAACAGCAGAACAGGCAGAGGAGGGCACAGAGGTCGGGAGACCCAGCTGCTTTCAGCTGTGTGACCTGGGACCAGTCCCTTCATGTCTCTGGGCCTTGGTTCCATCTCTTTGTGCATTAGTGATGCCACTGAGGACTCATCATCATTCCCAATGTACAAGAACACGGATGCACGTGGCCCTATAAATAGGTCGCAGCACAGATCAGGGTCCTCAGACTTGTCCGGAGGGAGGGCCCTGCATACCTGCCAACGCCCTGTTTGCTGGGAAAGGGGCTGATGTTGCAATGACAGGTTAAACAGCAACAGGACATTGACTGGCATCTGCAAGCTGAGCTCAGCTCAGAGAGGCGAGGAGCACAGGGGAGGGAGGAAAATCCCGGTGTGGATCTCACCCACACGGCCCACTGGGTGCTCCTGGCAGACGGAATTATGGGTGCTTTTACTCTCTCATTTTAAAAATGTGCTTTTTATGTGTATTGTAAAAGTAACAGATTCCCAGAAAAAAATATCTAAAAAATGAAGAGAAACAAGATTAGGCGTAATAAGGTAATCTGTGGGACTTTTGTTTTACTTTTAGTTTTGATTGAAGTTGAGTTTGGGAGTGGGGGAGAAGGGATGCGACCTTTGCCCTGGGGCCACCATCGATAGGCCAGGGTAAGAGCTTACTGGTTGGCCCTGGATTCCTGCCAGGAGATTTGTAGGAGCTTCGAGGAAGGAGGAAGGAACAGCTATGACCTCCCCCTCTTGCCTGGTTTCTGTCCCCCTGAGGCCTGGGCAGGGCTCAGCCCTAAGGCTGCCCTCAGTGAAGGCTGGTGTCCTAACCACAGGTCTTATCCCACCATGCAGTGGGCCTGAGGACAGACCGGAGGACGGGGGAGGTCTGTCTCTGCTTTCCAGGGAGCCAAGTGCCACTCTTGCCCCAGGGGTGGTGTCCCGGGAGGCCTCCTCATCAGTCTAACAGGAGGCTGCCCCAGCACCGTGCACACCTGGATCAGAGACTGACCCTGCTGCTCACCAGCTGTATGACCTTGGGCAAGCCACTCCCCTCTCTGAGCCTCCATTTCCTCCTCAGTAAGACAAGCTAATAATAGCAGCTTGTGGGGATTTGTGGTGATTCAGAGAGAGGCCGCGGGTGTGGGCACAGCCTTGTCTGCCCATTCCCAGAGCAAGCATTGAGGGGGTGCTCGGGAACAGCACAGTGTGTCATGGTGCCCGTTACGGCAAACGTCGTCCATCAGTGCTGGCTGATTCATGGACATTGAGGAAGTACAGTGAGGGATCCGGCTAAGAAAGCTGGAATGCCAGGCTCCCCTGGAAATCCCCAAACCCAAGCCTAACCGGAGCCAGAGACTGTGCTAAGTGATCTCTCCCTGGTATTAAGAGCTTCCTATGAATGAGATCAGTCACCATTGTCTCCATTTTATAGATGAGGAAATTGAGGCTTGGAGGCATCAATTCTCTTGCCCAAGTCCACCCAGGGGTTAGTGGCAGAGCTGGATTCAAACCCAGGCAGTCCAGCTCCAGAGTTCATGGGCCAATTCACCATTGGCTCCCCACGTGAACTCCACGGCCACAGTGGTCAGACAGCCCTTTTCTTGGCCAAGTTTTCCCTGGCTCCATCCTACACAGCCTGGGAAGAGGCTGCGGGGACCAGAACACAGCCCTGCAGTGGGCAGCTGAGGGGCAGGATCTGCTGCTCAATCTTCAGGCGGCCACAGCCCAGGGTGACCAGGATGACCAGGGTTTCTGCCGGTGAGCCTGGGGATCCAGGTCTTGGATTTCGGGGTTTTTCCAGGAAAACCCATGGGCTTCTTTGAAAAGAGGTGTTTTAGGGCTCTCAGAGGGAAGTGTCTGGCATGAAGGAGTTTCCACAAGAAAAAGGAATTCAGAGGTCACGGGGAACAGGCAGTCCCAGGCAGAGAGGCAGGAGTCAGAAGGCAAGGACAGCCGAGCTGAGAACCTAGGTTAGGCTGCCCTGACCCAGCCTGCTGGTGTGGAGGATGTGCTGGGGGCCCTGCCAGGCACCCTTTCCTGGGCCTTAGCACTGGTTTTGGAATCAGAAAAGCTGGAAGCCCCAGACCAGCCTTTTAGATTGAGCCTGGTAATAATAATAGTCGTGACAATAAATAGTATCATCACATAAGTATTTTCTATTATGCACCCAAAATCATTTTAAGCACTTCCCACATTCATTTATTTATTTAGAGATGAGGTCTCGCTCTGTCACCCAGGCTGGAGTACAGTGGTGCAATCATGACTCACCGCAGCCTCGACCTCCTGGGCTCAAGTGATCCCCCTGCCTCAGCCTCCCAAACAGCTAAGACTACAGGTGCACCACCACCACGCTCAGCTACCTCACACATATTAACTCATTTAATCCTCACAACCATCCCAGTATAAAGGTACTACCGTTGTGCCCATTTTACATACAATGGAACTGTGGTTCAGAGGAGTTAAGTGATTTACCTAAGGACACACAGCTGGTAAGAAGCAGAGCTAGGATTTGAACCCAGGCCTTGACTTCAGAATTTGTGCTCTCTCTCTTTTTTTTTTTTTTTTTTTTTTTTTGAGAGAGGATCTTGCTCCGTTGCCCAGGCTGGAGTGCAATGGTGCAATCATAGCTCATTGCAGCCAACCTCCAGGGGTCAAGCGATCTTCCTGCCTCAGCCTTCTGAGTAGCCAAGACTCCAGACACACAACCATGCCTGCTAATTTTTATTTTATTTTATTTTTTTGTAGAGACAAGGTCTCACTATATTGCCCAGGCTGGTCTCAAACTCCCGGCCTCAAGCAATCCTCATGTCTTGAGTCTACGTTCTTAGCCAGCATGTGATGCTAACCCATTCTCATAAGCACCATCATCAGCCTGGCAACAATCATCGACATTTTCTGGCCTTAAATTTTGAAGATTTTTGTTTTAGATTTATTTTACTTTTTTGGTTTTAAATTGCTCGATATTCCCCCTCTACATTTTAGAACATGCTTTCTTTCTTGACACTGATATTACTGTTAGGATCCAGTTATTACTGGCTAATATTTGCCGAGAGTGACACTGGGCTAGGTTCTGTGCTGAGTAGCTTCATGTCACACCCACTCTAGGAGGAAGGTCTTGATGTTGTCCCCATTTTCCAGACGAGGAAACTGAGGTTCAGAAAGAAGTCATTTGCTCAAGGTCACAGAGCAAGTGGTGGGAGGGAGGGGGTTTTTAACTCAAGTTAAAAATCCTGAGTTTTTGAGAACGTGGGCTCCAGTGCCCAAGTTCTCAGCCCTGAGCCCATGCAGTCTCTCCAATGATAGCCCTTGATCCTAACAACCACTGGAGGGATGGCTATTGGATAAAGGACCGGAGAGGGTGGTCACAGGCTCTAGGCCACATAGCGCATTGAGAGTGTTGGTGGCAGGGGGCAGGACCAGGGCAGGGATGTCCTGATTCCTACTCCAGTGCTCTTCGTGCCCCCTCCCAGGGCTCATGACCCACATCCCAGCGTGCAGCTCACCTGTGCAGGCCACGGCGGCGAAGACCCAGCACTGGCCATACTTGACGCGCTGGCAGCCGTGGTTCTTCCAGCGCCGCAGGATGTCCACGCTGCCGATCCAGGACATGGGGCTGACGCCGTCCCCGTAGTTGTTGTCCCAGCGTCCCAGCAGCACACCCTGGTCATCGTTGCAGTTGACCTGCAACCAGTGGGGCAGCACGGGGACTGAGCCTGGGATGGGGTGTCGGCTGTGCCGCCTGGGTGAGCCTGAGTACAGCAGGGGGTGAAAGCTGGGGAGGGGAGCTCCAGGGTGAGGAAAGAGCAGGTGCAAAGGGGCCATCGTGTGACAGACTGGTGTGCGGCAGATGGTGGGGGCTGGAGCCGGGGGACAGGAGGGAGATGGGGAAGAAGGAGGTGGGGCAGGGTCAAGGACTTGAACGCGATACTGGGGATGTGACTCTGTCCTATGAACACAGGATTGCTCGGGAGTGACATGGTGTGATCTAAGTTTTACAAAGACCCGCTTGGGCCCCCCACCCCAGATTGTGTCGTTCCCCCTAAACTCCCATTACCTCGAGAATAAAATCAGCCTCCTGACCATGATCCAAGAGGCCCTTCTGGTCTCACCCCTGCCCACCTCTGCAGCTTCCTCTGCACCCACGGGCCCTGCTCACTCCACTCCAGGCACACTGGCCTCTCTTCCTTCCTCAAACCTGCCAAAGTCGCTCCCTTCTCAGGGCCTTTGCACAGCTGTGCCCTCTGCCTGGAATGCCCTTCTCCTGGGTACCACCTTAGGGAGCCCCTCAGCCCCTCCCTGAGCCTGGCCCTGCAGTCCAACGCTCTCACACCTCGGGTTCCTTCAGAGCGTGCACCATCATTTATGAACCATGTGAACTGCCTGCTCGTTCATATGGTAGTTTGGTTAGTGTCTGTCTCCCCTCCCCTCCCCTCCCCTCTATAACACAGTCTCCATAAAGCTAGAGATCACACAGGACTTGCACACAGCTGTCTCCCCAGTGCTTAGGACATAAGTGGTACTTGATAAATATTTACTGAAGAAATGAATAAATTAATTGCTCTGGGGGACCCCATAGCATCACCCTCATCTGTGCAAATCTTATCTTTCCAATATAAGGTCTTTTCCCCAAGACTTACCCATCTCCCGGGTCCCCCACCGCGCCTAGCCTGTGTCTCCACTGCGAGGGAGAGGCCTGCGGGAGCCCCCTGTAGGCCCCGCCCCTGGATGGGCCATGCCACTCACTCACCATGCCACTCACCACCCGGCCCACGTAGACGGGGCTGCTGCGGCGGGAGCAGTCACGGCCGGCGTTCTTCAGGAACTTGGGGTTGACATCTAGAAGGATCAGGCAGATGTCTAGGATCCCATCTTCAAACTGTGTCAGAGGAAACAAGAGGAGAAAGAGGGAGCTGGGAAGGCACCTCCTCCAGGAAGCCTGCGTTGAAGCCTCCAGCAGCTGTTTCCCACTCTGTCCCACACAGCAGACTGGGACACTCCGGCCGAGTCTACCAAATCTCTCTGGTGGCAGCTTCTCTTGGCACAGGAGGGAATGGAGTGGGACAATGACTGGGTGAGCCATGAGTGTGTGACGAAGAGGGTAACAATTTTCATCCAGGGCCTGGTTGGGGGAACCTGGAAATCTGGAGCAGGAGCCCATGGAGTGGGCAGCCCGGTGTCCCTGGGGCTCCCCCTCAGAGTCACCTTGGGCCCTGTCACTGTCCCTTTCTCCTCTTGCTCAGCCAAATCTCCCACTTCCCCAAGGCGTGACCCACCCTGCAGAGCTGATGTCAGCCCCCTCGTCCCCCTCCAACCCAGCCCACACACGCTGCTCTGATGGGAACTGAGACAGATTCTAAATACAGAAATCCAGTCCCATCACTCTTCTGTTTCAACCGTATCCACAGTAAAACCTAGACTTCACCGTGCAAACTTCAAGGCCCTTCATGATCTGCTCCCATCCCCTTTTTGACCTCATCTCTCACCACTCACACCCACACTCACTCTGCCCAGGCTCACTGCCCCAGGGCCCTTGCATGTGCTATTTCTCTGCTCAGAATGCTCTTCCCGCTGCTCTCTGCAGGGCTCACACCTCCTCATCCTTGCCATTCAAATGTCATCTTTCTCAAAAGCAGGACCCCTTCTTGCCACCTTCCACTGGACCACCCACCTCCAGGGGCCCTTCTGTCTGCTCTTTTCCCCCCACTTCTGTGGTCCTTTCCTGGGCCAGATCTCCCTCCAAGCTGCACAACAGCCTTCCACGGTGTGAACCCTCTGTGGCTCCCTATTGCCATCGGCCTAATGTTCAGGGCTGTTCCACAAACTGGACACTGCTGGCTTCTCCCACCTCATCTCTTGGGGCTCCTTCACACACAAGGTATGCCCCAAGCTACAATATACCTCTCAGGCACGACATAAACTTTCCAACCTCTGAGCTTTCACTTGCATAGTTCCCTTGGCCTAGTATGTCGTGCACACACCTCCTTGCATGGCAAACTCCTATTTGTTCTTCAAAGCCCAGCTCAAATATTCCCTACTTCAAGAAGTACCCCCTGATCCCCATAGGCTGTTATTCCTTCCTTCCTCTAGGTCTCATCTTCCTGGACTGTGATCACCTCCAGAAGCTTTGCAAAGGCCATGTCCCACAGCCCAGCACAAGACCGGATACAAAACAAGACCCTGTGGGCCGGGCGCGGTGGCTCACGCCTGTAATCCCAGCACTTTGGGAGGCTGAGGCAGGCGGATCACGAGGTCAGGAGATCGAGACCATCCTGGTTAACACGGTGAAACCCCGTCTCTACTAAAAAAATACAAAAAATTAGCCGGGTGTGGTGGTGGGCGTCTGTAGTCCCAGCTACTCGGGAGGCTGAAGCAGGAGAATGGCGTGAACCCAGGAGGCAGATCTTGTAGTGAGCCGAGATTGCACCACTGCACTCCAGCCTGGGCAACAGAGCGAGACTCCGCCTCAAAAAAAAAAAAAAAAAAAAAAACAGGACCCTGGGAAATAAAGGAAGAACTTGACTTTGTTCTCCTTCTCAGGAGAGAATAAAAAGCCATGAAAAATCAGAGCCAATTCATTTTCTGATGTATTTTATGCATCACGGTCATACCACCATTTCATTTATATCCCACAGCAGGCTACGGGGTTGCTGAGCAGTTAGTTTTGCAATTATCATCATGATATTCAGATGAGAAAACTTTGGTCAAAGCCTGAGATCATACAGGGAAGATTTCCCTATGGTTTCAGGGTAGGACCCTCCCTAGAGGGTCATTGAACATTGAAACCTGACCCAGAGGCTGCTGGGGGAAGCCTCAGGGTGAACCCCACCCCAGGAGGCCAATACCTCCTAACACACCAGGAGGTTGAGGGGCCAGGGGTGCAATGGTTCTTGCTTTGTGAGTTTTCCCAGCAGAGTCTCAAGAATTTGTACAGGTGGCTGGATGATAAATGAAATTTATCATCACCAGTTTAGAGAACCAGCCCAGGCTGGCCCACTGGGGAGTGAGAAACCACGTGAAACAGATGAGCCATTGGCTGAGCCAGATGGTAGGAGCCTAAAGGTCAGGCTGGCTTTACTGACTCCAGCCAAGCCCAGCCTAGACAGCCATGCATGGCTGACCCACAGACTTGTGAGAAATAATAAGTGATTGTTGTTTTTAGCCCCTAAATTTCAGGCTTGTTATGCAGCAGCAGCTAGCAGATACAACCAGATCAGCAGTTCCCAAAGTATGGTTATTAGACAAGCAGCATCAGCATCACCTGGGAACTTGTTTGAAGAGCAAATTCTCAACCCCTAGTGTTTTAAGACTCTCAGTGATCCTGAGAACCACTGATCTGGGTGAGGGTTTAAAGCCTCTTCTTAGCACATGCCTAGCACACAGGGCTCACCCCAGCACAACTCCAAGTACTGCCTATTGTTTCAATACATGAGCTTTACTGTTCCCTCTTCCCCCTCCCAGGATACCAACCAGCTTCACAGTTCCCAAAGGCTCTCCTAGTTCTTTCTCCACCTTGAATCCAAGGCTGCCGCCTTTGCTGTGTGACCTCAGGGCAGCCTTGGCCCTCTCTGAACCTTCAGCTGTTTCAGGGCCTTTGCATCCCTGACAGCATGAAGTGGGTGACTCTGTGACTCACTCCCACCTGTGCAGCTTTGGCTGCCCCCAGACACAGGGCCGGGCACACAGAAGGGCCTGAGATGGTTGGGAGAGACAGGGTGTGGCCCTTACCTGCCCAAAATTCCAAGGTATGTTCTTGATGAACTTGGCCGAGCCCTGGTAGATAAAGCCCTGCTGGGTGAGGACATACTCCTGCCGCTCCTCTTCCGAGTCCAGGTACACAGCATCCGCTGCAGGCAGGAAGAAAGGGACCTCAGCTCTGGGTCTGCGGAGGCCCAGGGTCCCTGCAAATCTGGAGTCAAGGGTGCCAATTCCCTAGGCCAAGCCAGCGTCTCAGGGATCCATCCTTCTTTTAATTAGAAAAAGTAACCATTAATGAATAATCCCACGTCAATGAGATAAGGTGTTATCGGTTAGTGACAACAAAGGCTGCCATTTCTTCAACACTCACTGTGTGCCAGGACCTGTGATAAATGTATGACCTGTATTAATAAATTTAATCTCCAGAAGAGCCTTATGAGGAAGGGATCCTTGAAAGCCCCATTTTAAAGACCAGAAAACTAAGGCTCAGGAATATTTTATAGCTAGGAAAACTGAGACTAAGGACACAGGAGCACTGGACCGGGAGTCAGGAAACTCCTGATTCTCACTTGCTGTGTGACCCTGGGTAGGCTACTTTGCCTTCTCTGCCCACCTTAACACCTCACTGTGTCAGCCCAAAATGCAGATCTGAAAGGTGCTTTGGAAACGAAAGCCCTGAGGTAGCGTGAGGGAGGCGCATGATTCAAGGCAGAGAGAACTCAGTAGCAGAGGGGAAGGCCAAGAAAGGGTTCCTGCAGCTCAGGAGAGGTGGGGTCCTGTCCAGCTTGAGAGAGTTACAGAGGGCTCCCTGGAGGAGGTGGCATCTGAATGTTGTCTTAAAAAATGATTAAGTTTTAGAGAGTTGGAACCTGGAGGGTAGCATTCTAAGCAGAGGACCAGAAAGCACAAAGCTTTGGCTGCTGGAAAATGCAGGGCATTTAGTTGTCTGTGGCCAGTGAGGGGAGAAGAAGGA
Organism: Homo sapiens; assembly: GCF_000001405.40. NCBI lineage: Eukaryota > Metazoa > Chordata > Mammalia > Primates > Hominidae > Homo > Homo sapiens. The sequence goes on from NC_000020.11 coordinate 38,151,882, forward strand.
GCTGAGGAAGTTGGGGCAAGATGGTAGGAGCCCAAAGGTCAGGCTGGCTTTACTGACTCCACTTAACCGGTGAAGAAACTGAGGCCAAGAAGGGGCAATCTGGAGCCCCATTATGACTTTGGTGAGCCCCAGGCACTCTTGACTTCATGCATTCCTTCCTCCATTAGAAAAAAGGTAATTGAATGTTATGACTGCCTTGGTTAATTACAGCTATCTCAATATTACATATTAAAACCTATTGTTCAACTTAAATGTTCATTTTTTTCTCCTGATTTTAAATTACATTAAAACATGTTCACGGGCCCCTAAGAGTTTCTCAGGCCCCAGGCACAGTGCCTGCCGGGTCTAATGGAGAAGCTGGCCTGGGAAGGAAGCAGCTGCCGGCCCCTCAGACCCCTGGGCTTTGTCATGCCCGTCTGCAGCAACCAGCAGCCCTGACTTTCATCGTAGTGAGGAAAAATGGGAAAGAGGCCAAGTCTCTTGTGTATTCTGATCTTTGGCTCTGGAAACTTCTATAAAAATTAACCTTGAAGTCAATGAACTATAATGGCTCTGCAGCAGCCGGGGGGTGTGGGATAAGAATGAAAGAGAAAGAAGAACCCACAGTGTTTCAACATTAGAATGAGTGTCAGCACTTGTTGAATTGTCCCCACCCCAGCTCAGGATGCCAAGACTGTGACATCCCCAGCTCAGGTCCCCATCTGGTAAAGGTGGGGGCACTGGGGACGTGAAGCCTTGCATATAACTGGCACTCGATCATATTGGTCTTGGAACTGACATACAGGAGGGTCCCATTTTCCAGGCAGACCCGGCCCTTTCCCACCCATCAGACTGATTTCCTCCCGCAGCGCCCCTGCGCTCACCCCAGCCCAACTTCCTGCCTCTGCATCACCAGCTCCACAGTTCCCGCCCCGGGATGTGGGTCACTTTAGTCACTGTGCCGCTTGGCTGACCGCCACTCCAACCCGCCGCCGGGTGAGGCCAAGCAGGAGGAAGGGGGCCATCCCCCAGAACCACGCTTCCCATTCCCTGAACTCTGAAACCTTGTGGTGTGGACGAGGGTGGGGACACCGGCGTGTTCCTGTCCTGTTGGCAGAGCTGCCAACTAGTTGCTACCCTCTGCAGATTGACTAAAATTCAAAACAAACCTATGGGGCGGGGGGGGGGATCCAGTAAGGCCACTTCTGTCCCGAGAAATCATTCCATTGGCCACAGGGTATGAAGCAAGGGTGCTCGTTGACGCATGGTCCCTGCGTGCCATGAGCCTCCAGGCACAACCTCATGTCCATCAGTGGGGGCTGGACCATCCACATGGGCAAGAAACAGGACACTCAACGCCCTTAGAAAGAATGAGCAGATGTGGCCGGGCGTGGTGGCTCACGCCTGTAATCCTAGCACTTTGGGAGGCCGAGGTGGGCGGATCACCTGAGATCAGGAGTTTGAGACCAGCCTGGCCAACATGGTGAAACTCTGTCTCTACTAAAAATACAAAAATTAGCCCGGCGTGGTGGTGCATGCCTGTAATCCCAGGTACTCGGGAGGCTGAGGCATGAGAATCATTTCAACCCGGGAGGCAGAGGTTGGAGTGAGGCGAGATTGCACCACTGCACTCCAGCCTGGGTGACAGAGAGAGCCTTGGTCTCAAAAAAAAGAAAAAAAAAAAAAGAATGAATGAGCAGATGTATGCAGACCAATGTGGACAGAGCCTCACGGTGTATTGTGAGGGGAAAAAACCAAGTTGTAGGTTAATGTATACAGTGGGATCCTTTTATGTTTGTGATAGAGAGACAGAGACCTATAAAATACAGCAATTTCTCCAGGCACATACAGACTGACCTAAGGAGGTGAGCCCCCGCAAAATATCTAACAATGGTGTCCCCCAAGGAGGAGGGGTCAAAGGGGGAGGCCATTTCTCTGTAGTCTTGAAGCCCTCCCCTTCTCTCCCCTTTTTTGGAGACAGAGTCTTGCTCTGTCACCCAGGCTGGAGTGCAGTGGCACAATCCCAGCTAACTGCAGCCTCAACCTCCTGGACTCAAGCGATCCTCCCACCTTAACCTCCTGAGTAGTTGGGACTACAGATGTGTGTCATCACATCGGTCTAATTTTTGTATTTTTTATAGAGACGGTGGGTTTCGCCATGTTGGCCAGGCTGGTCTTGAACTCCTGCCTCAAGTGATCCCCCTGCCTCAGCCTCTCAAAGTGCCGGGATTACAGGTGTGGGATTACAGGTGTGGGATTACACTGCACCTGGGCTTGAAGCTTTTCTAAAGAGAATGCTGTCATGGTTTACTGTTATACTGGGAAATAAAAATCAAAATATGGAAAGGTGAAAAATTTTAAAAGCTTTCTGCTCAAATATAAAATGCCTCAAAATAGAGAAGAAAAAAGATAAAGCAGTGGGCCAGCAAGAAGGTGGTTGTCTAACAGCCAGGAGGCCAGAATTTCTGCCCTTTTGAAGAGGGACACCCGATTCCCAGGAGGGGCCTGGCCCATGATGCTTCTTTCCCTGCTTTGTTTCATTAGAATAGGAAGGAAACAGATCATTAGATCTGACTGCCTTGCTAGTTAGATGGGAAAATCGAGGCCTGGGGAGGTGACTGGCAACCCCTGCCTCCTCCCCCTTGCTCAAGTCAGTTTCCTTTGTTCCAAGCTCTCCCCTCTGACTTTCTAGTTTTGTCCAAGGTTGTCCACTTATTTATTCAAAGAGATTCCAAAGGCCACTTCACCACTCTGAGCCTCAGTTTCCTGTGTGTGAAGTGGGGAAGTGTCATCTCCCCCTTGGGATTGTTGAGAGGCCCGACTGAGATAGTGTATAAGGAGGCAGCTGGACGGTCTAACTGCTCCTACTCACCCCCCTCCCCCAGCCCTCCCCCCAACCTCACCTCCGGGTTTCCCTTCCCCAAACCAGTCTGGGTGAGATTTAAAACAGGGCCTCCCACCTCAGCCGGGCACGGTGGCTCACGCCTGTAATCCCAGCACTTTGGCAGGCCGAGGCGGGTGGATCACCTGAGGACGGTAGCTCGGGACCAGCCTGGCCAATGTGGTGAAACTCCGTTTCTACTAAAAATACAAAAATTAGCCAGGCGTGGTGGCACATGCCTGTAATCCCAGCTACTGGGGAGGCTGAGGCAGGAGGATTGCTTGAACCTGGTGGGCAGAGGTTGCAGTGAGCTGAGATTGTACCATTGCACTCCAGCCCAGGCAACAAGAGCAAAACTCCGTCTCAAAAACAAAACAAAACAAAACAAAAAACACACAAAAAACAGGGCCCCATGAAACAGAACCAGGACACAGTGCCTGGGCCTAGGCATCAGCTGGGCACCCTATTCCTGATGTGGGGCTTTTGAAACCAAGTCACCGCTAAGCCCCAGTTCATAGTGGTCTGGGAATATACAGGCCTCAAACAGCGAGTGAAGTCCCTTGGTAAATATGTGGAATTGGGCATATCATTCTGCTTCTTTTTATTTTTATTTTTTTAGAGACAGGGTCTCACCCTGATAACCAGCCTGGAGTGCAGTGGTATAATCATAGCTCACTGCAGCCTCGACTTCCTGGACACAAGTGATCCTCCCACCTCAACCTCCCAATTAGCTGGGACCACAGGCGTGCACTACCACACCCAGCTACTGTTAAAATTTTTTTTTGTAGAGACAGGGTCTTGCTCTGTTGCCCAGGCTGGTCTTTAACTCCTGGCTCGCTCAAGTGATTCTCCCTCCTCAGCCTCCCAAAGAACCGAGATTACAGGCATGGATCACTGAGCCCGGCCTCATTTTGTTTCTATAAACAGGGATAACAGGAGTACTCATGTCTTGAGGGTTTTGTGAGGCTGGAGCACAGTGGGCCTCACTCAGTCCACTTTGATGTGTGTCTCTTATCCCCTGTTCTTCTCACCTCCAGTAGCCTCCTCCATGGGCGGATCCAGCCCTGCCCACCCCAACGCTGTGAGTGGATGGCGTGTGGCTCACCTGGGCACCAGGCGTTGAAGAGCAAAATGAAGTGGCCCAGCACAAAGCTGGATCCCTGGTAGCCAGTGGAGGCCTCCAGGCTGAGGCGATACAGGCCGATGGGGGCGTTGGCCGGGGTGGTGAGCTGCAGCGAGAGGGTGCAGTCTTGCTGGTCCACCACGGTGGCTGTCCAGTCACCCTCCTCCACAGCATCTCTTAGTGGAAAACGGGCCTTGGTCCCGGCCTCCTGGCTAGGGGCTGGGCCTGTGGAGGGAGAAGCAGTAGCCGTGAGCTAGGGGTAGCAGGGCTGGCAGGGCAGGGCACCTACGTGGGGTCCCCCAGCTTGGGCTCCAGGCCTAGTTCTGCCACTAACCACTGAAATAAGTTTGGCAAGAAGTTTGTCTCCCTGAGCCTCAGTTTCCTCATCTGTAAAGGGGGGCTCAGAACCCCAGCCTTTTAGGGTGGTTTTGTGGGAATGCATAAAAAGCCACAGGCATACAGCATGTCCTCAACTAAAGAGTCCTCCTGAGAGAGGGGCCATGTGGCCCAGAGCCAAGGCTCAGTTCCACTGCTCTGCAATGATGTGACTCGGGACAAGCCCATCCCTCTCTCTGGGATCACCTGGCCCCATTTGTGTAGCATAGACAAGGATTAGGCAACATGCCCTAGGGCCCTCCTTTCCTGCCTACATCCTCTACCTGCTAGCGTCCCGCTTTTTCTCTCAGAGAAGGAAGCCCAGACGCTGAGCAGGAAGGGACCTCGGTCCTCTGAGAGCCCCTTGCTGTAGGCCAGCGGAGGATGCTGGCTGGCCCACACAGCCTCAAGGTGTCTGTCTCCCCAGGCCCCCCATCTGCTGTCCCCCACATCTCCATAGGCAGTTCCGAGATGCTGGTCATAACGACCCCTCACCTTCCTACAGCCTTTTACACTTCATGAAGCACCTGCTTCCTTTGAGACCCCTTGCCCAGGTGAGAAAACTGAGGCTCAGAGCAAAGCGGTCTCCCAAGGATATCCTAGGAGTTTGTGGCAAAGGTCGCATCTGAAGTGGGTCTTTAGCTCTCAGTTGTCTTCTACGGTGCCTCTTCTTCCCAAAGAGGACACTCCCCAGCCGGGTTCTCAAAGGCACAGTGATGGGCACACTCTCAAAGCAGCTGCTTTTCCAGGTGGAGGGGAGGGCCCGCCCCCACAGGCAGGTCTGAGTCATGGGCAGGGCGAGGAGGGGCTGGTCACTTTCTGGACATGGGTGGTGGAGAGAAGACAGAGGACGTTCTCTGCCTGGCTGGGCGGGTGCCCAGGAAAGTTTATTTTTATTCTTCCATCTCCCTCCTTGCAGCTCTGCCCACCCACCGTGGACATTATTGGGGCCTGCTCACCCAGGGGCTCCCTCCCAGCCCCCAGCCCCCTCCTCCCTGCCAGCCAGCCCCACCCACACCCAGCTCAAATGTAACCATGAACTAACAGGCATGACACAGGCCTCTCAGGCCCTGTCCAAGTGCCAGGGGCCGACTGGAAGCCTTTGAATGCTCCCTGACTTCCAGAGCTGGCATTTGGGGAGGAGCCATGCAGGCCTGGGGTCCCAGACCCACCCTACGTCTGGCTCCCTGACTCTGCCCCTGAGCACTGTGTGACCTGGGCCACATCACCAGGCCTCTCTGATCTGCTTTCTTATCCAAGAAGAAAACAGGCTTAGGCCACATGCCTGGGAGAGTCCAATCTCAGGTTCGAAACTGGCTCTCTGAACTTCGACAAGTTACTTAGCTTCTCTATGCCACAGTTTTCTCATCTGTAAAATGAGGCCAGTAGCAGTACCTCCCTATAAGGTTGTTGTGAAGCTTAAAGAGGACAGGCATACAAAGCATCCCACAAGGCACCTGGTGTATAGTAAGTGCTCAGGAAACAATAGTTAGTCTTGTTCAGTTTTCATGAACGCCTCCTGGCTCTGTTTAGAGGGTTCCGTGAGAGAGTTCATAGAAAGCATTTTGAACAGTGACCAGCTCACAGTAATCATGCAGGAAATGTGAGCTATCGTCAGTGTTATTAAAAGGGGCCATTAAAAGTCTGAATTCTCAGGCCAAATAGCAGATCGTGAGGACTGGAGTGGAATGTAGAAATTGTCTAGTTCGATTGAAGAACTTCACAGATTTGGAAACTGAGGTTGAGAGGGGTGGTGCTGGGGTGACCAAGCATCACAGTTTGCTCAGGACAGCCTCAGTTTACGCCTGTGGTCCCATCATAATTCTTAAGGGTGCTCTTTCCAATCTCAGAAATGTCCCTGCTCGGAGGATCAATGATCTGGTCTCTGTGGCAACAGGCCTGGGCCAGATCCCATCATCACTGTCGCTGTTGACATGTCACCCTTGGGGACAAGTCAGGAAACGCATTTCCCTTTCTCTCTATCTTGGGGCAGCCATGCACACACACTCACACACCCCTTTCTTCCCAGATCCTGGGGGAACAGGAGAAGGACAGGCTGTCCCACGGTCCACCCGCTGCTCACGTAAGCTGACTTCACAAATTCCTTGGCTGCGGTTCTACACCATCCTCTTTGTGAGACCAGAGGCACCATGAGGGCCACTCTGGGCCCAAATGACCACAGGGAGCCTGGGGGTCCTGGCCACTATCCCAGACCATGGTGGCCGGGCTGGGATGGGGTGGGTGGGCAGGACCTTCCAGAGTAAAGCCTTCTATCAGCCTCATAAGGGTTCCCTTCACTCCTCCAGGCTGACTTCACTCCCATTGTGACTGCCACACCCCCTCAAACCCCGACCCCACCTTGGAGGGAACTTTATCCCTCTGACAAGGATGGCATTTGTCTAGTGTGGCCTGGACCCCATAACGGAGTCTGTCGGGTCTCAAACTGTCTGGGTGAAAACACACAACATCTAAGAATGTGTGGGGTCAGGCCACATGCTCCATTCGCTGAGTGACCTTAGCCAGCTCTCCTGCTTCTCTGGGCCTCAGTTTCCCATCACAAGCTACAATGTTCCCACACAGGAGCAGAGTCAGCTGGCCAGGCCTTGAGCCGGGCGCTGACCCAGGCCAGGCCTGGAGTTGGGGGAGGGCCTGGTTTCCTGGTATTGTCCCTCAGGCTTCTCCGGGCCCCGGGAATTTCTTGGTTGCTTGGACAGGGAAGCTGTGTGCACTCTGTACTCAGAGATCTGGGCTCTTCCGTGGCTGCCTACAGGGGCTGCGGAAGTGACCGGGGCAGGTTGGTTATGGTTTGAGATAAGTTGGTGGAGACTGGAGGACAGAGATTAGCTTGCTGAGGTGGGAAGGTCAGCAGCAGCCCTTCACCCAACCCCAAACTCAGGGCCCTAATTACCTAACACTACGCTGCCCAGACAATTGGAGAAGGAGAAATAAGAAAGGGGACATCTGGAGTGAAAGAAGAGGAAAGAAGGCAGCCTTATCCTCAGCGAACGAACGCAGGAGCAGAAAAGCAAATCCCCCATGTTCTCACTTATAAGTGGGAGAGAAATGACGAGAACATATGGACGCATAGAGGGAAACAACACACACTGGGGCCTCCTTGAGGGTGGAGGGTGAGAGGAGGGAGAGGAGCAGAAAAAATAACGCTTGGGTACTAGACTTAGCACCTGGGTGACAAAATAATCGGTACCACAAACCCCCGTGACACGAGTTTACCTATATAACAAACCTGCACGTGTACCCATGAACCTAAAATAAAAGTTTTAAAAAAGAAAGAAAGAAAGAAAGAAAAATAAATAAAAAAGAAAGTAGAAATCACAGGCTGCCCAAGCCAGCAGCTCATCTACCATTCCATTTCACAGAGGAACACACTGAGCCCTGGCAGGCACTTGTGATAAATGCGCCTGCTGCAGGGACATAGGGATGAAAAGCCTCACTCTGCAGTCGGGGTTTGAAGCCTTCTGTGTCCCTGACTCACTGTGTGACTGACCTTCCTGAGCCAGTGACTTGACCTTTCTGAGCCTCAGCTTTCCCATCTGCAAAATGGAGTCCTTTATAACTTCTAAGCTGCGAGGATTCAAGACAAGCATGCGTTCAGTGGGTGCCCCACAGATGTTGTGATTTTCACTATCACAAGTCTGACTCTTCTCAGGCCACCAGACCCAGCCCTTAACTGCCATGTACCCTAACTTTTCACTTCGTAAAGGGGGAAACTGAGACTGGAGGGTCAGAGACTTGCTGGGGGCTCCTTGGCTCTGTTAGCAAGAGAACTTTGGGGGCCAGTGTGCTTGTGGGGGAGCCCCTGGGCAGTGGGTGTGTCTCCACCAGGAGGGCAGGGGCAGGGAGGAGAAGGATGGAGGAGCTATCCGAGGCTAGGCTGCAGTCCCCATGATAAGCCTTATCAACAGCCTTCTAGTTCAATGCAGGCCTCAGCCAAGGAATGCTTGCTGCCATCTCTGCCCTCAGAGACTTCAGAAAGAGCTGGCCTTTCCCAACCCGAGTCCTAGCCAGGTGGCCCCTCACTGACCTCAAGGGAATGGCTGCCACCAGAAACCAGACCCACTGATTTGGCATTTGAGGCCATTTTCCCAGGAATGGCCAACAAAGAAAATTGCGCATCACGCATCTGGGGATGAGACGCCTGGGGACTTGGTGTCCCTTTACCTATCCCTGGGGCCCCAGTACAAAGATAAGTAACAGCTGCAAATATCTGCAGGCCCTCCCCCATAGCAGACACTTAACAACCTTCCAATGTGAGGGCTTTCAGATGATGAAACCTCAGAGGCTCAGAGAGGTTAAGTAATTTGCCTAAGGTCACACAGCAGGTAGGCAGCCCAGCCTGCGCTAGAATCCTAGTCTTTCTGTCCAGCCCCGGAGATTGAGGCAGCCTCCTAATGCTTGGAGAATGAACTGCTGGGACCCAGAACTGCCCACATGGAAGGCTGAAGCTAGCTGGGCTTTTTCTCTGCCACCCAGGCCTGATTTGGGCCTGATCCCAGTGCCTGGCTGGGTTGCGTGGATTTCAGGCAGCAGAGAGATTAGAAAGTTGTTTTGATATGGGAAAGGGCAGACAGGATCTTTTTCTTTTTTCTTTTAAGGTGGTGTCTTGCTATGTTGTCCAGGCTGGATTCAAAGTCCTAGGCTCAAATGATCCTCTCACCTCAGCCTCCCAAATAGCTGGGATTACAGACATGTACCACCATGCCTGGCTTGTGGATAGGAATTTTTTTACTACAGACAGGGTTTCTCCACGTTGGTCAGGCTGGTCTTGAACTCCCAACCTCAGGTGATCCGCCCTCCTCAGCCTCCCAAAGTGCTGGGATTACAGGTGTGAGCCACCACGCCCAGCCTGTGGATGGGATCCTGATCAACTTTCCTGGTTGAAGGCTGACCTGCAACCCTGGTGATAATAGGCTTTCAGAAGCTCAGGGTTCCAGAGGCACAGACTTGCTCACAAAGCTGGTGGTCTGCCATGACATCTCCTTCCTTTCCGGGCCTCAGTTCCCTCATCTCTAAAATGGGGCTGATGACAGGTGGCAATCTCCCAGGGAACAAAGAAGGTAAAGTTATTTGTCCTGTTCTCTGTCAGGGTTCTGGGGCATGTCGGGGTGGAGAGGAAGTGGTGGTGGTGGTGGTGGTGGTGGAGTGGGGTTGCAGGTACTCACCGGTCACGACACTGAAGGTGAGACTGTCTACACTGGCCTCGTAGTTGCGGCCCTCAAAGTGCAGGGTCAGCCAGAAGGGCTGGCCCCGTCGCACCACCAGCTTCTCCCGGCACAGGTCGGCCGTGTGGTGGTCTCGGCCATTGGTCTCCAGCTCCAGATCACACCTCTCTAAGACCAGCTCTATGGAAACAGAAGGAGACGCATGAGCCTCGGGGGCATCCTTCAGACCTCCAGTGATGCACCTGCCCTCCCTAGACATGGGGGCCTTGTGCCCTCTTACTCCCCACAAAGCACAGCCATTGTTTCGACTGACCTGTCTCCCCAGCCCTGGTCACACGGGGGCTAGGTGGGGCCCAATCTCCCTAACTCTTTTTTTTCTTTTTAATTTAATTGAGAAAAGGTCTTGCTTTGTTGCCCAGGCTGGAGTGCAGTGGTGTGATCATAGCTCACTGTAGCCTTGAATTCCTGGGCTCAAGGGATCGTCCCACCCCAGCCTCCTGAGTAGCTGAGAGGACAGGCGTGCACCACTAATTTTTTCATTTATCAGTGAGCTGGGACTATAGGTATGTGCCCAGCTAATTTCTTCATTTTTGGTTTTGCCATGTTGCCCAGGCTGCTCTCGAACTCCTGGGCCAAGTGATGGCTCCTGCCTTGACCTACCAAAGTGCAGGTGCGAGCCACAGTGCCCAGCTTTGCCTAAATCTTTTAATCACAAGGTCGTGACCCCCTGTGGCACTTCCTAGCTGTGTGACCTCCAGCAGCCATGGGACCAGCAGTATCTACCTCCCAGGGCTGGTGTGAGCAAGAAATGAATTAATGCATGTAAAACACTTAGTACAATGTCTGTTGTGTAATAAATACTCAATAAACACGAGCTATTCTATTGCTATCAGAGGGTTCTTTTGGTTTAAGCAGGGGCAGTATTTGGTACAGGTCAATTACATGGCCTTTGCCTTTAGATCCAATGTTCAATTTACAGGAAATACCCAGGGCTGAGGAACAAGTTAAACACAGAACCAGGATGCAGTTGACAAACTTCATATACTGGGAAATTATTGACAAAGGGTCCGGTTTCTTTAATAAATAGATTGCAAGAAAGAAAATGAAAAAAACATTGAAGAGAGAACCTATAAAGAGAAACTTAAACCCGTTGTGATGTATTGATCTATTTGGATCTTGATTTCAAAAAAGTATTTTAAAACATTTATTACATGTATGAGACAACTGGAAATTTAAATACTGATGGCATAATGGTGATATCAAAGAATTTTTGTTAATTTGTTTGTGTTAAAAAAAAGAGAGTCCTTATCCTTTAAAGGCATATACTGAAACATTGACAGATGACATGATGTGATGTCTGAGATGAAGGTGCGCAGGGGCAGGAGACACCACGGTGGTCAGTGCTGGGTGATGAGGACATAGGAATTTATTAAACAATTCTGTCTATTTTTGTGTATGTTCAATATTCTCCAAAACAAAACATTTTTAACATGATAGGTGCTTTGGAGACTTCCAGAGGTAGGTTTTAGTTCTGCTGTGTTGCTGTGTGAGCCTGGATAAGTGTCTCTCCCTCTCTGTGACTCCTCCTCTGAAGTCTCAAGGGGCTGCTGTGAGTCTAGAAGATGTGTTGGGAACCCCCTTCCCCACGGCCCAGCCCAGGACAGAAGCTTGATACGTGAAAGTTCCATTTACAGTTTCAGATGGAGCAGAGGACCAGGGCACGGTCAGGGTGACAGATGGGTGGGGGTCTTGGGGGAAAACAAATCTCATAAACCTTGGCAAGCTCAAGGTCAGGATGGGGAAGCCCTTAAGGTGGGAGGAGTGGGCAAGACAGACTCTGAGTGTGGAGCCACTGGACAGCATGTGGTCCAAGTGAGGCCCAGGGGCAGGAATTTGTTCAAAGTCACGCCGCAAGTTGGTCCTTGCAGTGGGAGAGCCCAGGTCTCCTGCTCACCATCGACTATTCCAAAAATGAGATGCAAAGTGCCTTGTATGTGAATTATCTCGACTTAAATCCCAAAACAACTCCGCTTACATAGATGCTATCATGATTCCCATTTTGTAGACAAAGACACCAGGTGGCTCCAGGTCCCAGAGCAAGTGGCTGCTTTGGGATTGGAATCCAGAGCTGTAGGATTCTGTAGGATTCTGCCCTGGGAACCACCTCACTACAGCTCAGTTTTTTCTCCAGCCCCTCTTATGACCACCCCTTCGCCACCATGTCCTGTGTTGTTCTCAAACCTGGGGGCAGATAGTTCTGCGCCACTGAAGTATCAGGGATGTCGGTCCCCGTGTAATCACAACAGAAGAGACCTCAGTGGCCAGAAGGAAAAACTTCCTGCTGGCCTATTGCGGCGAGGAAATGTTTTTGGAAACTTCAGACCCAGGGAGCTTGAGCAGGAAAGAGGCCATTGTTGTTCCCATGGAAGACCCTGGAGATACGGCCAGTCCCTGGGCTGTGGGAGCTGGGGCATTTTCTCCATCTGTTGTCCGAAGAAGGGTTTCCAGAAATCACGCCCAGCTCCAAAGATGCAGGTCTAGAATTGTAGGATTTATAGGATTTCTGCACTTAGAAAGGGCCTAGGCCTTCTAGGCCAGTGAGACCTCTGTCAGAAGTGGCCACTGTGACATGGGGCTGGAGGCTCATCATAACTGGCATCTCCAGGATCTCCCAGCCCCACTGAGCCCTGCTTTTGAGCATGGGGGTGAGAAGATGCATTGAGGACAAGCGGCCACCGAGGCGACACATCACAGTGTGTTGGGAGCTGGGCCCGAGGGAGGCAGGTGGCTGAGATCACACAGCAGGGTCAGGTGGGTCCACAGTTCCTGCCACCCATTCCTGCTCCACCTGCCCCATGTCCCTGTCCCACACCCCTTCCTGGGGGTTGCAATGGGTGCAGAAGCCATCCCCAGATGAACTTGACCCAAGAGCCAGCTGGGATTCTGGGTCCAGCAGTGACATCCTCCATTGTAGAAATCCCTCCAGCTGGGACCTACGAGAGTGCTGCTTGTGTGTGGGGAGGGAGTCAGGGGCACCAGTATGAAATTAGTTAAGCCTCTGTTCCACTCCTCTCGTTCCTCACAGATGCACCAAAGGCTGGAGCAGAGGACCAGGGCACGGTCAGGGTGACAGATGGGTGGGGGTCTTGGGGGAAAACAAATCTCATAAACCTTGTCCTATAAAATAAGGACACTGTTGTCCTTATTTTATAGGTGAGACTCAACAATTGGCCAAGGTCTAGGGTTGCAGAACGTGAGGGCGGGAAGAACAAGCCTGATTTCCGAAGGCTCCTGGATAGGATGCCGAAAGCTCCTCTCTGGCCGCTGGAGCCAAGGACTCAGCCAGGCTTGGCTTGCACACCACCGGCGTGGCATGCACACCACCTGGTCCTGGCTGGCAAGAACCACCCAAACCTAAGTGTTCTGAGGCCAGGCCAGCACCCCCTGCACAGCTCCAGGCACACATCAGAGAGCCAGCCCCCACTGACTGACTGAGGACACGTGCCAGTGGTCCGCCAGGACAGTACTTTACAGTTTACAACACCCCGTCGCGTTCCATTGCCTCACCTGATCCAGGGAGGCAAGGGTTAATGGTTATGCAGTGTGGATGGGGAAACTGAGGCTCCAAGCAGCATTGAGACGCCTCCTCACCCAGCCCGGTCTGCCTGTTGCTCTCCAAATCAGGACTTAGGGATTCAGCTCCCACCGGGTCCTGACCCCCAATGCCCCGGGGCCCCTGAGTGGCGGCTGCGGTGACTCTGATACTCACCCTCGGCCATGGTCGGGCGGGGGCGGTGGCTCCTTCCACTGGCGGCGAGACCCTCCAAGTGCGACCACTGGCGGCTGGCACTGCCGAGGCGGAGAGCGGCGCTAACTTATAGCCCGCTTTGGGGCGGGCCGGGGGCGGGGCCCCGCGGGAAGGCGGCGACCTGGGAGGCCACCCATTGCCCAGTCCCGGGCCCACGCCGCCAGCGCTGGGGCTCACCCAGGGGACCGGAGCCCGAGGGAGGGACGGCGGCCGGACGAGGGCGCCCCCTGGGGGAGCGGACAGGGACACACAACTAGCCCAGGATACAGACACACCTGGACCCACAGACTCAGACCTTGGAGAACAGACACCTGGACACACACACTCAGATACAGACACACGCAGCACCCTCATAGAAACACACAACGGAACCGGGGTGCACCTGGACACACAGATGTGGACTCTTAGGTCAGATCTGGGATCAAGAACACCTCCCCACCCCCAACACACACACACACACACACACACACACACGCACACACTCACACACATACTCAGATATACATACACAGAGAGCAGACGCAGACACACCAAGACAGGGCTGTGGAGATACACACACAAACACAGATACACTCCCACAGATACACCAAACACGGCTGGCCACGCAGACACAGTGACATGGATACAAATTCAGATTCGAATGGCAGACACACACCAGGACATAGATACAGCCTGACACAGCCAGGTAGCCTTGACCGCGAGCCACACACAGCTGTGGACACAGATGAGCAGGTGTCCAGAGGCACCTGGCACACACACAGACCTCCTAGACACCAATGCCACTGTCAGATGTGGACGCAAAATCAGAGAGGGCACCCACAGACACACAAAGATGTGGCTACTCAGAGGTAGACACACATGCAGGCATGGACTCAGGTACAGACATGCAGACACACCTGCAAAAACAGACACACCCATGTCCCTTCCTGTAGCAAAACCCAGATAATCCTCCGATCTCACCCATCCTTGTATCTGTCTAATCAGCCATCCATCTAATCAGCCATCCATCTACCCATCCATCCACTCACCCATGCATCACCTACCCCCCCACCTATCCATCCACTCATCCCTTCATCCATCCCTCCCTCGGCCTTCTCTTCCCTCCCTCCCTCAATCCATCCATCCACTGAGCTTTCTTGAGGCCCCACTGTGTGCCAGAAAGGAGCAAGACTAACTTTCCAGGGACTCAGCCTAGGACTTCTCGAACCTGGCAACCAGGGGTCCTATCTCTCATCCTGGTATCTCTGGTCTCTTGGTCTCCTGTGCTTCCGGATCCACTGTGAGCCCTGAGCGGGAAGGGTTCCCGGAGAGACAGAGGCCCACGGGGCTTCCCTGGCACTTTTTCCAAAACAAGCTCTACATTCCGGAGCAAGCTCTACATTCCAGAACAAGCTGTACATTCCGGAACAAGCTCTACATCTATTGATGAATTTGGAAGATAGAAGTAGCCCCCGTCTCCATTCCTAGGTGACATATGGCTCAGGGAAAACAACCCGTGTTGCTTCAGTGGATATTTCTCCCTGGGTCAAACGGGCTCTGGCTGGAGTCTCAGTGAACAAACCCACAAAGAGTGTTGGGCCCAGCTGACCCGTAATTGCCCCATTTTATAGAGATTGTTGCAGAAACTGCTCCCTGCAGCTGGTGAAAGCTTGGAGGAAAGAGCAGCGTGAGGAGAATCACCCGACCGAGAGGGAAGTCGGTCAAGAGGCCGGGGTTCAAGTTCCCACTCTGCCCCTGACCAGCTGTGTGGCCATGGGCAGGATTTTGCCTCAGTTTCCTCCTCTGCAAAATGGGGGAAAGAATCCCTCCCTCACAGGCCTGAGTAAGACTCAATCTAAATGACCAAGTTTGGGTGCCTTATACGTGGTGAGCATGCAATAACTGGGGCCCTGAGATTTGGCATGGAAATATCAAGTATCCCAGCACCTGGCTATTTCGGGACCTCAAGGAGAGACGGGAGGCATGGGGACAGTCAGTTCTGCAGAACAAAGGCTGTGTTTCCACAGGCGTTAGCCCTGCCCCAGATGAAAGGATGGGTTTGGCCTTTTCTACCAGGTATTTTTTCCTTTAAAACCCTCAGCCTGGGAGCTCCCTAGAAGACAGGGAGCCACCTAAGTATTTTATTTTTTTGAGACAGGGTCCCACTCTGTCACCCAGATCGTGTAGTGGTGTGATCTTTGCTCACTGCAGCCTCCATCCCTCGGGCTCAAGCGATCCTCCTGCCTCAGCTTCCCTGAGTAGCTGGGACTACAGGAGTGCGCCACCATGCCCAGTTAATATTTCTAATTTTTGTAGAGATGGAGGTCTCACTATGTTGCCCAGGCTGGTCTCAAACTCCTGAGCTCTAGTGATCTGCACGCCTCGACCTCCCAAAGTGCTGGGATTATAGTCATGAACCACTGTGCCCAGCCCACGAGAGATTTTTAAACTCTTCTTGACCACAGTGTCCAGCATGGTGCCTGGCTCACCACCAGCCCCCAAAAGTGTTTGATTTGAGAAATCATCAATTCTATCAGCAGCAGCACCAGCTCCATTCTGAACATTGTTATTCCCTCTTCCTGCAGGCCTGGACTTAGTTCATTACACAGAGTGGGTATGTCACGCAGCTCTGGGTTTAAATTTTGGCCTCCTCACTGTGTAGCCATGTCCACTACACAGCAAGTCACTTAACCTCTGTGCCTCAGTTTCCTCATTTGTAAAATGGGGGCAGTATTGGTACCCACTCCCCAGAGTGTCATGAGGACTGAGTGAGCTAATTCATGGAGAGTTTGTACAGCAGCAGCCAAACAGTCAGCCCTCAATGGATGCTGGCTGTGAGAAGAATCCCATTAGATTATTCCTGGATCCCAGCACAGGGCTTAGCACAGAATTCCAGGCCTGTCCCGCACCCAGCCAGCTGCCCCCACTTCCTCTCCCACATTCCACAGAACTATGGCCACCTGAGTGACGCATGGCGTTGAGCAACCCCAGGATGTGGCCAGCCGGGGTCAGGACTGGCTTCTAGGAAGTTGGCAGACAGAGGCCAGAACCCAGGCTTGGCCCAGAGACCTGGATTCCAGTCCCAGTGACCAGGCACCCTTGCCCCTCTCTGGGTTTCAGTTTTCCCATTTGTTCAAAGGGACTGGGAAACTGTGCCCTGTCTTACCTCACCGGGGCTGTAAAGGTTTCAAAACTCCCCTGAGTCCCAGAGAGGGTGATCATGGCCTCAAGATCCCCAGACACTGCAATCAGGGCCCTTTGTCATCTATTCAGGGGAAGTGTTGTGCAATGCTTAGAGCAGGAGGGCTGTGAGGTCACTCTTGGCTGTGTGACTCTGGATAAGTTACTAGGCCTCTCTGAGCTTCAGTTTCCTCCTCTATAAAATTGGTATCGTAAGAGTCCCTGCCACTGGGGATTAGAGATCATGTTTCTACAGTGCTTACAGGTCACATAGTAAGTACTCAGTAAATGTCACCTAAGCTTTATGATGATGTCATCAAGAGTCAGGACCCTCTCCAGAAAAGGGAGAGTCCCCGTGTGTGGGTGAAGCAGGTTGCAGTCAATGTAGCATATTTATTTGGTGGGTGTTGCTCAGAAAGACTCTCTGTCTCACAAATAAATCTTGTTCTCACAGCCACTGATGCCTAGAATCCCAGCGTTAGAGAGATTCAGTCCCTTCCACAAGGATTCTCAAGCCTCAAGGTGGAGACAAAGGTGAATATTTAGAAACTTTGGAATAACCCACTACCAGCCAGATATTCCATTTAAACCTCACAGTATGATTCTTATCATTTGTTAAATGAGGAACCCTGGGTTCAGAGAGGGGAAGTGCCTCACCCAAGGCCACACAGTCAGGAAGTGGGAAAGCAGGGCCTGTGCTGGCTCCGCCAAGGTTCAGAGGTCAGTCCTGTCTCCCCGTGCCCTGCAGGGCAGTCCTCAGGGGCCTGGGCCATGTCCAGTTCTACAGCTTTTAGCAAGTGAGGCCTCCGAGGACTGCAGCTTGTGCTCCTAACACATGGCATGTGGTATACACTGGATGCTTAATAAATGTTTATGACCTGAGGGAGGAATGAGTTACCCACAGCTGGAGAAAGAATAGAAGGAAGGAAGGAAACACAGAAACAAGATTAAAGTTCAGCAAGGTTGGAGAAACTGCCTAAGGTCACACAGCATGACCAGGCTCTCGGGCCCTGGCTCAGCTCAGCCACTCCTCAAGGACAAGGTGCCTCCAGGCCAGAGACAGACGTAGACAGCTGATGTGAGAGGGAGGGAGGGCGGGGTGGGCAGGAGTGTGCCAGGGCATCTGGAGGCTTTTCTACCAACTACTGACTAACCGGGATGAGCAGTGTCTGGTGTGAGGGAGCATAGGGAGGGTGGGGCAGGCTCTCCTGAGGTGGGATGGGGTGGGGCAGGGGTGTTAGGTTGCGGACTTAAGGAAAATGTCAGGAGGCAGGTGTGACCTTTCAAGCCCTTTGAGAGAATGGCCTGTCTGGGGCAGGATCTGGGTCTCCCAGGCTGTGGAGGACAGAGAACAGGGCATCTGTGGAGGGAGGGAGGATTCTTCCAGCGTGTCCACTTTGCAGATGGAGAAACTGACCTGGTTGTCTTGTCCTCAGCTCTGACTCCACAATGTACCACCCTCCAGGTGTAGTGCATCCCCCTTCCACCGTCCCTGCAGCCGGCACGGGGTCCCAGCCCCTTGAGCTTGATGGGCCATGGGTAGGCACTTTTATTCACTTCTCTGAAGCATCAGTTTCTGTTTCTGTGAAAGTGAGAATCACATCCCAGACCTCATGAGGCACTGGAGGCCCTGCAGGGCTGACCCAGCTTACCCTTCAATCGCATCTTCCACATTCATCCCTTCCAGCCTCACCAGGCATGGTACTTGCCCTCAAATGAGCCCTGCAAACACCCACCTCTAGGGCTTTGCTCCAGCTGTGTCCTCTACCCAGGATGGCCTTCCCTCTTCACCTATCGAAGTTTAACCCAGGCTTTACCCATCCTCCGGAAACCCACCCAGAGACTTCCTTCTTGCTCTATTGGCCCCACACCCACAGGACATAGTCACAGCGTAACTTGTATAAGTTCTAGTGTTTGTGTATCTCTGTCTCCCTCCACCCACCTGGCTCTCAGTAGCTGCTCAATAAAGGCTTGTTGAATGAATTAATGACCGTACCAGGGGTTCTAAGGAGGAGAGAGAGACAACTTGTTCAAGCCCAAGCCAGGTTCTTGGGGTTGGCCCGGGAGCTCTGATAGGACTTGTGGTGCCAGTTGCCCCTGGTAGGACCAGGAATCGGGGTGAGGCGCTAGGGCCTCTCGCAGCCTTTGCTGTCTGCACCAGAGATGAAAGATCTGGGTCTGACTTACCCTCCAATCATATCTTCTACAATCCCAGGACAACCACTGGGAGAAAAACAAAGGACAGACCTGGGGATGTGTGGGTAGCAGAGTAGGAATACCCACCGCTGGGCCTCAGAGGGGGCAACAGCCTTTCCCCAGGCCACACAGCAAGTCAGGGCAGAGTCAGGGTGGGGTTCCAAACACTATAGAAGTAAGCAGTGGCCCTGTACCAGCCAGGACGTTGCATGAGGTATGATTCCACAAGACTGTTCAATTTCTATGGGAACAGATAAGTAAATATACATACAGTACATACATATAAACATACAGAAGAAGGTTTGGAAAACTCCAGTCCAAATTGCTGGCAGTGGTGGGAGGAGATATGGGGGTCTATGACTGGGGGACTGGCAGTGGTAAGTTTTGAAATTTGAGAAAGCTGTTTTTATGTAACTTGGAATTGGGTGTTGCATTTAACAAGGAGTGGGAAGGAAGATGAGGCTCAGATGCTGGAACCGGCAGTGAGTCCCTGTGGCAGGGGCCACAGCTCCAGGCTCCAACTTGCCCTCCTCTTATTGGCTGTGGCCTCCTCTTCTACAAAAAGGACTCAACACGACACGCCATCCTGCTGGGCTCAAAGGATGAGATCAGAAGAAACGGGAGATAAGGAAAATAAGTCAATTCTATTATTGTTATTATGATGTGGCTCCAGTTCCTAGCAATCCAGACACCCGAGGGAACGGGGAGTTTTAGGATTTTTTTGGAGAACAGAGTTCTGGCCATCTCTGGCAGCAAGATTTGCTTTTCTCATAGGACTCAAACTGACAATCCGATTATCCCTTCCCTAGCACACGACCCTAACAAAGATGGTCATCTGATATGACAACTCCAAAAGATGAGGAGACATTAGGGCTCAGGAAACACTAGAGGTGGGAGGTGCTGAGAGGGTCAGAAAAACCACACAAGCAGGACCGGAGCTCTGACATTGACAACAGATGGCGTCATTTGGTGTTGGGATAAACAGTCCTGCTCATTCTGTGCAGATAGAGCAGGGCAATTGTCAATGATTGCCGTGGTGACCCAGAGCCATCCTATGAGTAGAGAGACTTTGTGACTTGCACATTAAGCCCACAAGACACTTTTCACTCCCTTCTGGGTTCTTCTAGCAGTAGCAAGGTTCAACTACAAGGACACGGGCCTGGGTTCAAATCCAGCTCTGCCATCGACTGTCCTGTGTGATCTTGAATGAATCACAGCACATCTCCAAGCCTCAGTTGTCCCCTCTGTGAAATGGGGGTGATAAAAACAGTGCCTACATTACAGGATTTTTGTGAAGGTTATCACCATTCTTGGCAGACAGTAAGCATTCAAATAAAGGTGGTTGATTACTCAGCAATAAAAAGGAAAGATGGATTGACACATGCTACAACAAGGATGAACTTCCAAACCATCATGCTAAGTGAACACAGCCAGTCACGAAAGACCACATATCGTCTGATTCCATTTATACAAAACACCCACAATAGGCAAATGCATAGATATGGAGGGTACATCAGGGGTTGTCAGGAGCCAAGGGAAGGGAGAAAGGAAGAGGGAGGAATGAGGAGTAATTGCTAATGGGTACAGGGTTTCTTTTCGGGAGTAAAGAAAACATTCTAAAATTGGATGGTGGTGATGTTTGCACAAATCCGCAAATAGACTAAAAGCCATTGAATTGTACACTTAAATGCATGATTTTTATGGTATGTGAAATATATCTCAAAACGTGGTTTTCAAAAATGTTTGAAAGATTTAAAATAAAAAAGCCAGGAATAAAGCTCTGAAAGTCTTTGCAAATATTGTCTCATTCTCAAATAAAAAAAAAATCTAAGAGAAACTGCACATGTATGTGCCCAAGGAGATGTCTCTAGGAGGGGTCTTTACAGCATTGTCTGTTATGGCAAAAACCCATCACAACCTAAGTGCCCAGTAGAGGGGGTTGGATAAAGCAGCCATGCCTGGAAATATTACTCAGCAGTTGAAAGAAAGAAGAGACAGTCTCCTGTGTGTGGACACGAAAAGAATTCCAAGTCATAATGTAGAGCGAAGAAAGCACACTGCAGGACATTGCATGAAGTACGATTCCACCAGACTGTTCAATTTCTATGGGAACAGATACAGTACATAAATGTAAACATACAGAAGAAGGTTTGGAAAAATCCACTCCAAATTGCTGGCAGGGTGGGAGGGGATATGGGGGGCCATAACCAGGGGACAGACGGTAGTAATGAAAGGTGATTTCAGTATTCCCTGGAAGGTGAGAAAAGTCTTCTGTGAAGAAATAATGTTATCTATCACTTAGGTAATTAAAGATTAATTTTACAAAAAAAAGAATAACCTGTTTTACATTTAGAATTAAGCTTTTATTAAAAAAGGAGATACTCCAAAATAAATAAATTCTGGCAAAGTAGATAGAAAAAAGTAAAGTCGAAGATAAAGGAGAAAGTGAATGTGCCCCCCACAAAGCCCACAATCAACCCCTAAAATACTTTTGTTAATATTGGCACAGTCTTGCAGAACCAAACCCAAAAACAAGCACATGAATAAATAAGAAATTCAAGATGAGAATTGAATCACATCTAAGAAACGTAATTTTGAAGGCTACACCAAGTTTCTGTTTACTTCACAAACTGTTTATGTCTCAAAGTGCTCCTGCAGCACCACCCTGGAAAGTGCTTGAAAATCTTCTATTTTGTGATTTTGTGTCAATGAAGGTTCAGAGAGGTGCAGTGTATTGCCCAAGGTCACACAGCTCAGAAAGAGTGAAGCAGGGGTGCCGAGAAGTGCTTGCTGGAATATCATGCAAGGGGAATTAAGCCTGCGTCGTGGGTGCCTGGCCAAGCTCCCATGGCCATGTGGGGCTGCTGGAGACACGGAGGGATGAAGCACCAGCATACTACAGCATTCCCCTACATCCCTCCCACAAGGCTGAGTCATTGGCTGTGTCTGCCTGGCACACCCAGTTCAGTCAATAAGAGTCAAACACACTTTCATTCATGGAAATAAATGACCCTTTGGGGGCAGTGGCGGAGCTCGTTTGACTAAATTGAACACAAGTTTGGCTAAACTGACCACTTGTTTCTCCCGCCTGTCTGATGAGCTGCTTGAGTGACGTCTGGCTGAACTGAGTGCTTGTAGGTCTGAAGGAACATTCAGCTTGACCCAGTTAGTTTAAATCCCTGTCTTCGCACCTGCAGAGGGGCTGCTGTCACCTCGTGCCAGCATCACAGGAGACGGGAGGTTTGGCCTCAGTCCTGGAAGGGCAGGGCTCAGTCTCCAGAATAATAAACCCCACACACATGTACAGGCATCTCTAGTTGGTGGTGTCCTCTTTGTAGGCACAGCGAGTCCTTTGTTTTGCTTCTGGCTGACTGCTCTTTTCTATAGGTTTGTTGATACTGTCAAACTGTCAATCAAGTGGCCCCACCCAACTCTAGTTAAGGACAGGTCTGGGACCCAAACTCAGCCTATCAGAAGCTCTTCTGGGACTTTGACTCTTACAACTCTGACACAAGTTCTAAATAATGGTTGAAGTTTGCTGGTTCATGTCTAGAACTACGTCAGCTCTCGTCTTTTCTAAAGTTGGGCTTTTTAGCTGTTTATTTGATTTTTTAAAAGTCATATTTATGGAGTTAAAATTTACATACAATACAATTCACCCGTGTTGTATTACATACAATACAATTCACCCATGTTGTATTACATACAGTGCAATTCTCCCATATCATGCAATACAGTTCTGTGACTCGACAAACATATATAGTCGTGTTACTACACCACAATCATGATATAGAACATTTCCATCACCCCCCAAATTCCCCTCATGCCCTTTTGCAGGCAATTCTCTCCCCCTACCCTCCGCCCCTGGCAACTACTGATCTGGTTACTGCGCCGATGGTTTTGTCTTTCCAGAATGTCATAGGCATGAAATCACGCAGTATACAGCCTTTTGTGTCTGGCTTCCTTCGCTTACCGTAATGTATTTGATTCATCCCTGTTGTTGCAGGTATCAGCGGTTCATTCCTTTTTATTACTGAGTACTATTCTGTCGCATGAATATACCACAATTTATTTGTACATTAACCAGTTGAAGGACCCTGGGGTTGTTCTAGGTGATTATGAATGGAGCTGCCATGCACATAGAGGTACCGCTCATTGTGTGGACAGATGTCTTCACTTCTCTTGGGCAAATACCTGTGAGCCATCCCCATATCCTTCCAGCTAATTTTTTGGTTGTGGTTAAGCTGCACTGAGCCTCTTTTCATTCATGCAACCCAAACCAGGTTTGGGTCCCAGACCTGCCCTTAACTAGAGTTGGGTGGGACCACTTGATTGACAGTTTGACAGTATCAACAAACCTATGGAAAAGAATGGGACAGTGACATCTCCCTCGTCTAATTCTCCCAGTGACTCTATGGGGTTTATGGATTATTGACCTCATTTTACCAAGGAAACGGAGGCTTGGAGAGCCTAAATAACCTGCCCCAGACCACACATCAGGTACTCAAATCTAAATCAAAGTCACAAAGGAAGCCACAGCCACCTTTCTAATTTCCTAGTCACCTTGGTGGGAGGGGAACTTTCACAAGGAAGGTTCTAACAAGTTTTTATTGACTGACGGGTGATCGAATAAATGCCTCACTCAAAGGAGTTTATTCTCTGGGCCTCAGTTTCCCATTTGTGAAATGACATGTTTGGACCAAGTAAAGAATTTCTGATGCCCCTAGCGTCCGTGATGCTCACATGCGGTGGCTGTGAAAGTGGAGTCATCAGGGCCTTCTTTTCGGATGAAGAATTCCAGCAAAAAGGAGCTGGTGGGGGAGGGGGAGGGGGAGCCCAGCACTTACTCCCCAATCAGTTCCCACAGGCGGCCTCCTGAGCTTGTGCCCAGGGCTGGTTGACCCCTAGAAGAGCAATTTGCACTTCCTGCCTTTCTGGCCTAAAAAACGAAAAGAAAAGAAAAAGCCCCTGTCACCTTGGATTAACATCACCCCCTCTGCTGAGAATCTTCTAAGGGGTGCAGCCCCCTCTCTTCACCAATATTTTCAGAATGTCCAGTTTTCTAAACAAGACTTGACAGGGTGGTTTCTTTTTTAAGCTTTTTAAAATAAAATAAATCACCCTGTGCATGCACGATCCTGGAACCTCCAATTAGATTAACCCTATGGTTTCCTAAGCGGCAGCCAGCTGTGGGCACAGAGAGGTAGGAGGAAGGAAGCGACGGGGGCCTCACCTATGAGCCGGACTCACCTGCTTCCCAGGTCACCTCCCTTCCCACGGCTCACAGGACAGTACCCAGGCCCATCAGGAAGCTCAGAGGCAGAATGACTGAGGGTTTCAAGGCCCGACAGCTCCTAGCTGTACAACCTACTGCAAATTTCTTCATGTCTCTGACCTCAGTTTCCACACCCTGATAATGGGGGTAACGAGAGGACCAAGCTCACAGAGTAGTTAAGAATAAATGAGTTATTGCAGGGTTTAGTGTTTGGCGCAGGGAAAAGCTGCAGATGTTGACTGTTTTTAGTACTCTTATAATTACTTCTATGGGCTTTGAGGACCTCGATTCCAACTGCCCCCCTGCAAGTCAGCTCTGAGGGTAGGTGAGAGAGCATGGTCATTGTTCACCTCCTGTGTGCCAGGCTCTGTGTGAAGAAGCTTTATGCATGTGATTGCCCTCCACCTCCTTTTTTTTTCTTTTCTTTTCTTTTTTTTTTTTTTTTGAGATGGAGACTTTTGCTCTATCGCCCAGGCTGGAGTGCAGTGGCTTGATCTCAGCTCACTGCAACCTCCACCTCCTGGATTCAAGCAATTCTCCTGCCTCAGCCTCCTGAGTAGCTGAGATTACAGGCATGAGCCACCATGCCCGGCTAATTTTTGTATTTTTCATAGAGATGGGGTTTCACCATGTTGGCCAGGCTGGGTTCGAACTCCTGACCTCAGGTGATCTGCCCGCCTTGGCCTCCCAAAGTGCTAGGATTACAGACGTGAGCCACAGCGCCTGGCTGTGATTGCCTTTTGATTGTTTGTTTGTTCTCAGCCGCATCTGGCCACACAAGGACCGTAAGTTAATCCTTCTCTCAGGTAGTTCTATGTCTAGATGATGAATGGCTCCATCACCCAACTTCCAGATGTAAAGAGTAGGGGTCAGAGGCCGGGTGCGGTGGCTCACACCTGTAATCCCAGCACTTTGGGAGGCCGAGGCGGGCAGATCACGAGCTCAGGAGATCAAGACCATCCTGGCTAACACGGTGAAATTCCACCTCTACCAAAAATACAAAAAATTAGCCGAGTATGGTGGCGGATGCCTGTGGTCTCAGCTACTCGGGAGGCTGAGGCAGGAGAATGGCATGAACCCGGGAGGTGGAGCTTGCAGTGAGCCGAGACTGCACTACTGCACTCCAGTCTGGGCAACAGAACGAGACTCCATCTCAAAAAAAAAAAAAAAAGAGTAGGGGTCAGGGAGAGCAAGGAGCATGCCTCTGGTCACTGGGGGAACTTCTTGAGCTGGGGTGGGCCCTGTGATCTGTCTGGGTGGATTCATACTGGATCTGATCCCTTCCCTGTGGGTCCTGGTCCCATGCTCTGGCACAGACTACAGATGGGGAAAGTGAGGCACTTGCCCAGGACCAGATCTGCCCAGGTGCCAAGCCCGCACTTTTTGCAAAATACCAGCATTAGCTAGGGAGGGAGTAAGGATGAGAAGGGCAGCAGGAGGAGGTGGGTGGTATTGTTGTCCAGGTGGGAGAGGACGGAGGCTGGGCTGGGAGGTGGGAGGACCCTGCTCACACCCCCTTTGTGCACACTGTTTCTTGTGCTTTTTTATCCTTCACAGCTTAACCCCAGGATCACGTCTCGACGACAGCCGCCTCATCAACGGCCGCTTGGCCATCATTTGCCAAGGGCTTACTGAGTGCAGGGGCCCTGAAATGTACATGCATCGTCTTCAGTCTACTCACCAGCCCTGACTTTAAATGCCATCTATGTGCTGAAGGCTCCCACATTTGCATCTTCAGTCCTGTCCTCACTCTTAAATCCCAGGTCCAGGTTTCCAATCGCCTCCTCAAAATTCCTGCTGTGCCCCACCCGCTATTCACTCCCCCGCAGTATCCCCATCTCGGTGGAAGCAACACCACCATTCCCTATGCTCAGTCCCCAGGGTCAGCCTTGACTCCTCTCTCTCAGATCCCACCTCAATTTGTCAGGAAATCCTGGTTGCCCTGCCTTTAAAATGTCTCTAGAATCTGGCCACTTCTCACAACCTCTGCCTCTGCCACCATCATTCTGGTGCAAACCACCAGTTTCTTTCACCTGGACTAGGGCTCCCTGTTTTCCCCCTTGCTCCCCACTTCCAATCTGTATTCCACACAACAGCCAAAGGAATCTCTTTAAAACTTAAGTCAGTTCCTGCCACTCCTCTGCTCAAGAGCCTGCAGTAACCCCCTGCTTCACTCTGATTAAAGCCAAAGTTCTCATCAGGTCCCCAAGACCTCCACCATCTGATCCCGTTGTTCTCGGACTTTCTCTCTGACCACTCCCTGCTCACTTGGCCCCGGCACGCTGGCCTCCCTGCCATTCCTTCAGCTTGCCAGGCGTGTCCTCTGTTTAGAACTTTTGCACTGGTCGTTCCCTCGGCCTGGAGTGCTGTTCTTTGACTTGGTGGCCTGGGTATAGTGTGGCGCCTGAGAAGTCTGTGCTGCATCCACATGGCAGGCTCTGGAGAGTGTGGAGGGAACTTGGTGATGAAGGGACAGAGATTTGGCCCACACACATTAGATGCTGTGTGACCCTGGAGATTGCTTAACTGTGTCTCAATTTCCTCTTTAGCCAAATGGGCTCTAAGTGAGCTGATGATGTTACTGGGGTCCCTGACTCATTGTAGCTTGTGGGGAGAAAGTGGTCATGCCCTCAGAAACTGTCTGGTCAACCCTGCCATTGTAGAGCTGGGAACATTGAGGCCAGAGAGGAGTCCCATTGTCCAAAGACCCATAAACAGTTAGAGAGAGAGCTATGGGGTTTTTGAAAGATTAATTGACTTATTGAATAATTTCTTTATTGAACATTTATCGAGTTCCTACTGTAGGCTTAACTGTGAGTAAGACAGTTTCTGCTGGCAAGGAACTCTCAGCTTAGTGGACAAAACAGATGGCAAGGTGCTCACTATGCAAATAGTAATTCCTGGCCTGGTGTGATGGCTAACCCGGGTAATCCCAACACTTTGGGAGGCCAAGTTGGGTAGATCACTTGAGCCCGAGAGTTCAAAACCAGCTTGGGCAACACAGTGAGACTTCGTCTTTACAAAAATAAAAATAAAATATTAGCCAGGCATGGTGGCACATGCCTGTAAACCTAGCTACTTAAGGGAGGCTGAAGCAGGAGGATTGCTTGAGCCTAGGAAGCTGAGACTGCAGTGTGCCATGATCATGCCATTGCATACCAGTCTGGGCAACAGAGTGAGACCCTGTCTCAAAACAATAACAACAACAACAACAACAACAAAACAAGAACAACAACAATTAATTTTCACAACCTGTGTTCAGGGTCGTAGCGGAAGAAGGCTTGGGACCTGAGAGACCCCCAGATAAAAAAGGGATTATCTCTGTGTGGCAGATCAGGACAGCCTCCATGGAGAAGGTGACACAATGTGGGTTTTGCAGTATGAATATGAATTATGCAGATAAGGCAAAGAGGAGCATTTCACACTGATAGATTTTGGATGTTGTCTGCTCTAAGTCTCATGTCGAATTGTAATCCCCAGTGTTGAAGGTGGGGCCTGGTGGGAGGTGATTGGGTCATGAAAAGTGGATTTTTCTGCAGCCATAAAAAAGAGTGAGTTCATGTCCTTTGTAGGGATGTGGATGAAACTGGAAACCATCATCCTCAGCAAACTAACACAGGAACAGAAAACCAAACACCGCATGTTCTCACTCATAAGTGGGAGTTGAACGATGAGAACACATGGACACGGGGAGGGGAACATCACACCCTGGGGCCTGTTGAGGGGTGGGGAGAAAGGGGAGGAAGAGCATTAGGACAAATACCTAAGGCATGCGGGGCTCAAAACCTAGATGATGGGTTGATAGGTGCAGCAAACCACCATGACACACGTATACCTATGTAACAAACCTGCACGTTCAGCACATGTATCCTGGAACTTCGAGTAAAATTGTTTAAAACAGTGGATTTCTCATGAGTGGTTTAGCCTCATAGCCCCGGCACTGTCCTCATGATAGTGAGTGAGTTCTAACGGGATCCGGCTGTTTAAAGGTGTGCGGCATCTTCCCCCTCTCTCTCTTGCACCTGCTCCCACTATGTGATATACCTGCTCCCACTTCACCTTCACCTTCTACCATGAGTAAAAGCTCCCTGAGGCCTCCCTAGAAGCCAAGTGGATGTCAGCACCACGCTTGTATGGCCTGCAGAACCCTGAGCCAATTAAACCTCTTTTCTTTATAAATTACCCAGCTTCAGACATTCCTTTATAGCAACGTAAGAACAGCCTAACAGACATGCAAACAGACTTGTCTGTGCACACAGGGGTAAAGTTACAGAAGTGAGGAATGGTGTAGAGAATTCACAGGAAGAAGGAGTCGAACGGTATGGCTGGGGTTTTGGGGGTACTTGGAAGGAATGTCAAGGCTGGAGTGGTTAGTGGGGCTCGGACAACAAACGTCTCTGTCTACCAGGCTCAGTTTAGGACACGGGAAGCCATGGGAAAGTTTAAAGCAGGGAAGTGGCATAGTCAAGGCTGCATTCTGGGAAGATAGTGCTGGAATTGTTTATCATGGAATTTTAGATTTTTTTTTTTTTTTTTTTTTTTGAGGCAGAGTCTTGCTCTATTGCCCAGGCTGGAGTGCAATGGTGCAATCTCGGCTCACTGCAACC
The DNA here is from genome assembly GCF_000001405.40 of Homo sapiens. NCBI lineage: Eukaryota > Metazoa > Chordata > Mammalia > Primates > Hominidae > Homo > Homo sapiens. The sequence continues at coordinate 38,180,465 of NC_000020.11, forward strand.
TCTGCCTCCTAGGTTCGAGCCATTCTCCTTCCTCAGCCTCCTGAGTAGCTGGGACTACAGGTCTGCGCCACCACGCCCAGCCAATTATTTTGTATTTTTAGTACATTTCACCATATTGGCCAGGCTGGTCTTGAACTCCTGACCTCATGTGATCCACCCACCTTGACCTCCCAAAGTGCTGGGATTACAGGTGTGAGCCACCATGCCTGGCCAGAATTTTAGATCTTGAATTTAGTGATTATCATCATCCCTGGGCCCTTTTTAAAAGAAGAGCAAATTGAGGCCAGAAAGGGAAATGGCACCCACCGTTCATCAGGGACAGAAGCATTTGCTCCCACCTTGGTCTGTGTAGGTGGGGCTGAGCCTGAGGCTGGAGTATGTTTGCAGATCCTGTGGGGTGAGCTGTTCCCAGTGGGACCAGTTCCCAGTTCTCTGTGACATCCCTCTCTCTGCTCCTCCCCTTCGGACCTGCCCTGCAGGCTCCAAATATCGTGGTTGATATGGAAACTCTCCTGTTACACATTCCTTTTCCAGTTGTGTGACCCTGGCAGTGTCCTTCCTCTCTGGAGCTTCGGTTTCCCCATCTGTCTAATGGGAGTGATAAATGGAGTGATGGCTGGCACTGATTATCAAGCACTCGGGCATCTCCTCCAATTCTCCCAAAGGCCCCAAGGAAGAAGAGGGTCTGCCATTATCAGTGCCCTGTCCACCGGCAGAAAGTGTGAGGCAGAGCTCGTTGTGGAAAGCAAGGCTCATAATTTACCTCACTAACCTGTGTGGTTCTGGATGGCACAGAGCCAACTGGGACTCTCGTTTTTCTCATTCTGGTCCCTACTCCCTTCTTCGTGTGACCTAAGACCTTAACAGCTGTGTAAGTGAAAGTGGAACAAACAAAGCACCCCCTGAGAGACTTCTCATGATACCAAGGGGCAGCCCCAGAGGACAGACCAACGCTCCTCTCAATCCCTAAAAAGCCTCTGCCTGACTGAGCACAGCTGGGAGCAGTGATGTCAGGCCTGGCTTGGTAGATCAAAGCAGCAATGGCCCCAGGGCCTGATGGGTGCACGGGAGGGGCAGGGCTGAGTAGTTGATCTAGCTCTTAAAGATCCTTGAGCTTGAAGTCACCCTGGGACAGCCTCAGCAAGCGCTCAAGGCTGGCACTTGGGAAAGGTCACATGGCTTTGATGCTTGGCCAGTTTTAGATGGGGAGAAGCACTACTATGTTAGAGTCTAGATTATCTTAGAAACCCAACTCTACCCAGGAGTTCCTGAAGAAAGACCCTGAAATCTCTCAGGCAGCAAACGGAGGTCAACTTGGTCACCAAGCGTGGCTTGGTGCCCACTCTGGACCCAGCTCTGTGCCAGGCCCTGGGGGAGATGAAGAAATGAGGCAGGCCTGTTTTCTTTCTGTGGCTTCAACAGAACATCTGTGGTTTCCCCCTAATTAATCGTAATACATGCTCACTGTTTAAAATTTATAAAATACAGAACAGCCAAAAGATGAAAGTTAAAGTCAATCCAAGTATCACCAACAAAGAGAACAACTGTTAACATTTTGTTTTATCTTGTTCAGTGTTGCTATATCATATTTAGGTGTATGTGTAGATACAAACTCACATAATTATGTATTTAGTTTCTAAAAATGGAATCACTCAATTGTCCAGGAAATGTTTGTTGAACATTCACCCTGTGCCAAGCATGTGGCAGGCAGCGGACCAGAGGATGCGATTCCTACTGTCATGAAAGTTGCCTCTAAGCACTCTTTTGTCCCTTGCCTTTTTTCACTGTGTGCCTAACATTTTCAAATCACATGTATTTCTACAACATATTTATTGGCTATCAAGAATTTCATCACATGGCTGAATTTGTCAAGCCCCACTTTTCTTGCGCATTTAGGTTGCTTCCCATTTTTTCACTACTGCAAACAGTGCCATCCCTGTAGCCTTGGGCTCATAAGGTGGATTGGCTTATTCCATATCAATTTCAACCCCCTCTTATATGCCTTCCTCAACTGCAGGGGCTGGAAGGGTGAAGATTGCATTTCCCAACTCCCTTGCAGCTAGGGTTTAGAGACCAATTAAGTAGTTCCCATTAAATGCATTTGTGTGAGGTTTTGAAGGCAAAAGTAAGAGAGAGGTCATCTTCCTCCTTTTGCTGGTTGTGAAGGCATTGAGACCTCCCACAGGTGTGTCTACAGTGCCTGGTCACCAACTCTTGGGTGTTGAGAAGTGGTGATGGGGCATCAGCCGCATCTGATGGCTGGAGTGAAGCTAAGGTGACAAACTCCTGAAGACAATAGTTCCCAAGCTTCTGGGTGGTGGCAGAGGCAGCAGCTTTCCTGGGCAGGCCAGTTTAGCGGTGACATTCTAAGAATCGCTCCTAGAAGCCCAGGTCCCTTGCTTCAGAATTTTCCATGATTTTGCAAGAACACAACTTCTCGCATTAAATCTCCCTATGTTGAAAGTAGTGAATGTGGTTTCTGTGTCCTGCACCTGCACTCTGGGTGATATAAGCTACATCTTTGAGCCTGTTGGCAACTATTTCCTTAGACTAAATCTCTACCATGGAACTTATAAGTCAAGAATTCATTTTTTTTTGTTTATTTAAATAGTTTTACTGAGACATAATGAACATACCATGTTTAAAGTGTACAATTTGACGTTTAGTGTATTCACAAAGTTGTAGATCTATCATCATCATCTAATTTTGGAACATTTCTTCACCCCAAAAAGAAATTTCATGCCCATTAGGAGTCAATTCCTTACCTCTCTCCCCACTCCTAGGCAACCGTGAACCTATTTCCTATCTTTATAGGTTTACTTATTCTGGGCATTTCATATAAATCAAATTATACAATATGTTATCTTTTGTGGCTGCCTTCTTTCACTTAGCATAATGTTTTCAAGGTTCATCCATGTCGTGGCACATATCAGAATTGTATTTCTTTTTATTACTGGATAATGTTCTGTTATATGAATATACCGCATTTTATTTATCCATTCATCAGCTGATAGACATTCGGGTACTCTCCACTTTTATTTTATTTTTAGAGACAGGGTCTTGTTCTGTAGCCCAGGCTGCAGTGCAGTGGCACAATCACAGCTCACTGCAGTCTCAACCTCCTGGGCTCAAGCGATCCTCCCCCCTTAGCCTCCTGAGTAGCTGGGACTACAGATGCGTGCTACCACACTTGGCTAATTTTATCTTATTTTATTTTATTGTAGAGACAAGGTCTCGCTATGTTGCCTAACCTGATCTCAAACTCCTGGGCTGAAGCGATCCTCCTGCCTCAGCCTCCCAAAGTGTTAGGATTACAGTCGTGGGCTACTGAGCCTGGCTTGTTTCCACTTTTAAACTCTTGTGAATAATGATACTGTGAACATTTGTGTACGTGTTTTTGTGCGGATGTATATTTTAATTTCTCTTGGGGAGGCTTGTGTCAGTGAAAGTTGGGGTGTTGGTCGGGGGCCGAGCAGGCTGTAGTGGTACTTGGGAAGGAGAAGGAAGGGGAATGGAGGCTTACTGTAACATCCAAAAAGCATGATGATAAAATTGCAATTGGATTGTGCCTGCATTTCTTCTGGAAAACAAGACTTGAATGCAAAGACAGCACCAAACAAATCTAGAATGACGAGCCTCAACATGTAGTCTAACAAGATGGTTTCAGGCCCAAGTGATGTAACTGGTGGAATTTGGAGGAAGAATCCTTCCTTTGAAGTTTTTCTATATTGTTGTGCTGAGAACGCTTCATGGTATTCAGTCAACTGGAGCGTGTACGTGGAGTTTTGATATTGCCGCCTGCCTTTGGCCAGCAGAACAGTTTACTCCTCCAAGAGCTCACTCAGGTGAAAAGTCAGGAATTTACTCAGACATTCTGACACATGTGTCATCAATCTTGGCGTTTCCTCCCCCTGACATTGATTTATTACAGTCTCTGGCTCCGTCTATGTGTGGATGGAAGATGTCTGGGAAAGTCAGAGAAGCCTGTTACGAGTTTGGTCTCCAAATCCAAGGATTGATATTTTTGCCGGATTGGACTACTTCTGTTTGAAAAAGAGGCCGGGCGTGGTGGCTCATGCCTGTAATCCCAGCACTTTGGGAGGCCGAGGCGGGTGGATCACCTGAGGTCAGGAGTTCGAGACCAGCCTGGCCAACATGGTGAAACCCCGTCTTTATTAAAAATACAAAAAAATTAGCTGGACCTGGTGGCACATGCCTGTAGTCAATCCCAGACACTCAGGAGGCTGAAGTATGAGAATTGCTTGAATCCAGGAGGCGGAGGATGCAGTGAGCCAAGGTCACACCACTGCACTACAGCCTGGGTGACAGAGTGAGACTCCATATCAATACAAAAAAAAAAAAAAACGAAAGAAAAAAAAAAAGAAAAGGGTGGTGGTGGGAGTTATTGTTGGTTATCTCCTGGTACTTGTCTTCCTCTTCTTCTCTAATAAAGGAATTTTTAGCAGAGAAAAAAACATTTCTCTTGGATCTATATACCTAGAAGTGGAATTGCTGGATCACATGGTAACTCAATGTTTAACTTTTTCAGGGACTACCGAACCGCCTTCCAAAGTTGTTGCACGATTTCACATTCCCACTAGCAATGTATGAATTTCCAATTGTTCCATATCCTCGCCAAAACTTAATGTTGTCTCTCATTTTCGTTAGAGCCAGTCTAGTGGGTATGAAGTCATATTTCATGGTTTAGATAGACATTTCCCTAATGACTGAAGATGCTGAACATCTTTTCATGTGCTTACTGGCCATTTGCATGTCTTCTTTGGAGAAATATCTCTTCAAATCCTTTGCCCATTTTTAGGTTATTTGACTTTTATTTATTTATTTAGAGACAGAGTCTCACTCTGTTGCCCAGGCTGGAGTGCAGTGGCACACCCTCGGCTCACTGCAACTTCCACCTCCCGAGTTCAGGTGATTCTCATGCCTCAGCCTACCCAGTAGCTGGGACTACAGGTGCCAGCCACCATGCCCAGCTAATTTTTGTATTTTTGGTAGAGATGGGGTTTCACCATGTTGGCCAGGTTGGTCTCAAACTCCTGACCTCAAGTGATCCACCTGCCTTGGCCTCCCAAAGTGCTGGGATTACAGGTGTAAGCCACTGCACCTGGCCCCTTACATTTTATTATGTATATGAGTTGCAAAGCTTCCTTATATACTCTGGATACAAATCCCTTAATAAGATATGTGATTTTCCTTTTTTTTTAGTTTATGTGGGTTGTCTTTCCACTTTCTTGATGATATTGTTTGCAGCAGAAAACTTTTTAATTGTAATGAAGTTCAGTCTTTTTTTCTTTAGCCATTTGTGCCTTTAATGTTATATATAAGAAGACTTAGATTAACCCAAGGTCATGAAAGTTTAATCCTGTGTTTTTTTCTAAGAGTTTTATACTTTTAACTTACATTTAGGTCTATGATCCATTTTGAGTTGATTTTTGTGTATGGTGTGGATGTGAATATCTAGTTGTCCTAGCACCATTTGTTGAAAGACTCTTCTTTCCCCTGTTGAATGAATGGTCTTGGTACCATTGTTGAAAGGCAATTGGCCATAAGCATAAAGGTTTATCTCTGGATGCTCAATTTTATTCCCTTAATCTATATGTCTATCCTTAGGCTGGTACCAAACTGTCTTGATTACCTGAGCATTGTAGTTAGTTTATTTGGGGTCTCTTGCAATTCCATATGAATTTTAGGATCATCTTGTCAATTTCTGCAAAAAAAAAAAAAAAAAAAAAAAAAAAACCAGCTGGAATTTTGACAGAGATTGCATTGAACCTTTAGACGAATTCCAAGAGTATTGCCATCTTAATAATATTAAGTCCTTTGATCCATGAACATGGAGTCTGCCTCCATTTATTTAGATCTTTCATTTCTTTCAACAATATTTGGTAGTTTTATGTATACAAGTCTTGTATACCTTTTGTTAAATTTATGCTTAAGAATTTATTCTTGTTGATGCTATTGTAAATTAAATTGTTTTCTTAATTTGATTTTAGATTGTTCACTGCTGGTGTATAGAAATATAATTGCTTTTTATGTATTGATTTTACATACAGGTTGCACAACCTTGCTGAATTTGTTTATTAGTTTTAGTAATTTTCTAGTTGATTCCTTACCATTTTCTTGTATATAAAAGATTATATCATCTGCAAATATGGTTTTATTTCTTTCCCATCTGGATGTCTTTTATTTCATATTCTTAACTAATTGCTCTGGTTAGAACCTCCAGTACGATGTTGAATAGAAGTGGCAAGAATGGGCATCGCTGTCTTGTTCCTGATCTTTGGGAGGGAAACATCTAATCTTTTGCCAGGAAGTATGATGTTAGCCGTAGGTTTTTCATCGATGCCCTTTATCAGGTTAAGGGCACCTATTTTTTTGAAGGCTTTTGTTTTGTTGTGTGAATCATGCTTCTTTGAGATACCAGTCATTCTTTCTTGGCTACTCCCTTGGCCACATAATTCCCATGACAAGCTGGGTCACTACAAAGGAATAGCCTTCAGAAATGACCAAAATTCTCCAGGTAATGAAAAATCAGCAGAAAGGGGGAGGAGGGGTGGAGGAGGGAGGGGGGAGGACGGGGGAACACACATCCTCTTCCTTGATCCAATTACAATACTCCTGCTTGTGCAACCAAATACAGAACTGGCCCTTTGGTGACTGTAATTAAAATGTGGGTCCCTGGCTGGGCACAGTGGCTCACGCCTGTAATCCCCAGCACTTTGGGAGGCTGAGGCGCACAGATCACCTGAGATCAGGAGTTCAAGACCAGCCTGGCCAACATGGCAAAACCCTGTCTCTACTAAAAACACAAAAAAATTAGCTGGGTGTGGCAGGATGCGCCTGTAGTCCCAGCTACTCAGGAGGCTGAGATAGGAGAATTGCTTGAAGCCGGGAGGCAGATCGCGCCACTGCACTCCAGACTGGGAGACAGAACGAGACTCCATCTCAAAAAAAAAAATGTGGGTCCCTTTATGAGCTTTCAACTAAATTAGTGGTTCTCAACCCTCAGTCCAAAGCACCCCCCACTTTAATCACTTTTTAATTGAGGTATAGCATTGTGACAGTTGATTCTATGTGTCAACTTGGCTAGGCCACCATCTTTTTAAAGATGAAATTAGTATTTAAATCAGCCGAATTGAGTAAAGCAGATCACGAAGGTAAAGCAGCAGACAGAGTGAAGCAATCTGATTACCGTGTGGGTGGGCCTTGGTCAATCCATTAAAAGCCTTCATAGGAAAGGACTGAGTTCTGCCAGCAGGCGGCCTTCAGACTTGAACTGCAATGTCAGCTCTTTTCTGGGTCTCCGGCCTGCCAGCCTAGCCTGCAGATTTGGGACTTGCCAGCCTCCAGTCATGTAAGCCAATTCCTTAAAATAAAATAAATCTCTCCCCTCTTCTCTGCTCTCTCTGTCTCTCTCTCTGTCTCTCTCTACACACATACACACACACACACACACACACACACACACACCCCTATTGGTTCTGTTTTCTGTTTCTCTGGAGAACCCTAATACGAGCCTATATACAGAAGAGTGCACATCACTGTACAACTTGATACATTTTTACAAACTGAACCCATCAGATCACGAAACAGGAACATGACCATCACCCCGGAAGTTCCCCTTGTGCTTCCATCCACCCTCCATCCCCCACAGGTAATCACTGTCCTGCCTTTTAATAGCATGGATGAGTTGTGCTGATTCTAGAACTTTCTATAAGTGGTGTCACTCAGCACGCACTCTTTTGTGGCTGGCTTCTCTCACTCAACCTTATGCTCGTGTGAGACCCATCTGTACTGCCAAGTGTAGTTGTGAGTGACTGATTCTTCCTTCTGTGGGTGCTCCATTGTGTGGCTCACCTCAGTTTATGCATCCATTCAGCTTCGAGATATTCAAGATATTCATGTTGTTTCCAGTTTGGAACTATTACAAATGGTGCTGCTGTAAACATTCTTGCACATATCTTTTTTTTTTTTTTTTTTTCAGACAGGGTCTCACTCTGTCACCCAGGCTGGAGTGGTGTGCCACCATCAGGGCTCACTGCAGCCTCTACCTCCCTAGGCTCCAGCGATCCTCCCACCTCAGCCTCCCAGGTAGCTGGGACTACAGGTGCGTGCCACTATACCTGGCTAATTTTTGTATTTTTTGGTAGAGACGAGGTTTTTTCACGTTGCCCAGGCTGGTCTCAAACTCCTGGGCTCAAGCAATCTACCACCTCGGCCTCCAAAAGTGTTGGGGTTACAGCCATGAGCCCCTGCACCTGGCCACATATCTTTTGATGAACACGTGAACACATTGTAGCTGGGTTTAAACCCACAAGTGTGATTACCCAAGCCCCCTTTCTCTATCAAACATTTTAAGCTTTCTTTCATTTAAATGTTCGAAATGAAACTTATGGATGATAATGCACACACACATCAATGCAATGTCTCTAATATAAAGGAGACATAAAATGGAAGTGACTTATGATAAAATAATGTGTATTTCAATATATTCTTGGGCACAACGACCCCAGAAGGCATAATGAAGATGCCAGAACCCTGTATGCCCATAATTAGTAAGTCTGGATTCCAGAGATGTAAGTAGACCAGACGCCATGGCACAAAAGAAGTCAGAAAAATGAAATGGCAGGAGGTGAGGGTGAAGATTAAAATCTGCTGTTTGGGCAAGACATAACAGACTTGACTTATTTGTATGTGATAACAGAAAGAAAGACTTTAATTGGAGTAAGGAGAGTACCCCAAGACACGCTGCCGCCTGTCAGTGGGGGAAATAAGGAAGGTGAGCCTCAGTGTGCAGTGACAAAGAATTCCCATTTTATGACACAGGCCACGGTAGCTGTGTGGTCACCCAGAAAATGCATCTTCCTTGAAAATCCCATCTGCAATGGAGGGGTGCATTCTGCCTTCAGATCCCTCATGAGGCAGAGGCGACATGCAGATAGATCATGAAAGCAGCTTTAATCCAAAATGCTGTGAAGGAGCCATGTGGGGCACCTATGGAAACAATTTCTGAGCAAGATTGGAAAACAAATGGTGACCCCATCATCTCAATGTATCCTTTTCACAACATAGATTCAAAACGATCATCCTTATGGTCATTTTGTGAGATTCAGTGAGATTTCTTGCATCTCTACTAATTTACTAATACTTGTCTCTAAGATTGTAAAAAAGAGTCACACATCTCCTCTATTATAAGTATCTGCAGTTGGTTTCACTGTTTTTGCTGTAACTGCATTCATGCCCTGGAACCCTTTTCCTCTAGATATGTAGCTGGCAATGGTTTAACACATTGACTAGACAGGCTGTGAGGAATGAGAATGTTATTCAATAATTGACTCACTGTCATTGCATTTATGTGTCCTTGTCAATAACAACCTTTTTCTAAGTTATTGAGTTTTTCACGTAACTTCTTGTAGAAACCTTTCAGTACTGCAATGTACTAAACGCTGACCTATATGTAGTTGTCATAGGTTTGCATCTGGCAGACGTTCGAAAGCTATGAAGGATGTTGGGCAAATTTCTGTTGTGTGGGGCTGTCCCATCCATTGTGGGGTGCCCAGCATTCCCGATTCTTGCCCTGTAAATGTCACTAGAGCCCCCAGTGCAAAAACGACCCCCCATGAATTATGTAAAATGTCCCCTAGAGAACTACTGATTTAAACCCACTCCATCTCAATCTTAACCTTTTCACCCCACACTAAGTTGTTGGCATTTGAGTCCAAGGTCGGGGGTTGGTAGTGACTCTTATTATATTGTTTTTCATTTCTTTTTAGAGACAGGATCTTGCTTTGTCACCTGGGTTGGAGTGCAGTGGCACATTCAGAGCTCACTGCAGCCTCGATCACTGGGGCTCAAGCGATCCTCCCACCTCAGCCTCCTGAGTAGCTAGGTCTACGGGTGCGTGCCAACACGCCCAGCTAAATTTTTTGGTGTGTTTTTTGTAGAGACAGGGTGTCTCTATGTTGCCCAGGGTTGTCTTAAGCTTCTGGCCTTAAGACAAGGCCAGAAGTGGTGATCCTCCCTCCTCAGCCTCCCAAATTGCTGGGATTACAGGCACAAGCCACTGTGCCCAGCCATTCTTATTATATTTTATTTTCTTATATTCAGCCCATCGGTCCTGCTGGTCAGGGTCTTTGGACATCCTGGTTCTGATATCCAATGCCTTATTGCCCCTCCTAGCTGTGCTGTACTGGGCCATCTTCCCACCTTAAAATGATTTATAGACATGTTGAACAGGATGGGGCTGGGGACAGAGCCCCGTGACATTCCACTGTGGACCTTTGTCAACGGCAATAGCAAGCTGATCGTTGATATCTTCTGGCTTCTGGTTATCATAGGGATACAGCCCAGCTTCCATCAATTTGTTCTTCCAGTGCCTAAATGTTAGAACTCCATGCAGGTGGAAAGAGTGTATCTCAGAAGACAGAAGTGACTTGCCCAGGCTCACTCAGCAAGTCAGAGTCAGAGCAGGGGCAAAGTAAGCTGCCTGAGGCTGACCCACTCCAGGGCTTAGGGGATTTAAATTCCTCTGATGGCTACTCAGCAGCTCAGAGTGGACCATGCACTGCTCTGATCTAGCCTAAAAAGGGGTGGAATCCGAGGGCCTGCCCCAGCCAAGCACACGGTGTCCATTAGCCTATTTTGGCATCTGGTCTGACTCTGGAGAATGGGCAGGGGGCCAGTGCTCTGCAGAGAGGGTGGGTTGAGCAGACCCATCTGATTAGAGGCACCAGCAGCTGCCTACTCAGGCTTCTGGGACAGAGTGACGGACAGAGCCCCCACATGCTCTGTGCTTCAGACCTAAGAACATAATCTCTACCCTCTGGGCCTCAGTTCTGCTACCTGTAAAGTGGGAGCAATTCCTCCTCCCTTGCTTACTTCCCAGAGGTATTGTAAGGAACCAGCAAAGAGGACTAGACTGTTTAGGCCTTCTAGAACATTCCAAACACATTGTCCTTTGCTCTGAGAGAAATGGGAGCCACTGAAGGAGTTTGAACAGAGGAGAGAAGCAATGTGCCTTAGATTTTTAAAAGGATGTTCCGGATACTGTGTGAGGAACAGATCACATTACGGGGAAGCTTGGAGCTGCTGAACCAGTAAGGAGACTATTGAAATAATCCAGGCCAGAGACAATGGTGGAGGTAGGGGAGCTGGTGAGAAAGGGTCACGTTCTGGATACATCTTGAAAGTAGAGCCAACAGAATTTACTAACAGACTGAGTGTGCGTGTGAGAGGCGTGTCAAAGGTGATTCCAAGGGTTTTGACCTCAGTAGGAGGGAGTTGTCATTGCCCGGGAAGGGAAGGTTGCAGGAGTTGCTGGTTTAGTGGGGCGAAAGCAGAAGTTTGAGTTTGAGACATGTGAAGTTTGAGTTGCCTCAGACATCCAAATGGAAATGTCAGGTATGTCATCATTAAATAAATAAGCCCTGCTGCCTCCTGAGGAGCACATGACTTCAACAGCATGGACTCAGCTTTCTAAGAAATGGCAGCTTGGTCAGACATGAGTGTCAGCATTCGAGCACCCACCTCCTGGCCACTGTTTTCTCTGTCTGCTCAGCTTCTTAATATACTCGCCTCATCTCCCATGTCTCCCCTGGTGCCTCAGTTCCAGCCCTACTCAATGGGTAGCTGCTTTTTCTCTAAGACACTCTGGGTCGACCTGGAAACCCCAAAAGCAAATTCTGAATACTTGAGGCAGCTTGTATTTAAAATCAGATCATCCTGTCTCTTTAGCCCAGGAGTTTGAGGCTGCAGTGAGTTATGATTGCACCACTGCACTCCAGCATGGGCAACAGAACAAGATCTCATCTCTTAAAAAAAAAAAAAAAGAAAAAATCAGATCATCCCAAACAAATGCCCCCCGGTGTGTAAAAATCTACCCAGGTGTTTTTGTGCACTGTAGAGACAGATATGTTTATTTCCTATAAGTGGATTATTATGCACGCAGGAGAGCTCTGAACCCATCCCTGCCATGAACAGGTGGGGAACTATTAGTGAGTCAGTCTTTGAGCCTGCGTGCTCATCTGTAAAATGGGCACAAGGGAAGTGACAATCAGAGCGGAGTTCAGGACCACATCTTCTGGACACTGACTCAGCCGGGCTCCTGAGCTGGTCTTCTGGGTTCGGCCAGAATCACTGATTGTTCAGGAAGCAACTCCTGGAGACCAGATTGTTCCAAGAAGGAGAGGAAACTCAAATCTTAGAAATGGGTGGTGGCTTTCCTATGTCACACAGCAACGCAGGTCTGAACTGGGGCTGGGACCAGGCTCTCCTGAGGTCAGTTCAGGGGATCACCCTCACCCTGCCTCCTCACTGCATACACACACTCCCAGGGTCTCTGAACTTAAAGCAGCCCACTTCCTAGCCAAAGAAACATTCCCTCGACCCCACCTCGTGTTCCACTTTGCCAGGGACCCTCCCTCCCTTCTCTCTCCTCCCTGCCTGGACATTCTCTCTGTACTGCTGCCACCTGCTCAGCTGCTTGGTTTTACGCAGCCCCCCATGAATTCAACCTTCAGAGAAAAGTCTAGATTTCTGGCCTCTGTGGGTCCATGGACCCAAGTATAAAGTTTATAGAGCATTTACTTTGTGCCAAATACTGTTATGAGTGATCAATCACTTACCAACCCTCTTAGCAACCTTAAGACATTGAAACAGGTGGGGCGCAGTGGCTCACGCCTGTAATCCTAACACTTTGGGAGGCCAAGACGGGTGAATCACGAGGTCAGGTGTTCGAGACCATCCTGACCAACATGGTGAAACTCTGTCTCTACTAAAAATACCAAAATTAGCCAGGCGTGGTGGTGCACACCTGTAGTCCCAGCTACTCGGGAGGCTGAGGCAGGAGAATAGCTTGAACCCAGTAGGCAGAGGTTGCAGTGAGCTGAGATCGCACCACTGTGCTCCAGCCTGGGTGACAGAGTGAGATGCCATCTCAAAACAAAAGCAAAAACAAAAAACACTGATACTATCATTAGTCCATTTTACTAAGTAAACTAAGTCCCAGAAAGGTCAAAAGGCAGAGCTGGGATTTTAAAAAGTGGCCATCAGGCTCTTAACCCCCATGCTCTGGTGGCCAGAAATCTTGCCCTGATCAATTTCTATGGTCACTGCTTCAGGCAGCCCCCTCAGCTCTCACCCCTGCCTGTCCCTGGTCCAAGAGAGCCAGGCATCGGGGGGTAGCCTCCAGGGAAGATATGTCCAGGCTAAAAAGCAGGGAAGGCTACAGTGGGTCTGGGTCAGTATCAGAGAGGGACATGGGCTAGGACAGGCTCACTCTCAGTACCGTCCACCCATAGCTGAGTTTGGCTCTGCCAGGGGCTGGGCCAAGCCCTGCAGGCCAAGCAGGAGACACCCCCCAGGGAAGGCCAGGCCCTGAAAAACAAGCTTCCTCCCTCTGCCAGCTCAGCCTGCCCAGCCCCGCTGGAGGCCTCAGTGGCAAAGCCGCCATCCTCCAGGGCCAAGGCTGGGCTTTCAGGACATTCAGGCCCCAGAGCCTGAGGCCCCCAGCCCTGCCCTGAGCTCTAGCCTTTTCTTCTGAAAAGAGACCCCTGTTCTCTCCCTGAGCACATATTTTGACCCTTTATTTTCTGCCTAGGCAAGAAGCAGGGAGAGGAGCCCCAGAATGCCTGTAAGGACATCTAAGCTGTCCATTTAACAACTGGGGAAACTGAGGCACACAGCAGAGAAGTGGCTTACTAAGATTAGTCTGCTGGTAAAGTGGTGGGCCTGGGACTAGAACTCAGATCTGAGTCACTCTCAAGTCTAGCCATCCACCGCATTGCAGGGCCTCTAAGAGGAGAGGAGAGGCTTGGGAGAATGCAGGGTATGCTTGGAACACCCCCAAAGAGGAGTGTGTCAAACAGATGCTCCTGTGATGCCAGGGTCCACACTTTCCTGGTAACAAGAGAGTTAGGACAGAGCCCTCAGGACTAAAACCATTTCCTTAGAAAAAGGGAAAACCAAAACAAAGCAAAAAATAAAAACACAAACAGTCAAACCCACAATGAGCAGTCATACTCACCACTCCCTCACATGGAGGAACAAACTTAGATGGAAGATGTGGAGGTGGCTTGGTGTTGCCATCCATCCATCTTTCCATCCATCCATCCATCCATCCTTCCATCCATCCATCCATCAATCCATCCATTCATCAAACATTTGTTTGCCCACATAATGTATTCCAGGTGCTATGCTGGGTGATTGGGATTTAGCTTTTCACAAACCAGTCTCAATTCTCCTGGAAACAGACAAGACAAGAGGCAATTATCAATATGCACAAATGTAGCCAGCTCCATGTTGTTGGGTCAAGAACAGGAGACATAGATCCCGAAAGAGGGCACCAAACCTAACCTAGGAAAGAGCATGGTCAGGGAAGGCATCTAGGAGGAGGTGATGTTGGAGCTATCTTTTAAACGATATGTAGGAGTTAGCCAGGTAGGCAAGTGGGAACAGCAGGTGCCAAGGCCTGGTGGGGCAAGACAGTGCAGCCTCTTTAAGGAACTGCTGGGAAGCCAGTCACCCTGAAGGAGGCTTGGGGAAAGACGAAGTGAGTCCAACCCATGTGGATCTTCTGGGGCTTCCCCAAGCCCTGATGTTTAGGTTTCTGCTCTGACAAAGGTCAGGAGGAGGTTATGGAGATGCTGGGGGCTGGGCCAAGAACAGGGAGCAGAGGCGGGGAAGCTGGAGACCAGGCAGATTCTTTGGAACTTCCTGGAATAAGACCTCCAAGTTCATGGCATGTCCACGGCTCAGGGCCAGGGTGCTTGCTTTTCTGAACCCACGTTTCCCATTTGAGGCTGAACAGGTGGTGGAATTCTAGGTGCTTAGAGTTAGAAAATGATGATGATGACGATGACCACTTATCCCTGGATAAGGGCCTGGCCTGGATCAGGTTTCCCACAAATACTGGTTCTAATTCTTGCCACACTGTTTGCTGTGGAGGTCAGGGAGGTCAATGAAGTTTCACCCAGGATCCTACAGCTGCTCAGAAGTAGAGTTGGGATTGGATCCAGGGGTATCTGATCCGAGCTTCAGCCAGGTGTGAAAGGGGTCCTCAGTGGGACGGGCTGTTGCAGGTGGGACCCCAAAGCAGGCTCTGAGACAGGATTTGTGTGAAAGTGGCTTATTAGGGAGTGACCCCAGGAAACACCAGAGCCAAGCGGGATGCTGGGTAGCGAAGGGAAGGAGGCCAAGTACAGGAAACACCAGAGCCAGGCGGGATGCTAGATAGGGAAGGGAAGGAGGCCAAGTACAGGAATGCCAGCAAGGTGAGTCCTCAGGCAGGGCAGAGGCGGAAGAGAGCTGGAGTCTCTATTGCCCCTGCCCTGGCAGTCGTTGGGTAGTGGCTGTACCCCCAAGGGAATGAGAGGAGGCATCAGTTTTCGGGCACTTCCAGCTCCCTCTATGTCCAGGCAAAAGGACTTCTGGCAGCTGGGGCAGCCCACGACAGAGACACAGGTGCAGGCTGCTGGGGATAAGTGCATATCAGGAGCTGCTGTGCTGGAGATCAGAAAGGGATTCCTAGGATCTACAGGTGCACAGAGGAGCTGAGCAACCATCCCAGGACCTGGCCAGTTTCTGTGGTCACCTCGCTGTCTGCAAAATGCTTCCGTACTGTTCCGCCTCCACACTTTTGCACATGCTGTGCTCACTCATTCAACAAATAGTCCTCAAGACCCTACTATGCACCCACTATGAGCTAGGCTCAGGAGCAGGGCGGTGAACAGAACAGCCTGGCTTGGTCTTTCCCCTTATGGAGCTTAGAGGCTGGCTGGGAGACAGACACCAGGTCATCACTGCAAAGAGATGTGAGCTCTGAAAGGAAAGAGGGAGGTTCTCTGAGAACAGAAAAACTTGATGTAAACTGAGGGCATCAAGGAGAGCTTCCCTGAGGAAGTGACGTCTCAGCTGAGATCTAGTGGGGGAAGAGACACAACACAGACAGTGGGAACAGCCAGCCACCCAGAGCTTCCCTGATGAGGGTCTCTCAGCCCCAGGAGCTCCTGGGGGAGGCCAGTCCTGTTCAGGAGACTTGGACAAGCTGAATCCCTTCACCGAGCCTCAGTTTCCTCATCTATGCAAGCACGCAGAAGCAGCTTGGGCTTCCAGCTCTGACCTTGGCTCAAAATATCCACTGAGAAGTGGGCACAGCAGCTGTTGGACTCTCAGTGACCTCTGGCCCTGTGACCCCAGAGCCTTCCTCCCTGTGCCCTCTGTGGTCAGACTGTGACCTCTGGGGCTTATCAGCCTGGCCCCTAGGGTACCCCACGTATGATGCCTGAGTTGCAAAACAACTGCCCAGTTCCCCAGAAGGCTGCTTGAGAAATGTCAGCCCTCAGGGGAAGCTGACGTGGCGTCAGTGCTTTCAGAGCTATTGCAGAAATGGCTCCATTTCTGGAGAAAGCCCAGCCTGCGTGATAGCAAGACTGGCTGCTAGACTCAGAGCTGGCAGCGGCTTGGTGTGCATCCCTGGGCAGCCTGTAACCTCACAGTATCACAGCTTATCCTTTGGGGGCCTGCAAACCTTCCATGCGTGTTCATTCATTCAACAAATATTTACTGAGTACCTGCTATGTGCCAGGCAATGTTCTAAACACTAGGGGAGACAGCAGTAAACAAAAAACAAGCAAAAGAACAAAACCCAAAAATTAAAGGCCTGCCCTTGTGGAGCTTACATTCTGCTGAGGGAGTCCAACAACAGACAAATAAACAAACATGTGTATACATAATATTGGCCGGTGATAAGTACTTTGCAGGAAAATACAGAGGGACAGAACTGCTAAATAAGACAGTGAGGTCAAGGAAGTCCTCTTTCAAGAGGTAACGTTTGAGTAAAGACCTAAAGGAAGTGAGAGAGGAAACTATGTGGATATCTGGGGAATGAGTACACCAAGGGTATACAAAGCCAAGGGAAGAGTAAGTGCAAAGATCCTGGGGCAGGAATGCACTTGATGTGTAAGGAATGGCAAGAAGGCCGGTGTGGCTGGAGTCCAGTGATGGAGATGGAGGATGCATTGGACACTGGGGTTACAAACCTGAGTGCATTTTGTCAATGTGTTTGCATATGTGCGTGTGTGTGTGAGAGAGAGAGAGGAAGAGAGACGGACAGAGAGACAGAGACAGAGAGAAAGGAGACACAGAGAGACCTGGAGACACATAGCTTCCTTTCTTTCTTCCACCACCCCCTCCCCATCTTGGCATCATCATGATTAAGAGAGGGGAAAACACAGATGATTAAATGATTTAAATGTGCAAGTAAAATAACACCTCAGTGAGCACATTATGCAAATCTATTTAATTAACATCCTAAATGAGGTGAAGCCACCAAGGCGGATGAGCTAATTTCCCTGGGGGCTCCAGCTCCATTCTTGCCCTCCCTGAATGCCAGAAACTTCTCTGGGTGGAAGGAAAGGGGGTGGGCAGGGGCTCACAAGAGGGCCTGCTGCATGCTGGCACTTGGCACACAGGGGAGGCTTTACCCTAATTTACTCTCAATTAGCAGCAACAGTTACTGCCCTGTTTCATAGAGGAGAAAACTGAGGCTTGGAGAGGGCGCAGAGATTAGAACCCAGACCTCCTTAGAGCTCTTTGCTAAAAAAATTTTCAACTTGTCTCTTGGAGAGGTTTGAGCCTTTAGAAAGGACTGCCGCTTCCTTACATCTTTAAGGCAGGAATTATCTGCAAACCTTTTCTGTAAAGGGACAGATAATAGGCTTTGTGGGCCAGAACCAACTGTGTCTTTGTAGTTCAAAAGCAGCCACAGATAATCTATCAATGAATAGGCATGGCTGTGTTGCAGTAAAACTTTATTTACAAAAACAGGTCCCGAGGCCAATCTACAGGCTGCAGTTTGCTGATTGCTCTAAGGGATCTGACTGAATCAGAGCTTCCCCTGTGCAAAGCAGTTAACCACGGAAGGCCGTGGGACTCTAGGCAAGTCCCTCATCCCTCTGATCCTGTTTCTTCACCTGGACAATGAAGGAATGTTCTGGGTGAGGTCCAGTGATGAGAGGGGGGTGAAGCCGCCCATAGGAAGACAGAAGCTGCCCTGAACTTTGGGTGGGGCAGACCCTGGCAAGACACTGTTTGGCTACTATCACTGCATCACAACTTCGTGGTGTAAAACTCGCAGGGTCCTGTGGGTCAGGATAGCAGGCATAGCATAAGGAGAGACAGTTTGTCCTGATACGTGATGTCAGCTGGGAACACTTGAAGGGTGACTCAATGGCTGGAGGGTGGAATCATCTGGAAGCATCTGCACTTGCAGGTCTGAGGATTGACACTGGCTGTCAGCTGGGAGTTCAGCTGGGCTGTTGCCAGAGCACCTCTACGTGGCCCCTCTGAGGGGTCTCTCTGCATAGACTGTTTGGGCTTCCCCACAGCATGGTGGCTGGGCTCCAAGAGAGTTAGGTGGAAATGCATTTTTATGACCTAGCTATGGAAGCCACATGTTGTCACTTCCATCACACTCTATTGTCAAGACAGTCACAAAGGGGAAGGAACATAGACCCCCACTGCTCAATAGAAGGAGAGTCAAGGTCACAGCGTAAGAAAACCATATGGGATGGGTGATGTTGTGGCCAACTATGGCCAATACAATCTACCCCATGCTCATGGTGAGAGGCCCCCATGTGGAGTCTGGGCCTAGAACCTTGCTTCACTGATTCAAGGCAGCATCAGCCCTGTTACTGGGAGCCCAAGCTGTTCAGACCCCTCCCTCCAGACCCATCCAAGCCTTTTCTGGTCAAAACCAGCCCATGCTTAATCCTGGGTCTCCTTCCAAAGTAACCCTGAGCCATTGCTGCAGTAGGACTGTATTCTCAGTCAGAGTTAAGCCTTTTTTCTTACAAACAATGAAGGAGGGCCGGGTGCACGGTGGTTCATGCCTGTAATCCCAGCACTTTGGGAGGCCAAGGTGGGCGGATCACGAGGTCAGGAGTTCGAGACCAGCCTGGCCAACATGGTGAAACCCCCTCTCTACTAAAAATAAAAAGATTAGCCAGGCATGGTGGCAGGTGCCCGTAATCCCAGCTATTCGGGAGGCTGAGGCAGGAGAATTGCTTGAACTTGGGAGGCGGAGGTTGCAGTAAGCCAAGACTGTGCCACTACACTCCAGCCTGAGCAACACAGTGAGACTTTGTCTCAAAAAAAAAAAAAATGAAGGAAACATAAGCAAACAGCTCCCACCCACACGTCAGCCCTGGTGACCCCAGCATTTACAGTAGAGTTGGCCAAGCAGATGGAGAAATGTTGAGACAAAACTAGCTGGGAAATGCCTCCCAAGCCACAGGATGTGATTATGTGTGGTGGGCTGGAGGGTGGAGCTGGGGTCCTGGCATGGACCCCCAGAGCAGAGGCCTTCACAGAGCAGCTGGGTGGAATGGGGTCCCCGCCAGAGGCTGGGGTGCACCAGGGTCACGCGGCTGCCGCAGATGATTGCAGAGTGGAAGGAATCACTGAGGTCAGAGTTGCCGAGGCTCTGCGGGGAGATCTGAAAGCCTGAGCAGCCCCCAATCAAATTAACAATGGCTCCCTGACCTGGCTCATTCCTGAATTCCACCTCCTCCACCATCTGATCCTCTCCCCAGCAATGAGAGTGAGTTGGAGGAGGAGCCCTGGACTCCAGACAGGGAGGGACTCGCTGGGGTCTCACAATAAGCCAGAGGCTGAGCTGAGACTAGAACCCAGGGCCCTGCCTCTTCCACTGAGGCAGTCCAGCAGAGGCCTCTGGGGCTTCAGAATCCCTTGTATGTACATGGGTCTAGGCCGGACACAGTGGCTCATGCCTGTAATCCTAGCACTTTGGGAGGCTAAGGCGGGTGGATCACCTGAGGTCAGCAGTTCGAGACCAGCCTGGCCAACATGGTGAAACACAGTCTCTACTGAAAAAAAAGAAAATTAGCCAGGTGTGGTGGCACATTCCTATAATCCCAGCTACTTGGGAGGCTGAGGCAGGAGAATTACTTGAACCCAGGAGGCGGAGGTTGCAGTGAGCCGAGATAGCGCCATTGCACTCCAGCCTGGACAACAGAGTGAGACTCTGTCTCAAACAAAACAAAACAAAGCAAAACAAAACAAAACAAAAAGGGTCTAATATTAATAATCATGCCACCTCCCACTCATGGCACTCACATGCCAGTGCTTCACCTCACAGAACCCCCCAACAGTGCTAGAGGGTAGGACTCCTCTGTCACCCCCATTTCCAGAGGAGGATATGTGACTTAGAGAATGAATGGTGGAGCTGGGACAAGACCCCAAGCCTGGCACTTGCACTCAGGGGCACGTTTTGTGGGTGGGAAGCGGCCCTCCCTGAAAGTGCTGGCATGCTAGCATACCCCCAGCCCTGTTCAAGTGCTTGGAAGCTTCCTGACCCAGGCCACTGGCAACCAGAACTCCCAGGGCCCCTGGCTGAATCCGGCTATGTTGTCAGGAGTTCCTGGCAAGTGTGGAAGCAGGTGGGCCCCACAGACTTCCCAACCCCAGCTATCCTAGCAGCTGCAGCCAGGATAATTGTCCCCATTTTTTTTGGGGGGGGGGGGTGGGGAAACAGAGTCTCCCTCTGTTTGCCCAGGCTGGAATGCAGTGGTGTGATCTTGGCTCACTGCAACCTCCACCTGTGCATCAACCTCCAGGGTAGCTGGGATTACAGGCGTGCGCCACCACGCCTGGCTACTTTTTTGTATTTTTAGTAGAGGCGAGGTTTCACCATGTTGGCCAGGCTGGTCTCGAACTCCTGGCCTCAAGTGATTCACCCGCCTTGGCCTCCCAAAGTGCTGAGATTACAGGCATGAGCCACTGTGCCTGGTCAATTGTCCCCATTTTAACAGATAGGCAAATCGAAGCCCAGAGAGGAAACCAGGCCACCCTTTCCAGAGGGGTTGAGGCGAGGAGCAGAAGCTGCAGTTAGACCCTAGCTCCTTCCCCAGGGTGAGCTGGATGCGTGGGAACCATGGAGGAGCAGGCACGAGTGAGCGGCTTCCTCCCTGCAGATCTCAGCAGATCAGACAGTCGCCATGACTCATCCCCACATCCCATCGGCCCTGAGGCTGCCCTGGCCTGGGACTTCCTAGCTCCAGTCTTGTTGCTCAGGGGTGTGGAGGACACCAGATCTACCCTTACCCTCCACCCATGCCTGGGGAGACATTGTTCTTAATGAAACACACCAGATGGGTGGGGTGACCATGTCATTTATTGGCCAAACCAGAACAATTTGGAGAGCTATTAATAATGATGTGGTGATTGTTAGCATTAACCAGGACTGGCCAAGACAAGTAGGGATGTCTGGTCTCTCTATTGACAACTGCAATAGTCATTGCCTAACTCCAAGTACTAGACGCACCAATGTCAGTCACTCAGGCATCAGCCACAGGTTAGGGCCAAAGTGTTCCGGGGCAGGTATATTTTTGAGAATTCCTCAAGTCAGGGGGCACTCCTAGGGGAATTCAAGTCTACGTGTAGGACATACTTTGAAATGAGACTGCTGAGTTTGCATCTTGGTCCTACCATGTAAGGGCTGTATGAGCTCAGACCCGTTACCTATTCCCTCTGACCCTGAGTTTCCTGATCTATAGAACCAATTGACCCCCGTAGAACTGTTGCGGGAACAAAAAGAGATAACTCAGGGTAAATGACCCACAATGCTGGCACAGCATATATGCTCAGTAAATAAGAGGTCGTTATTACTTTGTATTAATGTGATTATTAACTATGCTGAAAAAGGCAGACCTCACACTTTCAGATATGGCCTTGCCCTGGGGTTACTCACAGTGTTGCGGGGAATGAAGTCCAGGCTAAGGGACTGAGTGCTGGGCATGAAGGACACACCGAGGGTTGTGGGGTTCGGAGATGTAGGAGAGGCTTGGGTAGGGGCATCAGGGTGGGCTTCCTGGAGGTGGCCCCTGGGCAGGGTCATAATCATGTCAAGATTAAGGTCCTAAGAAACACCTGTTTCTAAAGAGCTTATCGTGCTCCCTTTTCTCAGTATAACTACATAAGAGCTCACTGAAGTTCAGCTTTTTATCTTCATGACTTCAATGGTCTCTTTGGGATGTCAAATATCAAGTTCTTTCCCCCAAAAAGTTCATTGAGCTCACATTAAATCTGCTTATTGCTCCACCCAGGCCAGGAACAGAAGCCCTAGAGCTTGCTCAAGCATGAATGGAGGATGGAAGTGGAGGCTTAGGGGCAGGGGGGTGACCAGGGGAACCCTAGCGAGCAGGGCAGCCTGACCTGGGGGTGGAGGGAAGGGTCTGAGCCCGAGCCAGGGCCGTTGCTGCCTCTGGGCCTCTTGAGTCTGGCTCTGAGCCTGTCAGCTTTGGTTTTTCCTCAGTGGGGACCACCTTTCTGTTTTCTACGGACATAGCTGGACACAGTGGTCCTCCGCACATGCTCCCTCCAGAACCCACCTAGCATCTCTGATTCCCAAAGCCAAATCCTGGGAAAAAAGAATCTTATTGGTTACCTTGAGTCACGTGTCTATCGCCTCAACCAGTCAGCCTACAACCAGTGGCCGGTGGCACGGTAGAAGCAGAACTGATGGGTGGAGGTTGTTGGACATTTACTATGGATAGGTAATACTTTGACATGTAGAAAAGGGAGAAGCCTTTTCCAGGAGGAGGGTACAGCATGGGCAAAGGCTTTGGCGGCAGAGAATCGGGTGCTTAGTGTGGCGAACACCGAGTGGCTAAGTTCCTATTAGCCTTCCTGTGGCTGCTAGAAGGGCAGCTCCCTTAGCCACAACCCTGCCCCTGTGCCTGGAGCCACAGACACGGCCCAGAGAGGGCAGTCCGGTGAATCAGCAGCAGAACCCAAGCTCAAACTCCTACCTCCTTTTTCCCAGTCCATGCTTGAGTGTCTAAGGCATAGGAGGGAGTGGGGGGAGAGGAACAGGGAGAATGAAATCAAGAAATAACAGGCTTCACAGGAGCGGTAATGACATTTTAACTTAAAAATTGCAAGGAGATGGGGGCTGCGGAGGTGTATGCAAATTTCATGTAGATGAGATGCAAATGAGCCTGCCTGCTCCTGCCTGGCGCACCTGGATGTGGCTCAGTGACAAATCCTAATGGGCTCTGCGTGGCTGTGTGATTGATTAGCAAGGCCGGCTGGGATGACAACTGCACTCCTCTCCTGGGAGCTGGGGGAGAGGTGAGACTCTGTTTCTAGGCAGACCTGAACCCCCTCTGATAGGGGACCCTGAGGGGTGGCTCTACTAGTTCAAGGATAGCAAATTTAGGGCACATCTACTACTTATATCCCTGCCAGCACCCATGGCAGACATCATTAATCAAACATAGAATTCTTTCTTACTGAGCCAACCAGGTGCTGTAGGCAGCCCCTACTAATCGAAAAGATTTGGCATTCATCCTTTCATTCATTCATCTGACAAACTTTGTTAAGTTTCTTCCCTGTGCCAAACATACATTGAACAGGTAGACTCAATTTCTGCTCTCATGAAACTCACAGTTTAGTAGGGGATATAAGCATTAAATAAAATATTGCAAAATGGCAATCGAGATACATGCTATGAAGGAGAAGTACCTGGTTTTTAACAAAAGAGGATTTTGACCACTTCAGAGTGGTCAGGAAAGGCTGAACCTCTTGCTGGTATCTGAAGGATAAGGAGGGCTTAGCTAGTTGACAAGGCTGAAGCCTTAAGATGAGAAAGAGCTTGTAGCAGACACTGTCAGTGCTACACCCAGATACCCTATGATCACTTCTTGTTGCTGTGCTTCCCTCCTCTGGCTTCTCTGTGTGTGTATGTCTGTGTATTTTAAACAACTTATTTTGAGATATAGCCAATCCACCATGCAATTCACTCATTTAAAGTGTACGATTCAATGGTTTTTAGTATATTCACAGATATGTATAACCATCACCACAGTCAATTTTGGAACATTTTTGTCATCTCAAAAAGAAATCCTGTATCCTCGAGGGATCACTGCCATATCCTCCCACCTCCCCTATCCCCAGTCCTAAGCAACCACTAACCTACTTTCTCCATATATAGATTTACCTATTCTGGACATTTCTATAAATGGAGACATATAATATGTAGTCTCTTATGACTAACTTCTTTCATTTAGCATAATGTTTACAAAGTCATCTATATTATTACAGGTGTCAGTACTTCTTTCCTTTAAACAGTTTTTATTGTGGTAAAATATATATAACACTTACCATTTTGTTTTTAAGTGTGCAATTCAGTGACATTAATTACATTTGCAATGTACACCCATTACCACTGTCTCTTTTCAAAACTTTTTCATCACTCCAAACAGAAACTCTCTACCCATTAGGCAATAACTCCCCATTCCCACCTCCTCTCAGCCACTGGCAACCTCTTAACTACTTTAATGTCTCTATGAATTTGCCTATTCTAGTTATTTCATATAATGGACTCATACATATTGGTCATTTTGTGTCTGGCATATTTCACTTAGCATAATCTTTTCAAGGTGCATCCATGTCGTGTGTATCAGAACTCATTCCTTTTTATGTGGCAAGATAATGTTCCATTGTATGTGTGTGCGTGTGTGTATATATATATATAACAAAATGTGATTATATAAAACAAATGGAATTATATGTGTATATTTTGTTTATTCATTCATCTGTTAATGGACACTTGGGTTATTTCCATCTTTGAGCTATTGTAAATAATGCCGCAATAAACATTGGCATACAAGAATCTCTTTGAGTTTCTGTTTTCAAATCTTTTGGGTTTGTAACTAGGAATGGAACTGCTAGGTCATTCTATGTTTAACTTTTTGAGGAACTTCCAAACTGTTTTACACAGCAGCTGCACGGTTTTACATTCCCACTAACCATGTATAAGGGTTCTAATTTCTTCATGTCCTTGCCAACATTTGTTATTTGCTGCATTTAAAACATCATAGCCATCCTAGTAGCTATGAGATGGTATCTCATTGTGATTTTGATTTGCATTTCCCTATTGACTGGTGATGTATCTTTTCATGTGCTTGTTGGCCATCTGTACATCTTCTTTGGAGAAATAACTATTCAAGTTCTTTACCTAGTTGGTAATTGGGTTGTATTTTTTTGTTGTTGTAGTATAAATTCTTTACATATTCTGTATATTAAACTCATCAAATATACAATTTGCAAATATTTTCTCCCATTCTATATGTTGCCTTTTCACTTTCTTGATAATTTCCTTTGATGCACTAAAGATTTTAATTTTGATGAAGTCTAATTTATCCATTTTTATTTACGTTGATTGTATTTTTGGTGTCATATCTGAGAAGTATCTATTGGCAAATCCAAGCTCATTAAGATTTACCCCTACTTTTTTTCTATGATTTTTGTTGTTGTTGTTGTTGTTTTGAGATGGAGTCTCGCTCTGTTGCCCAGGCTGGAGTGCAGTGGCGGGATCTCGGCTCACTGCAAGCTCCGCCTCCCAGGTTCATTCCATTCTCTTGCCTCAGCCTCCCGAGTAGCTGGGACTACAGGCACCCGCCACCACGGCCATCTATTTTTTTTGTTTTGTTTTGTTTTGTATTTTTAGTAGAGATTGGGTTTCGCCGTGTTAGCCAGGATGATCTCGATCTCCTGACCTCGTGATCCACCTGCCTTGGCCTCCCAAAGTGCTGGGATTACAGGCGTGAGCCAATGCACCTGGCTTTTTCTGTGAGTTTTATAGTTTTAGCTCTTATATTTAGGTTGTTGATCTATTTTTAGTAAATTTTTTAATATGGTGTGAAGCAGGGGTCCAACTTTATTCTTTTATGTTTGGAAATCCAATTGTCTCAGCATAATTTGTTGAAGAGACTATTCTTTCTCCATTGAATGGACTTGGGACCCTTGTCAAAAATCATTGGCCATAGATGCATGGGATTATTTTGGGATTCAAAATTCTATTCCTTTGTCCATACATTTATCTTTATGGAAGTACCACACTGTTTTGATTACTATACCTTTGCAGTAAGTTTTGAAATTGAAAACTCTGGGTCCTCCAACTTTGGCCTTCTTTCCAAGATGTTTTGGCCATTTGGGGCCTATTGCAATCTGTTTTAAATTTGAGAAGTGGCTTTTTATTTCTGGACAAAAAAGCAGTTGGAATTTTGATAGGATTACATTGAACCTATATATTGCTTTGGGTGGTATTGACGTCTTAACAATCCTATCCATGAATATAGTGTGTCTTTCCATTTATTTAGGTCTTCTTTAATTTCTTTCAGTAATGTTTTGTAGGTTTCCGTGTATAAATCTTTCATCTCCTTGGTTAAATTTAGTACTGGGTATTTTATTCTTCTAGTGCTGTTGTAAATGAAATTGCTTTCTTAATTTCCTTTTTGAATTGTTTGTTGCTGGTATATAAAAACACAGCTGATTTTTGTGTGTTGATCTTCTAACTTGAAATTTCGCTGAATTTATTAGCTGTAGTAGCTTTCGTGTGGATTCTTTGGGATTTTTGAGATATAAAATAATGAGATCTGATCTTTTAAATATATAAATAGTTTTACTTCTGCTTTTCCAGTTGGATGCCTTTTTCCCCTTTTTCTTGTCTAACTGCGCTGGCTAGAACTTACAGTAAAATACTGAATAGCAGTGCTGCAAGTGGGCATTCTTGTCTTTCTCCTGACCTCAGAGAGAAAGCTTTTAGTCTTTCACCATTGAATTTGATGTTGGTTGTGGGTTTTTCATAAATGCCTTTTATCATGTTGAGTATGTTCACTTTTATTCCTATTTTTCTGAGTGTTTTTATCATGAAAAGCTATTGGGTTTTGTCAAATGCCTTTTCTGCATTGATTAAGATGGTCGTGTGGTTTAATTTCCTTTATTCCATTAATTTGGCATATTACACTGATTGATTTTCTTATGTTTAGCTATCTTTGCACTTCGAGAATAAATCCCACTTGGTCATGCTGTATAATCCTTTTAAGATGCTGTCATGTTTGGTTTGCTAGCATTTTGTTGAGGATTTTTGCATTTATATTCATGAGGTATATTCATAAGTTTAGTAATTTTCTTTGTGATGTCCACATTTGGCTTTGATATCAGGATAAGAGTGGCTTCGTAAAATGTTAGGAAGTGACTTCATTCCTTTTTAATGGCTAAATAATATTTCATTATGTGTATATTTTTAAAATCCGTTTTTAAAAAATCCATTCAACAGCTAATCAACATTTGGGTTGCTTCTACTTTTTGACTATCAGAAATAATTCTCAATAAGCATTCATGTATAAATTTTTGTGTGGATATGTTTTCATTTCTCTTGGGTATTGACCTAGTAATGGAATTGTTTGGTCATATGATAACTTGATGTTTCACAGTTTGAGGAACCGGCAAACTGCTTGCCAAAGTAGTTGCACCATTTTACATTGCCACCAGCAGTGTATGAGAGTTCTGATTTCTCCACATCTTCACCAACACTTGTTATACGTCTTTTTATTATAGCCATCTTTGTGGATGTGAAACAATATCTCCTTGTGGTTTTGATTTGCATTTCCCTGATGGCCAGTAATGTTGAATATCTTGTCATGTGCTTATTGGCCATCTGTACATCTTCTTTGGAGAAAAGCCTATTCAGGTCCTTTGTCCAGTTTAAAATTTACTATTATTAATAGTAGTATTTAGCTGTGAGAGCTTTTTACATATTATTGATACAGAATATTATCTTTTATGGGCCCACACTTGCAACTCTCTTCCAAGGTCTGCCCTGGAGCTACCAGACTCTGCTTTGTGCCACATGATTCTGCAGAAAGCCTGAAGTGCCTTGGAGGTGTAAAATGTCCTCCAGAGTTCCCCCACGCAGTCAGGCAGAGGCAGGGACTTGGTCTGAAATTGCACCTTGGCTTCCCTCCCTTCCCTGTTCTGCTTGCCTTTCTGGTTTCTCTTGTGATCACCTCTTCAATGAATCACCTGTACCTGAATCCTCACCCCTAGGTCCACTTCTGGGGAACCTGACCCCAGAAAAAGCTTGGAATGGCTGAGGAAATGAAAACAAGTTAGTGCTTCTGGAACTCAGAAGACATGGAGATTGAGATGAGGCTGAAGTGGAGGGCAGAGGCTGACAACACAGGCTTTGTAGATCACAGAAAGGTTGGATTTTCTATCTGGAGAGCTATGAGGTGCTACTGTTCAGGGTTAAGCGGGGCTGACATTATATTACATTTTGAAATACCCCTCTAGTTTCTGGGTGGAGAACAGATGAAGGGGATCCAAGTGACTGCAGGAAGACCACTGCGGACCCTGTTATAGTTGTCTGGGGCTAGAGGATGGAGGCTGGGATGAGGGTGAGGACGATGGAGGGAGAGAGAAGTAGAAGATAACAGAGAGATCAGGAGAGTGGATTTAGGGGTTAAGGGGAGGTTTGAGGACAACTTGCAAGTTTCCAGCCTGGGTACCTGGATGGATGGTCAGTGCACAGAGAGGGAAGCAGGACTGGAAGGGCAGGTCAGAGATTCCACATGCAAAACACCACCAGTTTTCCTTCCTGGTCTGACCTAATCCCTCCATTTCACAGATGGGGAAAGGAGGTCCTAAGGAAGTACCTGACTACCCAGAGTTCCCCAGCATGCCCCAGGCAGAGGGCAATGGGACCCCCAGAGTCCTGCCGCCTATCCAGAGCACTTACCCTACAGGGGACTCTCTGGCTCTGGCCTCAGAGAGCTATTTTCAGCTGGGGTTTGAGACGAGGCAAATTTGTCCTGGGCTGGAGGCCAATTCACAGCCCCTGGAGAACAGGACATCTCTGCTTTATGAGGTCAGACTGTATTCTGACCCCAGCCAGCCACCCTGTCTGGGTCTAAAGTGGGTGTGACAGCCACCCTGTCTGTGTCACAAGGGTGTGAGGGGCCTACCTCAAAGTGGCTGACAAAACACACGCTCATCCACAATCCTGGGTTTGGCATTGATCCAGAACCAGGCCCAGACCCTGTGCTTTCCCCTTCTTGGCCCCTTTCCTGGCTGTGTGACCTTGGGCAAGTCATTGCCCCTCTCCAGGCTTTAGTCTTCCCATCTGTAAAATGGGGCCATCTCAGAGTATGACTTCTGTGACCCAAAGGGTTGTAGTAAATATCAGATGGGAAATAGATGGACAAAAAGTGCTTTGCGAACTGTAAAGTGCCTAGACTTCTATTGGGGCTCAGTCCTATGTCTGCCCCACATCACTGCCCAGCAGTGAAAAGTCTTTTCAAAGCTTTGTTCCTTCACAAGATG
Source organism: Homo sapiens (assembly GCF_000001405.40). Lineage (NCBI taxonomy): Eukaryota > Metazoa > Chordata > Mammalia > Primates > Hominidae > Homo > Homo sapiens. The sequence continues at coordinate 38,209,667 of NC_000020.11, forward strand.
GCTACTCCTCTGGAAAGGAAGAAGTCTTGGTGTGGAACACAAGGATCCAGAGATCTTATTTTCCTGACCCAGCAGGCTTGGCAAATCCAGTGGACAGATGGAAAAACTGAGGAGCACCTATCTACTCAGAGGCACTAGGCTGTTAAGCCTGGATTCAAAAGCAGGGCTCTCCAAGATGAGAAAGATCCTCATCCATCCAACGCCTCCATTGGAAAGATGGGGTAAACTGAGCACCAGAGAGAGGAAGCAACCTGCCTCGGGTGACCAGGCCATCAGCAACAGGGCAGAGTGGCACCTGAAGTGCCTGACTTCCAGGCTGTGCTTCTCTTTCTGTCTCTTGCCTACCAGCCCCTTGAGCTTGAAAAAAGTGTTCCCATCACAGTGGGATGTTGACAGTCACATCACTGGCTGACTTGGGGTTCCTTGAAAGCCCATCTTCTTCCACCACAGCAGGCTTCAAACTTTGTTTAAAAATCCCATGGAGGGGCACTGTGGCCTCTGCCTCCTCAGAGCAGTCTCTCAGGGGCTGAGGCTTTGCTGATTCAAAGCTATGTCATCACTCGCAGGGAATCTCTGGGGGAGGCCATGCCATGCCATGCCCCTACTGTGGGCATATTTGGGCAAAGTCAATAAACTAGGCCCAGATCAAGTCCAGCTCTGCCCCTCACTGTGGCACTGGGCAAGGTACCTCCAAATCTCTCTGAGTTTCAGCTTTGTCCTCAGTAAAATAGGGTGGAATCAGTCCTCATAATGTTGTAAAAAAAATTCAACAAGCCCTGTAAAGCTTTTAGAGGATTTAGCTCAAAGCTAGGCACAAAGAAAATGCAAAAGAAATGTTAGCTGTTATTATTCGATATTTTTATACATTGTTACTCATTATGACATTTCATTTCTGCATTCCCTTCTTCCCCAGGGGATGCAGTGAGGGGAGAGATTGTTGGGGTACAGTTCTTTCTGGGGACAGAGGGATGCACAAGGTAACCTTGGGGACTCCTCCCGCCCAAGTATTCTTAGATTACCTGTGCCCGCTTTGCCCCCCTTCCTTCTAGCAGTAGCTGTGGTCTCTCACAAGTCAGTTTCCATCCCAGCACCCCAGTTTCTGTGGCTCCCTGCCTGTGGTACCCACTGGCTGGATGCTGTTGCTATGGCAACAGCATTTTAAAAGCCGTCGGCCCTCTCTGAGGCAACAGGCATGGATGGAGATGGGCTGATCAACGCCTCTTGCATCTTTGGGCCTGTCTGGATGGAAGGCAGGGAGGGGAATGCAAGAATCAAACCTGGCTTTGGGTGGAGGACTCAGGCCCCAGCCCCGGGTGTTCCCCAAATGCACCCCCACTTTGCTGAGTCACACAGGAAGAGCACTTGGCTACAAACGCAGATTCCAGCCACCTGCCAGCACCAAGAGTCTATTTTAATGTCTGGGGTAGGATTCCCTAGGAAGCCTTTTGACCGGCTCTGCTCATGGCTCTGAGGCAGGCAGGCCCTAGACCACACCTGGGGAAGTCTTCAGTCTTGGAAGATTCCTGAAGCCATTTTAGGTATCAAGTGTGTGACTCTTGGCTGAGACAGCTCCTGAGAAGCCCTAGTTGTCCTCCTGTGCCTGGCCCAGGCCTGCCTCTCTCCCCTTCACAGCCTCATTGTGGGGGACCTGTGCCCCACAGCCTCTTTCTGGAGCCAGGAAAATTCAGAGCTAGGTGACCAAGAGGCCACTTCAGTAATGCATCCTACTGCAGAGGTAAGGCAAACACTTTCAGCTTAATGACACTCCAGAGAGGCGCTGGCAGGGGCCACTCTGGCCAGTATGAAGGGTGGGGCTTCTGGATGCTCCATCTAAGATCCGACAGATAGGCCCCTTCCCACGGTCCCCAACCACCAGGACCCAGCTGCCCACAGAACCCCAATGGTACTGGGCCACAGAGGCTGGGCATAGAGAAGTGGAAGTTGGGCAGGGAAGGGGACAGAAGACATTGAGTTCAGGGAGGCTTGGTGGGGAGGTGAGAGAGAGGAGGGACCTCTAAGGCGGAGAGGATTCTCTCTGGAGGACAAGGACAAGGTTCCACAGGGTTCCTTGAACTTGAGAATGAAGGTCCCATGCCTGCTGAAGAGGCCTTGTGAGACAGGGAGCACAGAAGACATGTCCTTCCTTTCTAAGCACAGGAACCGGCCTCTGGCTCCAGGAGGCAATTCTCTTTGCCAAGACCAATGGAGCTGGCTGTGCGTGCTGTCTACGAGTGCCAGCTCCTGAGGGTTGGCAGATAAATGCTCTGGATGCCTCACGCCTCAGGGGGTGTTCAAGGATTCCATGCTGTCTTTCAGAGATCTCCAGAAAGATCCAGCTACAGTTGCCAACATGGAAATTTGTATGAGGGTGGGGCACAGTGGCTCATACGTATAATCCCAGCACTTTGGGAGGCTGAGTCCAGAGGATCACTTGAGCTTGAGATCAGCCTGCCTGGGCAACATAGCAAGACCCCATGTCTACAAAAAATAAATAAATAATAAGCTGAGCATGGTGGTGCATAACTGTAGTCCCAGCTACTTAGGAGGCTGAGGTGGGAGGATTGGTTGAACCCAGGAATTTAAGGCTATGATTGCACCACTGCACTCCAGCCTGGACACCAGAGTGAGACCCTGTCTCTGGTGGGGTCGGGGGGGGTGGGCGGAAAAGGCAATCCCAGCACTTTGGCAGGCCAAGGCAAGAGGATCACTTGAGCCCAGGAGTTTGAGACCAGCCTGGGCAATGTAGTGAGGCCCCATCTCTAAACATAAAATACAATGAAGTTTTAAAAATTAAAAAAAAGAAAATTTGCTTGACAACATACTCTTTATTCCCTTTGCAGATTCGCCTCCTACTCCCCCAGCAGAGGTTCCTGGATCAGCACCAAACACACTGATCCTTAAATCCTCATCTCAGGGTCCATTTTCCTGGAATCCAAGACAAGGAAGCACTCCCGAATCTCCCCGAGGATTCTGCCTAAGGGCAACACTGGCCCTCGTACCCGAGGGGAGAGCTGTGTATGTTCCTGAGCTGCAGGTGGGTGTCTGCCTGCCTGCGAGCGAGACCTCTGGAGGGGTCTGTGCCGACAGGTCTTTCCACAATGAGAGCCTGGAGGGATGGAGCCAATCACACCATTTATTGTGCCCTGGTTCTGACGCCCACTCTTGCTATTCTGCATGGGTGAAGATCGGGTCTTCCAGGAGTTTTCTGGAGCCAGGGGCAGGTCGACAGTTCTCATCCTCCCAGCAGAGGCAGAATGTAAAACCAGTGCTCCATGGTGACGTCTCACTGGGACTGACCAGAGCTCCCAGCTACCCCTCCAGCTGGGCCCTGGCCCAGTGCTCCTGGAGGCTGGTGCGACTGAAGGGGCCTCTCAGCTAGAGGGAGGCAAGGGGACTTGTCTGGGGTGAGTCCTCAAGGGATGTCTGTGAGTCTGTCCCCTCTGAGGAGAAGCTGCCCCCAGTGAGGCGAGGGACCTGGCTCTGCCTGGGGGGCTGCTGCCGGAAGAAGGTGGTGGCAAGCAAATGCTCGCGGGCAGGGTCAGGCAGCTTGTGGGAGCCTTTGCCGTCTTCAGCCTCTGCAGCCTGGCCAGCTTCCTGGGGTGGAGAGCCTGCCTGGAAAGTTCTGTTCTGTTCCCCTCTGGGGGGCCCAGGAGGCCAATAGGACTTTGGCAAATGGTCCATGCCCAGTGAGTCTAGTGGAGGCTGATCCCACCTCCCCTTGGAAGTGACCTCTACACTCACACCCTGGCCCTTGGCTGCCACCCCTCTTCGTTCTGGGCGCGCTGAGTGAGCAGCTGGAGCCTCTGGGCAAGAGCTGTGGGTCAGTGCCTTCTCCAGGAGCATCCGGATCTCCTCATGCCTGATCCGGGCCTCCTCCCATAGCTCCTGGCCCAGGCCTGCCCGGCTCAGGGAGGCCACCTGCAGCCCCACGGCTGCGAGCTTCTCAGCAGGGAACTCAGATGCCAGTCGCTGCAGGTAGCGGTGGAGGCGGCGCTGGTCCCCAGGACTGACCCTTGAGGTCTTGTCCAGCCTGAGCTGGGCCATCAGGTCCTGACAGTCCATGTGGAACCAGGTCATCTGGGGGACAAGAAGAGAGGGAGGTGGGGGCTCAGGCTGGAAGTGGGACCATGGAGGACTGAATTAATAAGTGCCCAATGCCAGGGCCCCGCTCAGCTTGGCCATGATCTTCTCCACTGACCATGATGACCCTGGTTTCCCTCTCTTCCCTGGGGTGCACACACCTGCCATCTGGAAACAGCCCCCAAGCACCCTTAGAATCATCAGACACCTTTTTTTTTTTTTTGAGATGGAGTCTCGCTCCATCACCCAGGCTAGAGTGCAGTGGTGTGATCTCGGCTCACTGCAAGCTCTGCTTCCCAGGTTCAAACAATTCTCCTGTCTCAGCCTCCCGAGTAGCTGAGGCTATAGGCACCTGCTGCCATGCCCAGCTAATTTTTGTATTTTTAGTAGGACGGGGTTTCACCTTGTTGGTCAGGCTGGTCTCGAACTCCTGACCTCAGGTGATCCACCCGCCGCAGCCTCCCAAAGTGCTGGGATTATAGGCATGACCCACTGCGCCCAGCCCATCAGACACCTTCTAATAGACCTACGGGCCAGCAGGGACTTAGCCCTCTCTGGGGCTCAGTTTCTTCTTCTGTAAAATGGAAGTTGCACTAGATGATCATGAAAAGCCTTTTGAGAGGTGAAATTCCTCTCCATGGTTGTATTAACCCTTGAGAGTGCTGTGAGGGAGGAGTCTGCCTAATGCTTATTGAGCACTGACCGTTTGCCAGGTTCTGTGTGTCTCAGGCAGGATTGCACTGAACTGCACCAGCAGCCCATTTCACAGAGAAGAAAACTGAGGCTCAGAGAAGTGAACTCACTTGCCCTAGGTCACATAGCAAGTCAGGGAGGAGCTGGGATTCCACCTCTGATCTGTCCTCCAAGCACCTTCATGGGCAGAAGGAGAAACCGGCCAGGCAGGGGTGTGCCCTCACCATCACACCTTGAGACTGTCAGCCACACCAGGCCCGCAGGCCCCCTCCCTCCAGCCGAGCCTCTGCCTCATTTTGTGATTCTGTCTGTCCCCGCTTCCCCCACAAAACGTCTGCAGACTGCAAAGAAGCCAACACGTTCCCAGCCGCTCGTGAAAAACATAATCTTTCTCTCCATTAATTTAGAACCCGATAGCGAGCTGTTAGGCTGTAGGGATTGGAGAACCATTTTCTCCGAAGAGACCATCTTTCCACGGATTAAGGGAACTTGACTTTAGATAAATGGCTTCATATTCGTGCAAGCACACGGAGCTCATGGCCGGGAAAGAGCTCCATAAATCTCCGTTAGTGGCACCATTGTGTTATTATTATTTAGGACCAAAGCTGCTGCACACACGCTCCCCACCAGGGGCTGAGCCTGGTGCTGGGCTGTCCCATCATCTGTCTGTGTGTCCAGGACTTGACCTTCCAGGCTAAGCTGGACAGAGATGGATAGCACCTCAGAAATCATCTTGCCCAACCCCTTATTGAACGGATTGAAATTCAGGGCCAGTGAGGAAACAGGGCCAGCCCAGTTCCAACAGCGAGAGTTGGACTCAGAGTCAGGGTTGCTACCTCCCCCGTATGACTTCTAGGCCTGGCACAGACGCCACCTCCACACAGGCCATCCCCAGGCTTCCAGCCTATCCTGACTCCCCGCACAGCCTCCCTGAGACCTTGTGGGCCGAGCCCGTGCCAGGCACCATGGATAGAGCCAGGACCAACTCGAACCCAGTCCCTGTCTCAGGGAGCTCGCCTCGCAGGCACCATGCAAGAGACAAGCGAGTGACAAGGACCAGGACAACTTCAGGTCAAAGTGAGCACCCAGAAGCGACAAAACAGGGTGACGAGAGAGAACCAGAGTGGGCAGTCAGAAAGGGTGTCTGCAAAGAGGGGATGTGTGAGCTGAGAGCGGAAGAAAGACAAGAAGCCAGCCGGTCAACGGGAAGAGCTTCCCAGGCTGAGGGAACAGCACGTGCAAAGACCTCAGAGTTGGAGCACGTTTGATCGATCCGGGAAGGCCAGTGGGGCTGAAATTGGCTGAAATCAGTGGGCAAGGCAAAGAAGCTACCAGATGTCTTTAACCCTGGAGGCACTACTCCTCTTCTTCCTCCTCTTAATGATAATAATAATATTGATGTTAATAACAATTCTGAATTTGAACAAAGCCCTGTGCCAGGGGTTACTTCCATTGAAATCTGTCATTAGCTGGTAAGGCTGGCAGTAGAGCCAGATGGTCTGGGTTTGAATCTCTGCCCACTCAGTTAGCTGTGTGACCCTGGGTGAGTTATCTGACCTCTCTGTTTCCTTAGGTGGAAATGGGCATAATAGTAGTACCTGTCTCATAGGATCGGGGCGACAATAAAATGATACGTGAAATGACTAGAACAGGGCCTGGCTTGTCATAAGAACTACACGGCCATTAACTATGGTCTTAGCAAAGAGCTGAGGCCTAGAGCAGTGAAGACTGTGGTTGAGGTCACAGAGCTCACGCAAGGACATGAAGCCCCAGACTCCAAGGCTCGGATTCCGCCTGTATCGTGCTCTTAACTGTACACAGCTGGAACTGGGGGAGCCCTTTGCTGCCACTGCCAACATCTGCCTCCCTTGCCCACTGTCCCAAGGAGACAGAGAGTGCCCTGTCCTCCCAGGGCCCCAGGCGTGAGTTGACCAGAGTCCCTCCTGCTGCCCTCTGAAGCAGCCTGTGATCGCTGTGGCCTGCACGTGGGGCTGGCCTGACAGCTGGGAGGCTGGGGTCAGGTCTTTCTCATGCTTTGTCCTTGGTGACAAGTGCAAGGGGCAGCCAAGGGCACTGGGTCTGGGCCAGCCATGGGGGTCCCTGTCCCAGCTGGACCACACTCTCCCAGGCTGCTCCTTTGTCCCCACAGACCTCAGTTTTCCCATAATTTTTTTTTAAAGAGAGATTTGGCTACATGAATTTAGGACAGGTGGCAGCTCCTAAATCAAATCATCCTTCACCACTGCCCTCTTTGGGCAGTTTTCTCATCTGTAAAATGGGAACAACATTGGTTCCCTGTCATCAAAGAGGTATGGATAAGAATGAAGTCAAGTAAGGTGTGTGAAGTGCTCACAGGAGGTCTGGCATGGTGTACACACTCAGAAATGTGCACTCCCCTCCCAACAACCCCTCATCCTCACCATGGTCAAGCCTGCTTGGTGAAGGGATCTGTCGTCATTTCTCTTCTCTTTGGGGAAGCATATAAGGCATGTCACGGGGTACCACAGACACATCTATGTTCAAATCTCAGCTCTTCCCCTTCCTCTGTTTTTTTCCTGTTACAAGACTTGGGGAGTGAATCACGATGAGCCTCCGACTGTGTCTGGGTATCCCTGTCCCTGCTGTGCCCCCAGCCAGGGGATGGGGGTGGTGTCTGTGCAAGTGGGTGGGGGGGGGCTGTGTCTAGGTATCCAAGGGATGGGGGCGGTGTCTATGCAGTCAGGCCATGGGGCTGTGTCTAGGTATCCCTGTCCCCACCATAGCCCCAGCCAGGGGATCGGGGGGTATCTGTGCAGGTGGGCCGCGGGGCTCACCCTCTTGCAGAAGCGGTGCAGGTGGAGCAGCGTCTCGAGGTCCGTGCGTTGCCGCTCGGCCGCCATGTAAAAGTGGGTCAGCTCAGCCTGGAAGGCCCGCTGGGTAGAGGCAAAGGCTGCCAGCTCTGGGAACTCTGCACGTTCTGCCTCCCCAGCCCCTCTGGCTGTAGCTCCCAGCTGAGCGGCCTGCTTGGACAGCTCCAGGCCTCGGCGGTACTGGGCCTGAGAGGGGAGAGGAGGGGGCGCCCACTCAGCACCCACCTTGGCTGGGGCCTCCCTCGGAGGTCAGCAACCTCCAGCTGCCTTGCTGGCGAGCCAGGAGACTTCCTGAGCTTCAGTTTCCTCATCTGTAGAATGGGGACCCTAATAGCACCCACCTCACAGGGCTTAGCTCCTGGTGAGGGTTGAACAATTAAGAGCAGTTATCACGCTTCTGGAAGTCTCCAGGCCCTCGCCATGGCAGTTCACTTTGCCTAGCCGGGCTCTGCTTAGATGTTCCTTCTGGAAAACTTCTCTGACTCCAAAGGCTCCTGCTCTGAGTCCCCACATTCTCCCTTACTGTGCGCTTCCCTGTTTGTCCCCGCCCCCGCCCCCGCTCCCCACTGGCCTGAGAATTCCTGAGCGCTGATACGGGGCTGAATCACCCTGTGGTCCAGAGCCTTGTCACATCGCATCACGTTGATGCAGCTTCCCTGCCCTCCAACCCCCGGCTCTGTGAGGCTGAGTTATTAGGTCTAGGATGGGGCCCTGGAAACTGCATTTTAAGAAACCCTCTGGGGGATTCAGAATATTCTTTGGGCTTGGCCATCTGGTAAGAATCTCTGGGGGAGATAACATCTCAGCTGAACTCTGCAATCCAAGCTGGTTCCCTCACTGTCTCTGGAACTTTTCTTGCTCTTTCCCACCTCCACAGCTTTGCCCTGGCAGTGCCACCCCCTCTAACGCCCTCTCCATCTGCTCCAGTCCTGCTCCTCTGTTGTCTGGAACGCACTGCAGCCTGGAGGAAGAAGTTCTCAAATTCTGCGTGGGCTTTCTCCACTGTCTCCAAACTTCCATCCTTGGGGGTCAGTGATTGCAGGCACCGCCTTCCTTCCTGCTCCATCCAGTCGCTGACCTGGGGCAGGAGAGGCAGATTTGGACATGAGGGGCTGCTAGGAGACCTCCCTTGTCCAGCTCCCCCACTTCCTTGCAGGCTGAGGTCTTCTGTCTTCACTCATTCAGTGGCTAGGCCTGTGACCACTGGCTTGGACTGAAATTCTCCCAATTCTGGGCGTGGGAAGAAATGACTTGGGGAGGGGGAGTGTGTGGTCATGTTCTTCAAAGCGGGACCCTGGAGGGCATCTGGCCTGGCCAACGCCCTCAGTGCACAGTTATCTGAATGAAGGCACAGGGTGGTGAACTTCAGGCTACTCTAACCACTCAGAGACGCCGGATCATAAAAGGGGTGGCCTCAGGGGTGATGAGCTCCCTGTTCGGGTGTGTGTGTGTGTTTGTGTGCGCGTGCACATGCAAACAGTGCTGGAGAAGAAGCTGCAGGCTGCAGAGGAAAGTCCATGGGCCTGCTGGGAACTCACCATGTGAACATGGTAAGCCACTCCCCCTTTCTGGGCCTCAGTTTACTCAGTGGTAAAATGGGGTAGACATGAAGATTCAATGAGGGATAGAGGGTATATAATGGCTCTCAACCCCGAGTGGAAGTTCCTTTCTTATTCTGGGGCATCTTAAAGAGCCTATTCACTCACTTTATCTTCACAGATCCAATGTAGCACGTACTGATATTACCCCCCATTCAACAAATGAAGATACTGAAGCACTGAAGAGTTAAACATCTTGTCCAGGGCCACACCACGAGTAAGTGCTGGAGCCAGGAATGAACCAGGGCTGTCTGATGCAGGAGTGTGCCGTGCCCCACAGCTCCAGGCTGACAGGAATGTGTTGGTTCTCGGCACCGGCAGTCAGATGAAGCCACACCAGGTGCAGGTTCCAGAATCAGACCCCGAGATATGCAACCACAAGCAGGTAACATAATGTCTCCCAGCCTCAGTTTCCTCATCTGTGCAGTGGATGAAATCCTAGCACCTTCCCCATGAGTTCAGAAAGCAATGATGTTCACAACGGCTCTGGCCCAGGGCTTGGCACAGAGTTGGCGCTCAATAAGTGCAGCTCTTGGGGCTATGTTTTCACCCACTGAGCACTTATTGAGCACCAGGTCATGTGCTACGCCCCAAGGATGCCTGCCTGGCCTTTGAAGGATCGCCAGCTTGGTGTCCTTTCTCCAGAACAAAGCACCTGACTAGGGACGGGCCCAGAGTCGGGGCTTTCCTGTGGAATGTGGCCAGGCAGAACCCCCACACCCCAAGCCAGACACCCCTTTCACCTGGTGAATGGCAGCTTCCAGGCGGCCCAGGCGGACACGGAGCTCCAGCTTCCCCAGGAGGCTGTTGGAAGCGGTGACCAGAACATGAAGCTGCTCGTCCACAAGGCTGTACAAGGCAGTGGCTGCAGCCAGATGGCTCCTGGGAGGTGGGCGGAGGTGAGAAAAGGCCTCTGTTGCCCTCTTCACCCTGCTGTACTTCTGTCCCGCATAGGCCTGCCCCTCCATCTCTGTGGCCCCAGCCTGGGTTTCCAGCTAACTTGCTGTGTGACTGTGGGCAGGCCCTTCACCAAGGGCCTCAGCCTTGGTCTTCCATGGGACTGGGAGGACAAGAGAACACAGTAGGAAGTGAACTGACCCTCCCCCTTCCCTAGAAGGGAATGAAGCTGGCCGGACAGATCTGGGTTCAAAGCCCAGCTCTGCTGCCTTCTAGTAGGAGGCTCTGTGCAAATTTCTCAACCTTTCTATGTCTCTGCTTTTTATTCTGTGAGGTGGAGATAATCACAGAACCCACTTCATAGCATGGTTGTAAGGATTAAATGATCTAACGCCCTGGCCCTCAACTCTAGCTATACATTATAACCTGCCCTGGGAGCTTTAACAAATCTTAGTGCCCTGCCCCAGGCCAACAAAGTCAGACTCTGAGTGCAACCAACACACTGATGTTTCCCTTTTTTTTTTTTTTTTTTTTTTGAGACGGAGTCTCACTCTGTCACCCAGGCTGGTCACCCAGGCTAGAGTGCAGTGGCGCGATCTCCATTCACTGCAACCTCTGCCTCCTGGGTTCCAACGATTCTCCTGCCTCAGCCTCCTGGGTAGCTGGGATTACAGGCACGCACCACCATGCCGGGCTAATTTTTGTATTTTTAGTAGAGACAGGGTTTCACATATTGGCCAGGCTGGTCTTGAACTCCTGACTTCAGGTGATCTGTCTGCCTCAGCCTCCAAAAGTGCTGGCATTATAGGCATAAGCCACCACGCCCGGCTGAGACACTGATGCTTTCTAAAGCACCTCAGGCGGTTCCAGGGACAGCCAGGGCAGAGAACCAGCGCTCATGCGTGCAAAACACTTAACACAGTGCCCAGCGCACGATGTTTGTCAGGTCCGTGCTATTTCTATTGCAATGGTGGGAAGTAGCTGCAACATGCCTGCCGGCCCTGCCTCCATTTCACAGATGGGAAAACTGAGGTCAAGGGAGGGGAATCGACTTGCAGATGACAACCTGAGTTGGAACCCCACCCAGGGCTGTTTCTGCACATAATTTTAAAAAATGCTCAAAGCCACAAGTCACTAAGGAAGAAGTGTGGATGGGATTTCAGGCATGGTGATATTTGTGTGAAGGGAGGAATCTCCAACCCTGCTCTGCCCTCCTCTGCCTTCAGAGGGAAAATGGAAGAGAGAAGATGGAAGAAAAGCTTTTGACTTCCTGGAGGGTGCTTTGCTCTACCTCAGCCTCCCCATCTGACTGCAGCTCCCCACGGGTTGCCACCCTTGCAGGGAAGAGGTGTGGCCCAGGGTGCGTGAATAGGATAGAAAATCTCTGCCTGCCTGGAGAGGGAGGGACGGAGGGACGGGGACAGCCTAGGGGCTGCAGGGACCCGCTGCAGAACAAACGCCCACAGCAGCTCATGTGGGACCACAGTGACCCCTGCTGGAGATGCTGGTAGCTGCGGGTCTGCGGGGCCTCGGATGGACAGGAGGGGCCTGGGCTGGTGGGGCAGGTAAGGGTGGAAGAGGCTGAGAAAGGCAGTGCCAACCCCCACCAGGCACTGAGGGGCAGGGAGATGACCCCATACCAGTGCTGCCCGTGCGTCCATCTGTGTAAGCCTGCTCTCAAGTCTAGTGCAGCTCTGGGTGGTGTGTTCAAGATTCTGGGACCAGACTGCCTGGATTCAAGTCCGGGCCCCACCACATCCCAGCTATGTGACCCTGGACTAATCACTTACCTTCTCTGAGCCTCAGGTTCCTCCACTGTAAAATAGGCATAATATCTGCAGCTACCTCGGAGTGAATTAAGTGAGCTGGTATTTGTAAATCCCTGAGAAAAATGCTGGACACATACAAAGTGCTATTTAGGTCTTGGTTCTGTAAACAAAATGTTCTTAAAAGCTCATGCATACCAGCCCTTGACTTTGAATATAAGTAGCTGTGTTCTAAGAGGGTGAAAATACTTGCAATTACTGACCAATTTAATGACTGACTTTTCCCCACCCCCTAAATTTAAGAAAGCTGGGACTTTCCAGGAATGTCTATAATTTATTCTGGCTCTGAGACCCCTGAGACACCATGAGGTTCTCACAAGTGTGTCTGAGCAGCCTACCGGGAAAGGCAGGGCCGGGTAGGGGTTAAATGCCCAGAAGGCCTGGCTTCAAATCCCTTACCAGCCGCTGTCTAGCTGCTATTTCCCTTCGCTGAGCCTCAGTTACCCATCAGCCAAATGGACAATGTGGACCTCACAGGGTTCTTGCCAGAAATAAATGAGGCAGGCTCTTGCAGGGGTTCAGCGTGGTGTGTGGGTCAGAGAAAGTGCTTTTCCAAAAGGGTGACCAGAAATGGGTAGGCGACATCCTCTGATGCCCATCCCAGGCTCAAGATGGCTGGGGCTGAAGGAGGGAAAGCAGAGAAGGGGCGAGGAAATTGCCAGGGCTCAGGGCAGGTTTCTGTGACCAGGCGTCAGCCTGGGATACAGGCCCTGCAACTACTGCAAAGCTGGGCGCCCTCGGGGCTCAGCTATGTGTGCCCTAGGTGGTGTGGTCCCAGCTCCAAGCTCCTGGGCCAGAAACAGGATGGGGTGGAAGAGGAAAGGCCTGGACGTCTGTACCTGACATCAGGGCTGAAGTCCAGCCTGCTGGCATCATGCTGCAGCCTGGCCAGGGTGGCTCCACCTTCCCGCTGGAGGCCCAGTAGGCCGGGGTCCCTCAGCACAGCCTCCATCAGCTCCTTGGACTTGCTCAGGCACCTGGTAGCCTCCTGCCAGCGTAGGGAGGTGCCCTGAGGCCCCATCCCCACTCTCCCTCTGCAACCTTCCAAGGCTCCCCACACCCAGATCAAGTCCAACTCCCAGTTTGGCATTCAAGGTCCTCCAGAAAGTCTGTCATTTCTGTCTCTAAAACATCCCCTCTAGCCATGTCCCCTCTCGTCACCACGGCAACCTCATTGGTCCACCCTCCAGCATCTCTTGCTGGGACACCCATTCCAGCCTCTTCGCTGATCTCCCTGCTGCCCTCTGGCTCCCCCTACAGTCTGTTCTCCACATGGCAGTTGAACGGATCTCAAAGTGCAAATCTGATAACCCCTGGTTTAAAACTCTCCAGTGGCTTTCCCTGCAGGCTTCGAACTGAATCCCAGCCCAACTCTTCCTTGGTCCAGCTCCTGCTGCATCTAGAAGCTCCACTCATGCTTCTTTCCCACTCATTCTGCTCCACACTGGCCTCCTTGCTACTCCTGAACACCCCAGGTATAATCCCACCTCAGGGCCTTCACATGTGTTTGCCCCCTGCCTGGAGCACAGCCCCCCACAAAGGCAGGCTCCTTCTCAAACTTCAAGCCTCAACTTAAACTCCAGCTCTTCAGAGAGGCCCTCCTCCCTCCCTCATTATTCCCAATCTTACTTCCACAGGACTTGACACAATTTGGAATGACATACCCATTTATAATAGTTTGCTTTTTAAACTACCACCTCTGCCACAGCACCACGAGCCCCAAGAGGGCAGGGATAAGTCAGTTTGCTCCAGGCTGGTCTCCAGTGCAGGGTACAAAGTGGGTGCCCCTCAAATATGAGTCAAATGAATGATGAAAAACAGGAATAATGTCCTCCCCCTTTTCCCCAGGCCGTCCCCTTCTCGAAGCCCTTGGTCCATGGGGTCTGGGGTGTGATGTAGCTTCCCCAGTCACCATGCTCCAGGCTCACCTGCATCCCCCCAGGGGGGTCGGCCTTCTCGAATTCCTCGATGGAAGCTTGTAGCAGGGAAGAGGCCTGGTGGAGGTCAGCAAGGAAAGGGTCCAGCTTCTGCAGGACAGAGGACCAAAGGGCAGGTGTCAGCCCAGGCCAACCAGGAGGATGCCTCTTGCATCTCAGGAGCACAGAGGGGAGGTGGGAGGCAGTGGCTCTCCAACTCCAGGTGCATCAGAAGCATCTGGAGAGCTGGTTAAAACACAGGCTCTGGGCTCTGCTCCTGAGGTTCTGCTTCAGTTCCTCTGGGGCGAGGCATGGTAGAAAGTGCATTTCTAACAAGTTCCCAGGTGTTGCTGATGCTGCTGGCCTGGGGAACCACACTTTGAGAACCACTGGTGTTGAGTATGAGTGAGGGAGAAGAAAGGAGACAGGCCTGAGCGACTCCCAGGCCAGTGGGGATACCATGATTGGTAAGGAAAGGAAGAGGGCAGAGTTAGGGGAACATTTTCAGCTGAGTCCCACTTCGGCCCAGCTCCATCACTTACAAGCTGTGAGACCTTGGGCAAGTTACTTAACCTCTCTGTGTCTCTGCTTCCTCCTCTTTAAAATGGAGATCATAGTAGTTCCTGCCTTATAGGGTTGTGTGAGGATTAAACCCATTAATATATGCAAGGCACTTAGAACAGAGCCCAGCCCATACTGTGTTTATCATCATTCTCACTTCCATGTAGTGGGTCTACAGGTAAGATTTCATGTAAAGGAAAGGGTTTAAAGCTAAAATACAGTTCAAAAACCAGTGGATTCATTGGAGGCCTCTGGAAAGGGAAGCTAGGACCCTGGGGGACAAGCGGAAAAGGAGATTGTTCAGTAGGTATCTTTTTGGACCATTTGAAATGTGAATATACTTACTGCCTATTCAAAAACACACAATTTTAAAAAGATCACTTGGGCAAAAAGTAAATAAGCCACCATGTTACACTGTTAGTATAGACCGGCGGTTCTCAATGAGGGGTGACTTTGCCCCCGGGGACATTCAGCAATGTCAGGAGACTTTTTTAATTGTCATAATTTGTGGGGTGCAAACAGTGGGTAGAGCCAGGGCTGGTACCAAGCATGCCGCAATACACAAGACAGCTCCCAACAAAACAGAATTGCTCAACCCCAAATGTGAATAGGTTAAGGTTGAGCAACCCTGGTCTAGAGAGGACCCGGGGCGGGCATTGATGGGCATCGGTTTCGGTGTGGTTTAAGCCCACCGAAAGGCACCCTCGCCCTATGTGTCCTCGTGTACTAAATTGGGTATGAAATGCCCCCTCTTGGGGTTGTGGGGAGGAGGGACTGTGATTACACAGGAAAGGAGCCCAACACTGGCGGCTGCCTTATTTCCTCCCTCTTATAGGAGGGAACCAGACCCTGAGCTTCCTGAGTTGTGTGGGTCCATAGAGCAAGTGCCTGTAAATTTATTTTATTTTATTTTAAGATTCTTTTTGAGACAGAGTCTCACTGTGCCACCTAGGCTGGAGTGCAGTGGTGTGATCTTGGCTCACTGCAATCTCTGCCTCCTGGGTTCAAGCAATTCTCATGCCTCAGCCTCCCGAGTAGCTGGGACTACAGGTGCATACCACCATGCCTGGCTAACTTTTTCTTTCTTGTATTTTTAGTAGATATGAGGTTTTACCATGTTGGCCAGGCTGGTCTCAAACTCCTCACCTCATGTGATCCACCCATCTCGGCCTCCCAAAGTGCTGGGATTACAGGTGTGAATCACAGCGCCCGGCCCTGTAAATTTATTTTCAGTTAACATAGACCTAGCTCTTTACCCGTATTAACTAAATTAATCCTCACAAAAACCCCATGAGGAGGTACTATTATTATCCCCTGTTTAGCTGATGAGGAAACCAAGGCTCAGAGAAGGTAAGTAACTTATCCAAAATCACACAGCAGAGCTGGGATTGCAATGTAGGCAGCCTGGCCCCAGAGCCTGAGCTCTTAATCATTTGACTCTGTACCTTCACTGTAAACATTTGTTGAGTGACCGTTTATTTTTTAGCATAGCAGGGTTGATGGATCCATGGGACAGAAGAGTGAAGAGAAGAAGAGAAGGAGTGGGGGTCAGGGGCTAAAGGCTGTGACGGTAAACACCTGGAAGAAATGAACCCACTCGGTGTGGCAGTAGGGGAAGGGGCCTTCCAGGACTGCGGGCAGCTGGCTGGGGTCCACATGGTGGCTGAGGGCCTTCAATGAGGTCAGCACCTCCACCTGCAGACCAAAGAATCAGGAGAACCAGGGACTCAAAGTGAGGACAGTCATTTTAGAAGGTCCTGCCCAGATCCCTGCCCCAGCACCAGTTCATTTCCCACAAGTAAGGTTGACTCCAGCTTTAAAAGTTGCTTTGCCAGCAACCAATCTTCTCTGGAAACTCTGACAAATCAAAATTCAGAACCAGACCCTGGTTAGGGAATGGCAAATAAACAGCACTCATACTGCCACTCTCCTAGCTTGTGCCCAAGGCAGACATCATTAATCAATCATAGCACTCGTTCCCTCTGAGCTTGGCTCTTTCCCAGTACAGCTCTCCGGGCAATCATACAAACTGATGGAAGCTGGCCCTTGTGATGAAACTTCTTTGTAATCTTTGCACAGTTCCCTGAGGAGCCAAGAGCTGTTTCCTTCTTGGGGCTGGTGAGAAAAGTCACTAAATCCCAACAGTGTCCTCTAAGACATGGAAGAACTAGGTGACTGCTTCTGCCAGGCAGAGAAATTTGAGGTTTATGCTGGGAATAGCTCCAGATACCTAGGCTTGGGATTTGGTGGATTCTGTGGTTTTTTTGGACCCACCTGATATTCCTGCTACTCAAAGTGTGGTCCATGGGCCAGCATCGCCGGCATCACCTAGGACATGTTGGAAATTCAGAGTCCCAGGACCCACCCAGAACTACTCAATCAGAACCTGCACATTAATGTATTTCCCCAAGAGATCAGTAAGCACATTAAAGTTGGAACAGCACACCTCCAGCCCACAATCTGCCTCTTCACTAACCAGGAGGAAGGAGAGTTTTAAAATCACATCCCGAAGCAGGACAGAGGACTGACTGCCCTTACTCATTACTGTGGTGTATGGCACTAATTAAAGGGAGCTGCAGGGCTCTTTCCTGCAGAGTCCCGCTTCAGCTCCACATCTGTATTAATTAGGGCGAGAAATACAGGAAGAGCAGGTGTGACCGCAGTGTGAAAAAGGCACTGGAGTCAGGTGACTCCAGCTCTGCGTCTAGCTTGCTGTGTGGCCTTAGGCTTCAGTTTCCCCCTCTGAAAACAAAGGGAGGAGGGATGGACCAGATGAAGCTTTTCAAATAGGTTCTATGCCATGTGCAATTCTCGATCATGTGGCAGCACCCACCAGGAGCTGCTAGGATTGCCAGAGAGATATCACTCTGTGACTGATTTGACAATGCCTGCCACGGATCTATACTGGGGATTGGTAGCGCTTAGGCCTCGTATTTATTGCCTTACACTAGATTACCTCCAGGCCTCTTCTAGCTCATGAATTCTGCAGTTCTCCCTCTCCTTAACCCCAGCTCAGCTCGAGCCCAACAACTCCCTTCCTCAACCGCCGACCCTGAGTCCCCCTCACCTGGACGTCAGGTAATGTCTGCAGCTGGAGAGCCGCCTCCTTCTCCCCCAGGAAGAGAATAGCCCGGATAGAGGCTGGGACCTGAGCCTGTCAAAGACAACCACTGCAGAGTTGCTCTGCCCAAGGCTTCATGAAGCCTCACACACTTTGATTTCCTCCTTCATCCCCTGTAAGATGCAGGCAAATGGGTCACAAGGACAGAGTGGGGTCCCTCCATGACTGGAATCTTTGTGTGATACGTTTGGACCGTGAATCATTGGTTAGAAGTCATGAGAGCAGCAGGTTCAAGTTGTGTTGCAAATCTTTCCAGATGACCTGCCCCTCTGGGCCCCAGTTTGCCCATCTACAAAGCAAAGGAGGTCAGACCATAAGGTAAGCAGATGCAGAACCTCCATTGACTCTGCTGCCCATAATTGCTGGATAGGAATCTTCTCTCCTCCCTTCTCAGCTCATGAGCTTTATGTGATCTAAGTCTGAGCCAATCAGTGTGTTGCATTCACCCCCAGGCCACAGGGTTGGGTGTGGAGGGACTCCTGAATCCACTGTAACTGAGACACAAAGAAATTTTTGCTGAGACCTCTGGGAAAATAATCTCTTACTCTTTCCTAATGGATTTAAATTAGAGACCATGTGAAGTCAGAGCTGCTGGGAGCCATCCGGCCACCAAGGGGCGCGGGGTGCCAAGCGGGGTGGCTTGGCATCCTCCAAAGAGAACGGGGCCAGAAATGGAGAGAGAGGAACCAGGTTCTAATGATAATATCTGAGCCCTTGGATCAGGCCATACTTGAAGCTGGACTTGGCTCCTGGACTGTCCATTGACATGAACCAATGAGCTTCAAGCTTGTTAGGGCTGAGTTTTCTGTTGGCTGCAGTAAAAGTCCCTGCCTGAGAGTCCTGGTCCCAGCCTTAAGCACCCCCGGACTCTATGAATGTCAGGAGGCCCCTGGTGGCTCCCAGGACTTACTAGGCTAAGGCTCTCCACCTCCCACTCACCTGGGTGGCCTGCAGGGCGCTGACCAGACCGGGCTGTGGGGGCTGTCTCCTGGCGTCAATCAGGACCGCCAGCCCCTTGGCTTTATCTTCAGGCCTGTGGGTGGTAAACAGAATTGACAGTCTTGCTGGATGGCCTCGGACAGGGGGCAGGACCTAGTGGAAGGTGAGGGAACCTGGCTGCTAGAAACCTTGATTTACTGGTGAACTCTTCATCCTGTTAAGACCAAGTTCCAATGCCCCTTCTAGGAAGCCCTCCGTGGTTCTTCTCCAGGCAGAGCCTTTTGCTTCCTCTTTGGTGCTCCTGCAAGACCTCATACAGCCCTCGTTTATAGCCCTACTATTCCTAACTCTAGCAACTAACCCAGGTACAGTAGGCAAGTCACTTGGGACTCATCCACTTTTTTGTGTAGGCAGAATCCTTATTTTGCTCAAGAATCCAACTCCCTCCAAAAAGCCAAGTTCCCCCAGAGCCTGGCTTCTGATTGGTTGAGGCCAACAGTAGTGACGTAATTCCTCTGGCCAGTGATTGGTTTAGATGGGGAGGGTCATGTGACATTTCTGGCCAATGATATGTGAGGGAAAGTTTTCCAGGGAAAGAGGCTTCTGGGAAAGACATTCCCTCCTTTAAAAAGTTCTTAACAAAGAGATATGAGGCAGAGACATACAATGATACATTTCCTTAACAGATAAAACATTTTAAATGGGAATTTCTGTTGATTGCAGCCAAAACACCCTCCCTGGTTCAGCCACATTGCACTGAGCTTACAGTGGGCCACTTTTCAGTGACTATCTTAGGATTTTCCAAACTGGCACAATTTTCAAGACTTGTTAAAATACAGATTCCTCACCCTACTCCTCTCCCATCCCCACCCCTCTAGCCATCTGGCCAGTGGGTACAGGGTGGCCAGGGAATCTGTGTGGTTCCAAGCACCCTCGGCCAGTCTAATGATCAGGCAGGATTGAAAAATAGCCCCCAACTGCCCTCAAGCCTTACAACCACTCAGTGCACAGACAAAACCTGAGGTGGCCCAGTGGGAGGGTAGAGCTGTGGCACTGCCATTAGTACCTTGTGGTCTGGGCAAGTTATTTCATCTCCCTGAGTCAATTTAATAATGATAGTACCGGCCTTATGGGCTGTAGTGAGGACTGATGAATTCATTCTTGTAAAGCACTCAGTGACTGCACAGAGTAAATGGGATGTAAATATTTGCTATGATTATCCTAGAAGGGGAAACTGAGGCACAGAAAGGCCCAGTGGCAGATAGTGACAGGAGGCTCTGGGAGGTGATTTCAAGTCTCTGACTTTATGTCCTTGCCTCCCTCTGGCGATGCCCATGCTGGACAGTGATTTGTTTCCAGACCTGTCTCTGCTACCAACCTGGAGGCCCTTAAAAGTCAGGGCCCGGTGTGAGGTGCCTCTGTCCCTAGCACCATGTAGCATGAAGCCAAGCCCAGAGCAGGGGCCCAGCCAATGTTCATTCAGAGCACAAGTGGAGAAAACCAGCCCAGCACACAAGCACCTGGTGTGCACTGCACTCCACAGTTTACATCCTCTACACCCCCTCATCCCTGCCACTTGTGCCCAGCTTGGTCCTTAGAGCCCTCTTGGTCATGCCCTTTATTCAGGCGAGCCTTGGGGAGGGGAGATTATTTCCCTATGGTTGCATAGCCAGTCGGTGGGATCCCAGAGCTCTGTCTACCACACTAGTCACTTTCCACCACAGAAAAAGGGGGTCCCATCTCCCACTCAGTCCAGAAAAGCCACTCCACCTTGGACAAGAAGAAAAAAAATGTTAGTGACCAGCAGGTGGCAGTGATGGCTCCAGTGGGGTGGGATGCATGAAGATAGTTCCAGAGGGTTCCATCACCTTCCACCCCTTACCCCCAACAGCAGACCTCTAGGTTGAGTTGGGGCTTATTAGCCAGTCCTGAGCAGCATCCCCTCTAAGACTGCCCTGGCTAGGGGCTGGGTCCCGAGGAAAAGAGGGCGCCTCTTCCCCAGCCAGTCCATTAAGTCTGAATGGTGGCAGGGGTAGGAGTGTTAGGAGGAGCATTAGAAATCAGCCTGAGTCCACTCATCATTCATTCACTCACTCACTCACTGACTCACCCACTCATTCTTTCACTCTCTCATTCATTCATTTACTCATTCACCCCTTTCCTTTGTTTATTCAAATATTTATAATTCAGATGACAGCTCAATTATCACCTCCTCAGGGAAGCCTTCCCTGATTTCCCAATTGAAATTAACATCCCCTATTCTTCTTACTCTACAACAGTGGTTCTTAAAGTGTAGTCCCAGGCCCAGCACCTGTTATCACCGGGAAATTTGTTACAAATGCAGATTTTCAGGTCCCACCCACCTTCATCAACTGAATCAGAAAATCTGGGGGATGGGCCCCTGCAATCTGTTTTAACAGCCCACCAGGTGATTCGAATGCACCTTCAAATTTGAAAACCGGCCAGGCACGGTGGCTCACGCCTGTAATCTCAGCACTTTGGGAGGCCGAGGTGGGTGGATCACCTGAGGTTGGGAGCTCAAGACCAGCCTGACCAACATGGAAAAATGCGGTCTCTACTAAAAATACAAAATTAGCCAGGTGTGGTGGTGCATGCCTGTAATCCCAGCTACTCGGGAGGCTGAGGCAGGAGAATCGCTTGAACCCGGGAGGCGGAGATTGCAGTGAGCTGAGATTGCATTGTTGCACTCCAGTCTGGGCAACAAGAGTGAAACTCCATTTCAAAAAAAAAAAAAAAATGAAAACCACTGATCTACAAACATCACTGTTTTCTTCATCACACTGACACTCCTGAAAGTTTCTTGGCCATGGTTTGTTTCTTGCACTCTGTCCATCTCTCCCACCAGCCTGACAACCCCCCGATGGCAGGGACTGAGGCTGTTTTGCTTTCCCCCGGCATCTGTCTGGGGACTGGCTCTGTGAACAGACGACTGGATGGAAGGATATGGTGCCTCTCCACTCAGTGTCTGGTCCAGGGCTCTGGGCCCAGAGGGTTGAGGTGGGGATGGAGCAGTCAGGGTGGCCCAGATCCTTACCTGGGGATGGTACACAGGTAGGACAGTAGCTTGGTGACCTCTGAAACTGTGCACCATGGTGCCTCCCAGGCCCCCTCTGTAGTTGACACCAGAAGCAGGGGCCGCCCGGCCCTGTCCCGGCCACCTGGAGGACAGAGGGCACACGTGAGCAGTGAGAACTTGTGGGGGGCCCTCTAGGGACCTCTCCTGTGGCCTGCAGACCTTTGGCCGTAACGGTTCCTTTGCCTGGAACACCCTTTCTCTCCTTCTCCTTCTGTGAACTCTGACTTCTACTTATCCTTCAAGACCCAGCTCAAACACCACTTCGTGAGAAAAGTCTTCCCTGAATCTCCTCTGTGCAGAGCACTCCCTCTGTATAAGATACGTGGGCAGGCAAAGCTCATGGCATGAGCTCTGGGGTCACACAGAAAGGGGTCAAGTCTCTGCTCTGCAGTGACTCACTGTGTGTCTGTGGGCAAGTCAGTGCACCTCTGAGCTTCAGTTTCCTCATCTGTTAAACAGGGAGAATAATATGCTGAGCTTATTAGGTTATTTCAAGGATGAAATCAGACAGCTCCTGAGAAGCACTTAATACACAGCAAGAGCTCAGTGAATGATTGAGTTGCTCAATCGTTGGTCGTTACAATGATCACTGTCTCTGTTCTCGTCTCCAGTCCAAGGGGTGGTGAGCGTGCAGCCCTGTGGCCACCAGCACTATTTCTTCTTGCAGACTTTCAACCCTGGGTTTCCGACAGGCTATTTCCTGTTCCAGGAATCTGGGCGGTGTGCCTCACTCTCCCCACAGGAGTCATGAGGCTGAGGCTCCGGGAGCCAGTACAGCCCATCCTCATGGGGAGGAAAGGGGAGGGCAAATACAGCAGCAGGGAAAGAGGCTCGGGCCTTGGGAAACCACACCTGTCTCGCAGCCTGGACTCAGAGCCCTGCACTTCAGTCACCTCACTCCAGGATGCCCTGCAATGACCACCAGCCACTCCACGTGGGCACCACCCTCTGCAGCGTGCAAAACCCTTCACAGCTCACGAAGCCTTGGACAAACCTAACCACCTTCACAAGTGCCGCCTCACAGGGGTCCAACCACCTGGAACATTCTTTCACATATGTCTTAAAATCTGATATAATTTTTAAAATAAAAAAAAAATTTGTGGCTGGGCACGGTGGCTCACGCCTGTAATCCCAGCACTTTGGGAGGCTGAGGCGGGTGGATCACGAGGTCAGGAGATCGACACCATCCTGGCTAACATGGTGAAACCCCGTCTCTACTAAAAAATACAAAAAAATTAGCCAGGCATGGTGGCGGGCGCCTGTAGTCCCAGCTACTTGGGAGGCTGAGGCATGAGAATGGCGTGAACCTGGGAGGTGGAGCTTGCAGTGAGCCGAGATCTCGCCACTGCACTCCAGCCTGGGCGACAGAGTGAGACTCTGTCTCAGAAAAAAAAAAAAAAAAATTTGTGTGTATATAAATGTGTATACATATATATCAATGTTATCCTCTTGATATTATGGATTTGATCTTTTTCCTACTATTCACTTACAAATTTCGAAAGTAAAGACATTTTGTTGGGGATAAGAGGGGAGACTTGAACAGAAACTGGAAATTGATTAGTATGAGGACATTCTTTTTCATTTTGTTAGGGGGCCGGGTGCAGTGGCTCATGCCTGTAATCCCAGCATTTTGGGAGACCAAGGTAAGAGAATGGCTTGAGCTCGGGAGTTCGAGACCAGCCTGGGCAACATAGCAAGACCTTGTCTTTACTAAAAATTAAAAAAATAATTAGCCAGGAGTGGTGGTGTGTGCCTGCAGTCCCAGCTGCTCAGGAGGCTGAGGTGGGAGAATCGCTTGAGCCGGGGAGGTTGAGGCTGCAAGAACCATAATTGTTTCACTGCACTCCAGCCTGGGTGACAGAGTGAGACCTTGTCTCAAAAGAAATTTTTTTTTATCTGTTAAGTGTACTAAATGGTATTGTGATTATTAGGGAACACACTGAAGTATTTAGGTGATAGAATATGAAGATTTGTAATATTTTTATAAATACTTCAGAAACAAATAGATGAAGCATGACAAAATGTTAAGATTTATTAAATCTGGGTGATAGGTATGTGGGTATTCATGATACTATTCTGTCTACTTTTCTATAGGTTTGAAATTTTTCATAATATAAAAGTCCAAAAGAAGGTGAAGTCATTAAACCATGAAATAAATGCACAACTTGTGAAGGTGGAGGTGCGGGTACAGGTCCCTCCAAAATCCTATCGCAGCTGTTTGTTGGGTCCCTTGGGTCAGGAAATGCTACATCACATACCTGGGTCCATTTTGCTGATGAGGAAACTGGGGTGGGGAAGCAGCTTCCCAGTCCCCCATGGGCTCAGGTACCCAAACTCTCTGCAAGGGTAGAGACCATGCCTGATTCACCCCTTGAATTAGGGGTGCCTTTGTCTGCTACACACCTGAGGCCTGGAGCTCAATTGCAGCTCTGATGGTGCTGCACTCCCCTGCTCTATAACCTTCTATGGCTCCTTGTGGCCTTGAAGAGAAACTGCAAGCTTCTGGACCTGGCATTGAAGTGTCTCAGGCTCTGCACACTCTTCCATCCTCATTTCATACACTAGGTGTTAGGGGCGAAGCTGTGTCCCCTGCCCCTCCAAATTTATATGTGGAAGTCTTAACTCCCAGTACATCAGCATGTGACTGTATTTGGAGATAGGGTGTTTAAAGAGGTAATTCAGTTAAAATGAGGTTACTGTGGGCCCTAATAGAATATGGCCAGTGTCCTTACAAGAAGAAATTTGGACACAGAGGGAAGACCCCATGAAGATACAGGGAGAAGATGGGCATTTGCAAGCCAAGGAGAGAGGCCACAGAAGGAAACAACCCTGCCAACACCTTGATCTTGGACTTCCAGCCTCCAGACCTATGAGAAAATGAATCTCTGTTGCTTAAGCCACCCACGTTATGGCAGTCCTGGGACACTAATATACTAAGTCTCCCCTTGCCACCAATGACAGATGATACCACCCAGCTTTGTTCACCCTATTCCTTCTGCCAGGTATGCCCTTCTGTCCTATCTCTATCTGGTGAAATCCCCCTCATCGCTCAAAGACTAGCCAAGATGCCACCTCTTCCTGGAAGACCTCCTTACTGCCTTCCCTCTTTAGAAGCTCTTCCCCAGTCCCAGGTTCCCAAAGCAAATGTAGGCCTCTGTGAGATCCTGCAAGACTGAGAGCCCTTACGGGTGTGCACTGGGTCAAACTCATTGTTGCATCCCTGTGCTCAGCACAAGGCTGGATAATCAATGTCTGTGATTGATTCATGAAGGAATGGAGGGTTAGAGCAACACCTCTCAAACTTTGATGGGCCTGGGGATCTTGTTAGAATGCAGATGCCAGTTCAGCAGGCCTGAGATTCTGCCTCTCCCCCTAGCTCCAAGGTCACGCTGATGTAGGTAGTCCCCAGACCACACTTTGAGCAGCAAAGGGTTCACACACTCAGGACATTCCACACTGGGACACAGTAGTCATACGATTAGTTCACATGTCTGGTTCCCCACACTGCCTGGAACAGGGCCCTGCACACACCCAGTGCCAGCTGAGTTGATTACAGCAAGGGGCAGTTGTCCACCTGATTTGTCTTCAGCTGGGCCAAGGAGACCCTTTTGCCCCAAATGTTATCCTCACCTACCAGCTGGCGCCAGAAATACCATCATTAGCATCTCAGAACCGTGGCTTGAAGCTGTGCTGTTCACAGATATTGTGAGCCTCAGGTGAAAATGAGGATGGCAAAATGAGGGTGGTGGGTAAGTCGGGGTTGCCCAAAGTTGCTGAAAAATGTGTTGCATCTGCCAGCAGCATGAAGAGTCACTCCAAGTTTGGGGAGGGAGGAATGGTAAGTAATTGAATTTGCAAGCAATTAAAAGCATTTTTTCATATCAAAACGAGTGTGAATGTATTCTATTTATGGATATTTAAAATGTATAGAAATTTTAAAGGCAAAAAGGATTTCAAAGATCTATATGGAGCAACTGAGAGCTCAGGGTGAGGTCTCAATCTCAGGGGCTCTGTTCATTCTCTTCTGCATTAGGGATTTTCCAGTGGAAAGACAGGGAAGCCCTCTCCTAAGGCTTCGTGCCTGTGGCCCCAAAGATGTCCATGCCCTAATCCCCAGAACCTTGAATATGTTACCTTACATGGCAAAAGGGACACTGCAGATGTGATGAAGGGCAGGACCTTGAGGTGGGGAGATTATCCTGGATCATCCACTCTAATCATAGGAATCCTTAAAAGCAGAGAACTTTTCCTGGCTTTGGTAGGAGCAAGGTGCCAAGATGGATGGGGGGTGAGGGAGATGCAACATTGCTGGCTTTGAGGATGGAGGAAGGGGCCACAAGCCAAGGAAAGTAGTGGTCTCTAGAAGCTGGAAAAGGCAAGGAAATGGAGTCTCCCTTAGAGCCTCCAGGAAAGAATGCAGCTCTGCAGACAGCTGGATGTAGCCTAGCGAGATCCATGTTGAGCTTCTAACATACAGAGCGATCAGATAATACATTTGTGTTGTTTTACGTCACTAATTTGTAATAACTTGTTATGGCCACAATGGGAAACACAGTGCCTATTAAACAAAACCCCATCCCCAGCATGGGAGCAGACATTCACACCTGCATGTTGATCAGTTTCTTTCCTGAGAACAGATCTTTATGAAAACTTTACGGGGAGACCTGCTTCACAGGGCTGGCTTGGAGCAGATCTAGATCTTGAAGCACAGGCTCTGGGGACTGTTTGCCCTATAAGGAAACTCCAACAGAGGCCGGTGTGGACGCAGAGACACCAGCGAGGAGACCACTGCAGCAGGCAAGAGACCACGCTGGTTTGGACTTGGGTGGGGTGAAGTCAACAGATTCTGAATACAATTTAATGGGAGAGTTGACAGTTAACAAATTGAATGTGGGATGTAAGAGAAAGAGCAATCAAGGATGATGTGGTCATCTTTTACTGCCATGAGGAAAGACTGGAAGGTTGGGAAGTGTGGGGTGAGGGGATGTGAAGTCAGGAGTCCATATTTGGGCATGCTAAGTTAGAGATGTCTGTGAGACCTCCACGCAGAGACATCAAGTAGTAAACAGCTGGATGGATAAGTCTGGAGTTCATGGCCAGGGCCCAGGCTGGAAAAATCAGTGTCGGGGTTGTCAGCCTGGAGAGAGCATTTACAGAAAATATTCCACCTCCAGGATGAGATCGCCTAGGAAGTGAGTGTGGATGGAGAGGAGAAAGGGACCAAGGACTGGGCTTTGGGGGCCCTCCAGGATTTACAGGTTGTGGAGATGAGGAGACAGGAAAGGAGGCTGCAAAATTGTGGCCAGTGAGGTGAGAGGAGGACTGGGTGACTGAAGATCTAATGGCAAGTGAAGAAAGCCTTTCAACAGGAGGAAGTGGCCATCCATGCCAAATGCTGCGGAAGGGCCTAGGGTGATGAGGACTGAGAATCGACCCCTGGATCTAGAAACATGGAACGCAATGACGACCTTGACAAGACGTGTCTCAGTGGCACAGTGGGGAAGGGATTCTGATTAGAGTGAGTGGAAGAGAGAAGGTGTGGAAACAGGGAACACAGACAACTGCTTTGTGGAGTTTTAATGTAAAAGGGTGAGGGTGGGAACACGGGGGCCTAGAATAGCTCATTTCAAGCTGGGCAATATTGCAGCGTGTTCTCATCCTGATGGGAATGGCCCAGAGCCAAAGAGGAAAGATGATCCTGTAGGAAGGAGAAGAGAATCTTGCTGGAGGGATGTCTTTGAGGAGGTAAAGAGGAACAGAGCACGGGTTCAGGGTCAGCCTCAGGCACATGGACAATTCATCCATACTAGAATGCTGAGCCTGTGGGTACAGATGCCAGCAGGTAGGTGAATGACCTTCCTTCTGGTCTGACTGAGTAAGCAGAAGCAATTCATAGACTTCCTTCCAATTGCTTCTGCTTACTCACTCAGACCAGAAGGAAGGTCATCAGCTGAGATTTAAGTTGGGGAAGGTGGTGTTGAAGGTCAAAGGAGAGAGAAGGTGTGAAGTCATCACACAGGACTGTGGGGGAGTCATTCAGGACTCTGGAGGTGAAGTAGGATCCACTAGCACCATTGGGACCCCCAGAGGTCAGTGGTCAGGAATTCAACACAATTAGCCTGCACAATTGTGTGGATTTTTCCAGCTTCGTTCAGCTTGAGGGTGCAGGTGGAGAGTTGGATCTCACGGAGGTTGGGATTTATCTGGGTAAGTGTGAAGGTGGAAGAGGAAAGCAAGCGAGTGAGTGTTTGAAAGGAAGTGATTACAATGTGAGCCTGGAATCTAAGCTAGGAAGAAGGGATGTGAGGATGTGACAGAAGGTGGGGGAGACATAATGATGGGGAAGGGATGTGGTGGAGAGTGAGGAAGATATGATGATGGGGAAGGGATGTGGTGGAGGGTGGGGAGACATGCTGGAAAAGGGGAGTGAAAAGGTGGTTGAACCAATAGGTTCAAGGTTTTGGGAGGCCTGAAGATGATGAAACTTGGGGCAGTGGGTGACCTGGAAAGAGAAGCAGTGGTAATAAAGGAGAGGGAGCCTTAACATGAAAACCCGGCGGGGAGAAGTTGGTTACGGGGGATGCGATGGGGGGAGTCA
The DNA here is from genome assembly GCF_000001405.40 of Homo sapiens. Lineage (NCBI taxonomy): Eukaryota > Metazoa > Chordata > Mammalia > Primates > Hominidae > Homo > Homo sapiens. The sequence continues at coordinate 38,237,842 of NC_000020.11, forward strand.
TGTGGGGAATGAGGACAAGATCACTAGAGAAGAGCAGGACAAAAAACGGACAGAAGGAGCACGCATGTGGACGTTGCTCATTCACACAGCAAATGCTTTTTGCACACATGCTACACATCAGGCATGTGCGAGCTAACAGTGCATGTTGCAACCCCCAAGAATTACAACAAAAGTAACTGAGGGAAGAGTGACAGTGAGCCAGGTCCTATCTGTCTATTCTCCTCCTCTCAAGGAGGCCCAGAGAGGGCAGTGACTTCTCCAAGGACACACAGGGAGCTAATGATAGAGTTAGAACTAAAACAAAGGTCACCTTCCTCCCATAGCAGAGCCTTCCATGGACAAAATCTGAGCCCTTGGCCCATGATGGCCCTAAGAGGATCATGAGATCCTTTGTGTACAATTAATATGGAACAAACAGCAGGAGCTTCAGCAAAGATGACCAGGAAAATGACAGATAAGGTCTCCTGGGAGCTGCAAAAAGACAGGGCAGTGCTCAAGGTCCTGAAGAGATATGGAAGTCTGTGAAGTAAAATAGTATTTCAGGACAATCAGTCTCCAGAAAGCACTGTGGTTCTCTTGTCTCTGGACCTTTGCACATGCTGTTCCCTTTGTCTGGAACGCCGTTCCCAACTCTTCACCTGGATAATTCCTACTCATACCATAGGACTGGGCTTTACGTTACTTCCTCCGGGAAGTCATCCTTGACCTCTACTACCCTAAGCCTGAACCAGGGGACTCATCTGTGCTCCCACAGCCCCCTGTCCTTCCCAACTGTCACACTTTGTTTACACTGGGTTTCAATAATCTGTTGTGATAACCTGTTGGCTTTTCCCCACCACTAGAATATAGGTTTCCTGATAGCAGAGAACACATCAGACTTGTTCTCTTATGAATCGCCAGTGCTAAGCCCAGGAACCAGTAAATGTCTGTTACAACAATGGGGAAATATTAAATACGAGTGATAAGACCTTCTGTATTGGATGCTGCTAGTACCCCAAACCCAGATCCCCTCAGCAGGCAGAGAACCCATCCCCAGAGTCTGAAAGTATCAGTTGTCAGTGGCTCACAGATGCCCCCTCTCTGAAGAAGCACTCTGGGCTGAACTGGATCACTGGCTCCCCCTGCCCCACCCCATTCCAGGATCAGCCCGAAGTTCCTGCAGTTCATTAATGACGGACAGACTGGGGATCAGCCCACAGTTAATGACTGACAGACAAGGCTTATAAAAGGCCAGTCCCCTACACCTTCAGCTGGAGCCAGCTCTGTGGGGCGGGTCATGCCCCAGTGCTCTCCTTGGGGTCAGCCCACAGCCTTGCTTGGCTCCTTCCCCTGCCTTGACCCTCTGTCCTTCTCCTCAGAGCCCTCCTCCAATAGGTCACTTTCCCAAAAATCTATGTCTCAGGCTCTGCTTCTGGGGAACCCAGTATCCACCTTGGCTGCTTCACTGATGGATGGACAAGTAGACAGATGGACAGACAGATAGATGGGTGGATGGATACCAACAAATTGCTTTCATCTATTCCAATTCTCCCATGGGAAAGATGAGGAAACTGAGGCCCAAGGAGGCTTGGTCTAGAACCTAGGCCTCCAGGGCATTCCCTGCCTCCCCTCCACCCAACAGCAGCTGAAGATGCTCTGGGGCCCCCAGCTCCCTCCCTACCACCTCCTGCTTGAATCCCCTGGAACCTGGCAGGCATGCTATCCTGGAGCGGAAAACCTTGACACCTAGAGCCCCAATCCTGGGCTCAGGCCCTGGGGGCTCCTCCTCCAGGGTGGGGCCTCTTTCTGGGGAGCCTGCAGAAGCTTCTGGCAAGGCAGCCTTTTCCTCAGTCAGTGGGCTGGGGGCAGTGGCTGGGCCAGATGTTTTGGTCTGAGTTGTTCCAGCTGGGAAAAAGCAACAACAAAGAAAAGGACGTTAAGCAGAAGATGGGCTTTCTAAGGGGAAAACGTCTCCTCTTTCTCTTTCTGACTAATAATAGCTTACAACTATTGATCTCTCCCATGTGCCAGGCATTGCGCTAAGCCCCTTACTTCTAGTGTTACCCCTCCCCACACCTCACTTTTTTTTCTTTAGTGACAGAGTCTCACTCTGTTGCCCAGGCTGGAATGCAGTGGCATGAACATAGCTCACTGCAGCTTTGAACTCCTGGGCTTGAAAGATCCTCCCACCTCAGCCTCCCGAGTAGCTGGGGCTAAAGGCATGCACCACGAAGCCCAGCTTTTTTATTTATTCCTTCCTTCTTTCCTTCCTTCCTTCCTTCCTTCCGTCTTCCTTCCTTCCTTTTTTCCTTCTTTTCTTTCTTTCTTGTAAATTCCTGGCCTCAAGCCACCCAAATTCTCCCGCTTCAGCCACCAAAGCACTGGGATTACAGGATAAGCCTCTACACCTAGCTTCTGGTGTCGCTTTGAACCCTCAAAATAACACTGTGAAATAGGTGACATTCCCATTGCACAGATAGGGAGAACGTGGACTCAGAGAAACTCAGTACTTGGCCAACGTCACACAGCCAGTGTATGGCAAAGGTGGAGTGTGAACTCAGGCAGTTGTAACACAGTCACAGTGCCTTGCTCAATTCCAGACACATGAGACTTCAAGCCCCTTAACATGCCACACTGTATACTAAACCCCTGAAGCTGAGCCAGCCCAGGTGGTCTCTATCACTTACAACCAAAACCACCTAAAATGTGATCTCAACCAGACAATAACCTCCTTGTACAGCTGAGCATGTGGGCATCTTACCTTTCCCCAAAGATTTGGCTCGGTTGGGTTTAGGAGAGTAGAGGGAACACAGGACTTTCCAGGGCCCATTGTGCTGGAGTGAGGCTTTCTCCGGGGTCACAGAGGGTTGCCTCTGCCCTCTCAAGAATGAGAATTTGAGCCCAGGAGTGGGGGGCTCAGGGGAGGAGGTGTTTCTGCTAGGGCAGGGCATGGGCTTGGGAAGTCTCCCATTTCTCTCTTTGGTCTTCACCTCTATCTTTGTTTCAGAGGCTGCAGCTGCAGGAGAAGCTGGGGACAGGCGGGGAGAGGAGGCTTGTCTTGGTCCAGGCCTGAGCTGCACCATATTCTCTGGGTTTCCTAGAGGTCCCTGCATCTTGGAGGCAGCTGGCTCTTGTGAGACACCTGCCCTGAGACCAGAGGCACAGTCCAGTGCGTCCTCAAGGACATTCATGTAGGAGCCTTGGGGCGGCCTTTCTGAGTTGTGGGTGGGTGCTTTAAGATTGACCTTTCTCCTGAAGCCCAAATTATAGGGCCTCTCCTCAGAGCTTTCTGGCTTTGTGCAAGCCCGATTTCCCAAGGAAGGTCCTTCATTGGCCTCTGAGAGAGGCAGTATCTTTTGAAATAAGGGAGTTTCCTTAGTTCCAGCTATCTCCTCTAGTGCCCCAGAAGTACACCCACTGGATGTGCCTGCCTCCCTACTGGGAGACTCTCCTCTGCTCTCTTGGGAAAAGCCTAGGAGAGCCACATAGTCTCCCTCGAAGTCCTGGCTGACCACCTCGTCCATCCTGAAAGCCACCTCCCCACACCGGGCTTGCTCCACCTTGATGAGTCCTGGATACTTGCTCCCATATGTCCTGCCCTTACCCTTGGCCAAACTCTGGGCAGGAAGCACCTGGTTGTCTGGGGAGCTGGCCTGGTGCAACTCTTGAGGGCTGCTCAAATCCAGTGCCTCTAATGGAAGGGGCCCCCAGGCTTGGCAGAGGGCATTCACTACTTGGGGTCTGTCATCCACAAACTCTGGGCTGGTTATCTTGGTCCAAGGCACAGGGGCAATCCCATTTTCTGATGCTACCAAGCAGTTGTGTAGGGGATTTCCCTCAAAGTCACTGTTGATGGCCTCCAGCCATTCTTGGGTGAAAAGTATAGGGTAGGCTGGCTCTGGAACAGGCTTCTTGTCCACTGTGCAGAGGTCCAGGGAGAGGCATTTGATCATGATGCAGACAGACTGCTCCTCCTGGGGCTCCACTTGGAGGTAGAAGTCACCCTGGCGCAATAAGAGAGGGTTGAGGGGTGCCAAGTGGACCACAACTTCATCCCTCAGACAGAGTGGCCAGCCCTCGTGTAAGAAGAGGCAGTGTGAGTAGGGAGCCTGTGGAGAGAAGGGGATGGCATCAGAGAACCTGGCCCTGAAAGGCTCCACCCTTGGATTTGCTCCTTTCCCTCTCCCACGTGGAATCTGGAACAGGTCAGGGACTAGGATGAGGCAGCATTTAGGAGGCACTCACTGTCAAGGTTGTGCAAAGGTTGACTCTCCTGCCCCACCCTCGTCCTGGCCCTGACCTTGGAAATCCTAGCCTACTGACCCAAGTGAGAAAGCTCAGAGCACCATGCACTAGTTAGCAATCGGCTTTCCCAAGTGGTCCCCTTGCTTGGCTCATGCTCCCTTCCTCTCTGCATCTATCCAGAACATTTCCCAACCCAATTCAAGTCTTAGCCCTCCATTTTAAAGCCAGGGAGACGTGGTTTAGACAAACGTCTATGTTGCTAATTTGTGCAAATTGCTTAACTTCTTTGAGCCCCAATTTCCCTATCTGCAAATAGGATAATAATACATGTCAGTATTACTGGGTTGGTATGAGGATTAAGTGAGATTATACAGATGGCCTCAATTTATGGTGGGGTTATATCCTGGTAAATCCATCATAAATTGAAACTATCATAAGTCAAAAATGCATTTAATGTACCTAATCTACAGAACATCATAGCTTATTTAGACTAGCCTATCTTAAAAGTGCACAGAGCACTTACATCAGCCTACAGTTGGCCAAAATCATCTAACACAATGCCTATTTTATAATAAAGTGTTGAACATCTTATTGAATTTGGATAGTGTATGAGGGTGAAGTAGAAACAGTATTGAATGAGAAGTCAGGAAATCTGACCCTGCCACTAACTTACTAGATGGCTGTCCAGTTTTTCCTGACCCAAAGGTTATTCTGGGCCTGAATGTTTATTTTTTATTTGTTTGTTTATTTATTTCTCATTAAATAAATGAAGGCTTATTTGTTTATTTTTTATTTATTTCCCATTAATGGATAATAACACGAAGGTGAAGCAAAACTTTAAAAAGAAATTTTTTTTTAACAGGAGTTGCCAGAAATTCCCTGTATAGGTGGGTACAGAGGGTCATTCTGGAACAGGCTGTGACCCAAGTGATCCCTCTCAGTTGAGCCTGTCCACTGGGCTGTGCGGGACCAGTGTTCAACAGTGACACCATGTGGCAACAACGGAAACAACAGCTCCACTGGGCTGACAACAGGTCTTTAACTGGCTTTTGGAAAAAGAGTCTGAGTTCTGTGGATTGAGTAAGTCCCAGACAATCTTATATAATTTGGATGTGTGTAGGGGAGATGTACAGAGAGTGAGACTGAATTTCCTGCTAATTAAACAGGTGTTTCCTGGAATTATTGATTGCGGAAATAGTGAGATCTGACCATAGTTATACCTTATGTTGATAAACCCATTTATATCAGTCATATTGTAGATTGGGCTGCCTCAGAGAAGCTTAATATCCATAAACCTTCATGAGTCTGTAGGTTTTCTCGACCCTTTTCACTTAGCCCTCTTGGGTTTGCAACATGCTTTCTCTCTCACCTTCTCATTGAATGAGAAAAAACAGCCCAGCCATTTTTTGCAAACAGCAAAGCACCAGAGTGATGATGGCTTTGCTCATCTCACTTGACTTTCACAGTAACTCAGTTTGATGTAGGCAGTCCAGGCATTATTATTTTCATTTTACAGATGATGCAACTGAGGCTCAGTGTGGTGAAACATTTGGCTCATAGCCACACAGCTGATAAGCATCAGGGACTTGGACCTAGGCCTTCACATTTCAAGTCAGCTGTATCTGTCCCCAAGCCCCACCAGACTTCATGTGAAGGTGGCTGCTTCTGGGTGATGGTGGCTGGAGAGGCAGACTTTGAGGCTGCCATGCTCTTATTTCAGATGGAGAAACAAGGAAGTGGGATAGCGATAGCCAATAGCTACTGGGCACTTGCTGCATGCCAGAGTCTTTGCTAAGCCATGTGTTGTCATCTCCATGTGTTGTCATCTCCATGTGTTAGGTGCTGTGTTATTAACGTTTCTGCTTGACACATAAGGAAACTGAAACTCAGAGAGGTGGCATGGATCTCCAAAGTTCACAGTGATGAGCTTGGATTTGAACCTGGGGCATCTGAACCCAGAAGCCATCCTGTTAATCACACATGACTTCCCATTGCTCTGAGATTGACAGATATTTGCCTATCATTACAATTAGATTAAACTCACCTACAAGGAAAAATAAAGACGCGGAAATGTTGTTACCTTGAGGAAGCGGCCAGTGCAAATGAAGTTTAAATGGCCAAATAAGGGAAGTGGGCAATTGTGTAGCTTGTCAGGGAGAAGAAATAAGGATGGGGGAGCATCTGCATGAAATAGTGTCATGTGGAAGTGGCTGCAAATGCTTCCATGAGAAGCTCCCTTCTTCTCCAATACTAGTTCCCATGTATTGAGCTATGATCTATGAGCCAGGCTCTGTGCTAAGCATGTAAAATAGATTATCTCACTTTCCTTCTGGTTCCTAACCCTGGACTTTTAGCTGCCACGTTCAATTTATTTCTACCACTGGAATGACGCACACAGTCCCCACCCTTCCTTGTTGCTTCTGATGAGCTGTGTCCCTGACAGGCAGTGGGCAACTCAGGACAGGCTGATGGGACCTTAGAACCTCTTTGTGATTCTTGAGGCTGAGGTAGCAGGAGGGTGGATGTTAATAACAACAGAGCAGGGAACAGTAGGGAAACCCATGAAGGGAATGGCAAGTTCCTGTGGTGGGCATTTGACGGCTTGGTCTCCTCAGGCTTCTCTCATCCTTTTCTGTTTTTTGTTTTTTGTTTTTTGTTTTTGAGACAGGGTCTCACTGTGCCACCCAGGCTGGAGTGCAATGGCGTGATCTTGGCTCACTGCAACCTCTGCCTCCTGGGTTCAAGCGATTCTCCTGCCTCCAAGCGATTCTCTTGCCTCAGCCTCCTGAGTAGCTGGGACTACAGGCATGTGCCACCACGCCCGGCTAATTTTTGTATTTTTAGTAGAGACGGGGTTTCACCATGTTGGCCAGGCTGGTCTCAAACCCCTGACGTCATGATCCACCTGCCTTGGCCTCCCAAAGTACTGGGATTACAGGCATGAGCCACCACTGCCGGCCTTCTCATCCTTTTCTTAAAACAGCTCCACCCTCTGACCATAGAGGTAGACACGTGACTCAAGCTTGGCCAATCCTGGTACCCCACTCCTCTGGCCACAGTGATTGGTCCAGGAATGGGCATATGACCCAAGCCTGGCCAATCAGGATCCTTCCTTGAGATTTTTCTATGTGCAGTGGATGGGAAAGAGTTTATTTTCCTCTCTAGGATAGAATATAAATCCTTGAGCTTCCCTGGGTTCCAGCCTTGTGGGAACACTTAGCCTGGAAGAATAATGCCAACAAGCAGCGCAAAGCAGAGACTAGGGACAGAAAGGATCTTCAAGGGATTTGATCAGTGGATCAACTTGGGCCTGAGGCCTGATCCACCCTTCCCTGGTTTGAGTGAGGATTCTGTCATTTGCAGCCAATGAGTCTGGCTAAAACACTTTTCTCTCCACTTTGCCTTGGCAGAGGCCTCCCTGAGATCTGAGTTTGAAGAGGTCACAGGGGAAGAAAGCAAGAGTCCTGATGCCTCAGGGGCTCCAGGGAAGCTCTAGGACCTTCTCTGCTATTTCCACTGAAGCTGCCTCACTTCACCAAAGGCACTTGGCAGTGCCCACAATGTCAGGCGCAGGGCAGGCTCCCCAAGACCAGGGAGCCCCCAAGGATGCCTTTACTCAGGCCTTCTTCTCTGCTGGTGACAGTACAATGTAATGAACTCATAGATGTCACAAGGTAAATCCCCTTCGATCTGGGGGGCTGATGTCTCCCCCTGGGCAAGCAATGATACTTGGAAAGTCCCCCCACACCCTCAGCTCCCCGTGAAACAAGACACAGGCCAGCCCACCTCCTTCTCTGCCCGCCTCTAGCCCCATGACTTTCTGGAACAGCTTGTTCCCTGTCCCTGTTTCCCTCTTGACTTACACAGGCTGCTTCTCGCACTTGCTCACACAGGCGCTTGGCAGGGATCAGGAAATCCAGAAGGAAGCTCAGCCCATCCCCCTGGAAGCCAGAGTCCAGGAGACGGAACACCTGACCCAGGACGGTGGGTGCTGTGGCCTCGAAAGGAGGATAGAGGCCCGCCAGGGCATGCTGGATGGCTGTGTCGAGGGATGGAGGGTCCTGTGGGGGACAGGAGGAGGGGGTGATAATAGCAATGATAATAAGGGCAGAGACCACTTCCCGTGACCTTCCAGGCCCCATATGCCTAAGGCCCCTGCTAATTCTCTGACCTCCTCTCCTACCCCACCCCCCTCACTCATCACTGCCAGCCACACTGGCCTTCTTTCCTGTCCCTCAAACACACTAGGCACAATCTCACCTCGGGGCCTTTGCACTGGCTGTTCCCTCTGCCTAGAATGCTCTTCCTCAAGACAGCCTCATTCCCACACCTCTTGCAGGTCTTTGCTCAAATGTCATCTGCTGATCCACGGAGACGTGGAGGAATAGGGGTGGGGGGTGGGCATTCAGGTCAGGGTCAAAGGGAAAGAGGATTTTGGCATTGCCCCAGTCTGACCGCCTGGCTGGCCTGCAGGCCTGCAGCCTGAAGCTGAGCCACGAGGGAAGCCCAGCCCAGACCAGACAGCCCCACTCCACATGCAGATGGGAGAGTGAGAATAAGTGATTGCTGTTTTGCCACTGAGCTTTGGGGTCATTTTTCACACAGCAATAACTGATACAAGTCCACGGCTGCAGACTGTACAGCCAGCTGCCTCCCATGGACCTCCTAGATGCCTCTCAGCCACCAACCGCCAACATATCAGACCCAACCTGGCAACTTCCCAAACCTGCTCCTCCCCCAGTCCTACCTCGGTGATGACCCCACCGCCCAGTCAGGCTCCTAGGCCAGAAATCTGCTCACAGCACTGCTTCTCCTCCTGCCTCCCAACCCACAATCAGCCCTCAGTGTGTCCCACACCACTTCCCCTCCACCAACAGCTCTCCAGCCAGGTGCTCCGCGCTGTCCCCTGCCCCCGCCCTGATCCAGGCTTCACCGCCTCTTCCAGGAAGGGATCCAGAAGGCAGTCAGCCCGTCCCCCTGGCAGTCAGAGTCCAGAAGAGGGAAAACTGGGCCCAGGACCCAGGATCACCTGACTCCTCTCTTTGGCTGCCAAATTCTCGTCTGCCTCACCCCAGCCATTTTCCACCAGGACCCCAGAGCGACCTTTCTCAAATGCAAACCAGACCTCATCAGTCTCTGCTCCAAACTCCTCAAAGGTTCCCACCGTCTTCAGGAAGCATCAGCCTCCAGGCATCCAGCTCCCCTGAGATCTGGCAGCTGCCCTCCGCCCCCGCCTCCCCTCCAGCCTCGCCACCCCTCTCCATGCTTCGGCCACAGTGGCACATGCCTTCCCTTGCTCACCTCGAGGCCACCGCACATGCAGTGGCTTCCTGCTGGAATGCCCTTCACTTCCACCCCTCCTCACCTGGCCAACTCCTCATTCAAGACTCAGGTCAGCTGTCAACTCCTCCAGGAGATTTTCTTGGGTGCCCCCAACTACCCCAGGGAGATCAGGTGTCCCCTTTTCTGGGATCCTATAGTACCCCTATTACAGCGGTTCCCATCTAAAGGCAGGTGTAATGGGTAGAATGACCTCCAATGACGCCCTCATCCTAATCTCTGGAACCTGTGAACGTGCTGTTACAAGACAAAGGGGAGTTAAGGCTACCAATGGAATTAAGTTTGCTAATCAGCTGACTTTAAAACAAGGAGACCATCCTGGATTAGACAAATGGGCCCAGTGTAATCACCAGGTGGAAGAGGATGCAGAAGAGGGAAGGGTAAGAGGAAATGTGACTATGGGCCAGGGGTGGTGGCTCACACCTGTAATCCCAGCACTCTGGGAAGCTGAGGTGGGAGGATCGCCTGAGGCTAGGAATTTGAGACCAGCCTGGGCAACATAGTGAGATCCCATCTCTTATTACATTAAAAATCGTAAATAGGCTGGGTGTGGTGGCTCATGCCTGTATCCCAGCACTTTGGGAGGCTGAGGTGGGTGGATCCCTTGAGGTCAGGAGTTCAAGGCCAGCCTGGCCAACATAGCAAAACCCCATCTTTACTAAAAATACAAAAAAGTAGCCCGGTGTGGTGATGCATGCCTGTAATCCCAGCTACTCGGGAGGCCAAGGCATGAGAATTGCTTGAACCTGGGAGATGGAGGTTTCAGTGAGCCAAGATGGCGCCACTGCACTCCAGCCTAGGCGACAGAGCAATAATAAATAAAATAAAATAATAAATAAATAGCGGAAATATGACAACGGAAGCAGGATCAGAGAGATGTGATGTTGCTGGCTTGGAACATAGAGCGGGAGCCAAGGAATGCGGGCGTCTCCTAGAAGCTGGAGAAGGCAAGCAAATGGATTCTCCCCTAGAGCCTCCAGAAGAGAAATAGCCCTGCCAAGACTTTGTTTTTGGCCCAGTGAAATGCATGTCAGGCCTCTGATCTTTTATTACCTGCAAGGTACTATACTTGTGTAGCTTGAAACTAAAGTGCATGATCATTTGCTACGGTGGCAACAGGAGGCAGGTACAGTAAGCACTGGCTTCTTTTCCTCTTTGGGGCCTCGGTGTCTGCACAGGACCAGGCACAAACAGGTGCTTCATAAATTTTATGGCAGAAGAAACAAAATGTCCCTCTCTGAATCACAATTTTTCTTTTCCTTTTCTTGTCTTCTCTTTATTATTATTATTATTATTATTATTATTATTTTTGAGACAGAGTCTTGCTCTGTTGCCCAGGCTGGAGTGCAGTGTTCCGATCTCTGCTTGCTGCAGCCTCCGCCTTCTGGGTTGAAGCGATTCTCCTGCCTCAGCCCGAGTAGCTGGAATTACAGGGATGAGCCACCGTGCTTGGCCTTTTTGTTTGTTTGTTTGTTTGTTTGTTTTTAAAGACAAGATCTTGCTCTGTTGCCCAGACTGGAGTGCAGTGGTGCTATCTCGGCTCACTGCAGTCTTGACTTCCTGGGCTCCAGCAATCCTTCCACCTCAGCCTCCCGAGTAGCTGTGGACCACAGGCACCCACCACCATGCCTAGCTAATTTTTGTATTTTTGGTAGAGATGGGGTTTCACCATGTTGCCCAGGCTGGTCTTGAACTCCTGAGCTCAAGCTAGCCACCCGTCTCGCCTTCCCAAAATGCTGGGATTAGAGGCATGAACCACCACGCCTGGTCAGAACCACCATTTTTCTGTCAAATAGACAAGTTGGACTAGGCCAGAGGTTTCCACCCAGGTATGGTCTTAGGACCCATAGGTCATGAGCCTCACGGGGGCCCTTCTGGTTGCCCCAGCCTGGTTGCAAGCTCCAGGTCCACCTGTTGCCCAGGGGGGCAAAGGGAGATGAGAATAAATAAGGACCCCACTCAAAGGGAGCTTACTTAAGGAGGGAAAAATCATTTTAGTAAATGAGGCCCCTGAAGAAAGAGAAATACAATAGGAACTCTGAGGAGGAGGAGGGTGGCATTTCTCAATGCCAGCAAGATTCCAATGCCAGGAGGCTTTTACAGAGGACTGAGGCTCCCTCCCACCCGTAGCCCACACAGTGCTGGGCGCAGGGGACCGCCATCACTATTTGTAGAATGAATGAGTGAATGAATGAGTGTCCACAGCCCATTGTGATGGAAACAGGGTCCGGGCACTGCCGTGGCAGTGAGCTCAGAGAGGATGATGGACCGACAGGCATCTGGTGCTGAAATCACATGTACCCAGGAGGTTTTACACTGAGGTGGAGGGAGGGGCCTTCAACTTGGCAGAACAGGGAAGGTCTCATCTGGCCCGGTGTCCTCTTCTAATCCCCCCCCAACCCCCACCAATCATGGTCAAACTCTGACATTTCCCACCCCATGCAATCCTGGGAGCAGTCCCTTCCCCTGCCAGGTGCCCTCCCCACTCCCTCCCTCCTCTCTCCTGAGACTTGGGCTCTGGCCTCTCTGTTGAGACGTTGGCTCCAGCCTCTCTGTGCAGCCTTGAGTAGGTCCTTTCCCTCTCTGGGCCTCTTTCCTTGTGTAAAGAAAGCATATTGAGCTGGGCTAAGCTTGATTTGTTTTGGTTTTGGAAATTTAATCATTCATGATGACTTTTATGATGTTTAGCATCTCCTCATACCATGCATACTATTAGCACTTACTATTTTTCTTCAAATCCACTCACTTTTTCAAAACTTACATAATTGTGTTTTTCAATGAGACTCTGTATCATCACAGTGGTTATGCAAGTGCAGCCAGACTGCCCGGGTTCAAACTCTGGTTCTGTCACTTACTGGTTGTGTGTACCTGGCAAGTCAGATTTAACTCGTTGTGCCTCAGTTTCCTCATCTGTAAAATGGAGACTGTAATTACACCCACCTTAAGGAGTTGATCAAGATTGGGTGTATTGAGGTAATACATGCGAATTCTCTGCACAGGACTAGAATTTAGTAGGTGCTCATTAAGTAAGAGCCATCACTACAATTTCTGTGGTCATATTATTATTATTATTATTATTATGGTGTGTGTGTGTGTGTGTGTGTGTCTGTGTGTGTGTGTGTGTGTGTGTGGTTTTAAGGAGCAGAAAGTTTAATAGGCAAGAAAGAAAGAAGGAAGAAGAAAACAGTTCCCCTGTATGGAGACAGAGGGAGGAGGATTCTAACAAAGAGAAAACCCCGTGTGCTGCAGAAAAGTGGCTGCTTCTACGAGGAGGTTGGAGGAGATGGTGTCTGATTTGCATAGGGCTCAAGGGATTGGTTTGACCAGGCATGTCACTCATGTAGCCCACGAAAAAACTGGCCCTACTACCCTAGCTTTTTAATATGCAAATGCAGGGCGCCATGATGTTCTACACAGGTGGGGATATGTGGGGGCGGCCATGTTACCAGGCACATGTGGGGGCAAGGGCAAGAAGAAGAAGGTAGGAATCACCATGTTTGGGTGGATCTGTGGCAATATTATAACTGTTATTACATCATCACTATAAATGGAGAAATAACTGTAAACTGGCATAAATCGAATGTAACTCCAAAAATAAACTGATGATGCATTGGATGGTTTTTGTATTATTTCATTTATTAAAATATATTTAAATATATTACTTATATAAAGTATATTTTTTGTTTACTGTTTGTATTTCTGTGAAAATAAACTACTTTAAAAAATAAAAATAAACAATGAAAACGAATAGTACCATTAAATTCTAGGGACATCTGGTCACCTCTTGGAGCCTAAGGGGGTCTTCTCCCTCTCTTTCTCCCAAATGCATCAGAGAGATGTTAAAGACATCTTATCCCCAGAGGAAGTCTTTCTCCTTAGGTCTGGAGAAGCTCAGGGAATTTGAAAGGGACTGATTGTCCATCACATGGTTCCATGTCATTTAGTTCCAGTCTGTGACATACCTTGTGTCTAACCAGGCCCGCATTCCTGGCCCCTATACTATGCTCATGACCTTCTGGACTGACCCAGGGAACCTTGTAGTGCAGAGGGACATAGAAAACTACCTGCTCACAGTGGTTATACCTGGGCAATGGAGTGGGGGTGGGGGGATGTGTATACTTCTATTTCAATGTCTTTGCAATGAGCCACTGCTATTATAGTCTTTTTTTTTTTTTTTTGAGACAGAGTCTCACTTTGTCACCCAGGCTGGAGTACAGTGATGCAATCTTGGCTCACTGCAACCTCCGCCTCCCGGGCTCAAGTGATTCTTCTGCTTCAGCCTCCCATGTAGCTGGGATTATAGGCACCCACCACCGCGCCCAGCTAATTTTTGTAGTTTTAGTAGAGATGCAGTTTCACCATGTTGGCCAAGCTGGTCTTGAACTCCTGACCTCAGGTGATCCGCCCTCCTCGGCCTCCTGAAGTGCTGAGATTACAGGCATGAGACACTGTGCCTGGCCCCATTATAATCTTAAGTATCATTTTCGTCAAGTAAAATAAACAAATTTAAAGGGCACAGGTTGATGCCTTTTTAACCTATGTATGAGCCCCTGTAACCACTTACCCAGATCAAGAGACAAAAGAGCTCCATACTCCAGAGAGAGGCCCCTTGCCAGTTGTCTATGTCATCACTGTGGTCTGCATCCTAACCTCAGGGAAACAGTGAGTTAAACTATCTTTCCCTGATGTGCCTCAGTTTCCCCTTCTGCACATAGATGGGATTCTGATTCCTATCCTACCTCACTCAGATGATTGTTCTAGACACACAAGGAGCTAATTAATGGATGTACAGGGTCTTGGGGAAAGTCAAAGGCATGGCCGCTGCTGTTATTGCTATTCATTCTTACTTATTTTCACTCATCCTGTCAGCCCAAGCTTAAGTCCCAGCCTCTGTGTGAAGCATCCCCCATCTCCTGGTCCCTCCCTGTGTCCACTACTGTCACCCCAATGATAACAACAGTCTCCAGGCGGCTACTGTGCCCAGGTCCCCTACTTGCATTCTCTTGCTTAGCCCACACAACGATGCCAGGAGCCAAGTAGGAATGACCCGTTTTGCAAGTCAAGAAACCGAGGCTGATCTTGCCCAAGACCGCACAGAAGAGAAAGACAGAGCCAGGATCCAATCCAGATTGGGGCCTGCCAAGTCTGCCCAGATCTTCCCCTGTTTCCTGCCGCCCCCTCTGCCTGGGGACCACCAGCTGTGGGGACTGACGATCCCAGCTGCCTGTCCTTCCCAGTTTCTAGTAGAGCCTGAAGAAACTGTTTACCTCTCACAGAGCAAGGCTCAGAGACCGGGACACCCTTAGCTTTCACAAATTGGCTTGGTTTGCCACACACTGTTACCATTTAAGGGGCAGCCAGTAAAAAGGAAGTATGTTCCGAGTTAACAGAGCTCCGAGCTCTTGGCCAGCACATTACCCACTACAGGCCTGAACCCCAGGGGCTCATAAGCCATCCAAGTATTGGAGGAAGCACACTGTGGTGGGTGTGGGGGTGCCCAGGCGGCTGCAGGAAGGAACGCTAGCCACTCTCATTCCCAATCCACCCGGCAGCCCAGCCTGGGACCACAGGAACCCAAACACCAGACGTGGGCCCCTCAGCATGATTTCCATGAAACTTAATAGATGTGTTTCCATTCCTTCCCAGTGAACACAGCCCGCAGCCCGGCAGGAGCCAGGCTGTTCCCAGGCAGGAGCCAGCGGGTGTGAGGCTGAAAAGGAAGAAGGTGAGACGAGCCACAGCCCCCTCCCCTGCAGCCCAAGGTCAGAGAAGGAGCTCATCAAGGGGACAGGCAGAACCAGGCCCGCACTGCTGGCTCCTATACCATGCTCACGACCTTCTGGACTGACCCAGGGAAGCTTGCAGGTTAGGAGGGACTACTTGCTCACAGCGGTTATAACCTGGGCAGGGGAGTAGGGGCGTGCGTATACTTCCATTTCAATGTCTTTGCAATGAGCTGCTATTATTATAATCTTAAATACCATTTTTATCAAGTAAAATAAACAAATATAAAAGGCATAGGATGATGCCTTTTTACCTATGTATGAACCCTGTAACCACTTACCCAGATCAAGAGACAAAAGACCTCCACCACTCCAGAAAGAGGCCCCTTGCCAGCCAACTCTCCCACCCCTGACTATTGGAATTTTTTTTAAAGAAAACAGTGTCATACCGTATGATCTATAGTATGAATAAAACCATGTAAGCCTAGAAAAAACTCCAAGTGGACATTAAGTAAAGTGTTAACTGCAGTTACCCCTGAGGGCTGTGCGGGGCAGGGGCCTCGTAAGGCAGCCTTTTAATTTTCTTCATAGTTTCCCGGATTTTCCAAACATTCCGTAACCAGCTTGTATAGCTTTTATAATTAGGAGGGGAAAAAATAAAAGTGTGAGAGTATGTGTTTTTAAGGCTGGTTCCCTTTGTAAATGGTCTCACCAGATGTTGTTAGCTGGACTTTCTGAGATGTGGATTAAGCTTTTCTTTTCTTTTCTTTTCAAGAAAGAGTTTTGCTCTTGTTGCCCAGGCTGGAGTGCAATGGTGCCATCTCGACTCACTGCAACCTCTGCCTCCTGGGTTCAAGCGATTCTCCTGCCTCAGCCTCCCAGGTAGCTGGGATTACGGGCACCTGCCAACACGCCCAGCTAATTTTTTGTATTTTTAGTAGAGACAGGGTTTCATCATGTTGGCCAGGCTGGTCTAAAACTCCTGACCTCAGGTGATCCACCCACCTTGGCCTCCCAAAGTGCTGGGATTACAGTCATGAGCCACTGCACCCAGCTGGACTGAGCTTTTCTTAAAGGTCCAGATTTATCCATTTACTGCAACGGGCAAAGATTTTAGTATCACTTAGCATCTGCCGCCTCCTTACTTGGGAAGAGAGGACTGAGAAAAGCCAAAATGGACAGAGTCCTAGGGCTACCTTCAAGCTCTGCCCTGTTCCTTGGGGAAAAAAAAAATGCCTAGGGAGGGTGAGATTATGCCCCTGACTCTCTGGGTGATCCTGGCCTCAGTTTCCCCACCTATAAAAGGGAGGCACTAAGCATATCTATCTCCAAGGGCCCTTCCAGTAGGGGCATTCTAGAATTCAAAGTATAATCAGGGGCCGGGTGCAGTGGCTCATGCCTATAATCCCAGCACTTTGGGAGGCTGAGACAGGAGGATCTCTTGGGGCCAGAAGTTCGAGACTAGCCTGGCCAACATAGTGACAGCCTGTCTCTATAAAAAATAGGAAAACTTAGCCAGGCATGGTAGCTCATGGTAGTCCCAGTTACTTTAGGCACTGAGACAGAAGGATCGCTTAAGCCCAGGAGGTGGAGACTGCAGTAAACTATGATCACACCACTGTACTCCAGCCTGGGCAGAGCGAGTCCCCAACTCCAAAAAAAAAAAAAAGTATAATCTATTTCAGGAAGGTTTGGAGCTGGGATGTGGTTTCTGAATGGGATCAGTTAATCCTCAGTTGGTGAGAAGGTTTAAAAAGATCTGTCTTGGCTGGGCACGGTGGCTCATGCCTGTAATCCCAGTACTTTGGGAGGCTGAGGCAGGCAGATCACCTGATGTCAGGAGTTCGAGACCAGCCTGGCCAACATAGTGCAACCCTGTCTCTACTAAAAATACAAAAACTAGCCGGGTGTGGTGGCGGGTGCTGAAAATCACAGCTACTCAGAAGGCCGAGGCAGGAGAATTGCTTGAAACTGGGAGGCAGAAGCTGCAGTGAGCAGAGATTGGGCCACTGCACCCCAGCCTGGGTGACAGAGTGAGATCTGTCTCAAAAAAAAAAAAAATCTGTCTCTTCCATCTTCCTGCCTCAGGCCTAGGGAGAGTCAGTCTAAACCAACAGCCACAGGTATAAATAAGTGCTTCCAGGGGCCTGACAGGTAACATGAAGACAGACACTGGCTGAGTGTGAGAAAGCACTCACTTCCACCCTTTGGAGATAGTCAGCCTCAGCACCAGGGAAGCAATGGGGAATAGAGGGGCTTGGGGCACACACCCCCTCTCATCAGCATCAGCTGAGTGTTGCTTTGGCCCAGCACCACCTGATCTACTGATTTTTCAGTAAAACCTCCCAATTTTGAAAAAGTTGGCCAAGCCAAACACATCTGTGAGCCAGATACGGCCCAGCGGGTGTCAGGTTGTAATTTCCAGTCTCAATGACCTGGGACACTCGTCCTGAACTTCTCCAGGCTGGAGATTCTAGAACCAGCATTCTGTGGCTCTGGCTGCCAGGAAGTTCTTGCTCACTTCCAACTAAAACTTCTGCTTTAAGTCCTTTTTATTTTTGTGTGGGTGGAGGTATGAGTGAGTATTGGCTCGTATAAAAAAACTTTCAGAAACTGGGAAAACAGCCCTGATGCAGTGAGCCGAGAAGCAAGTGGCTGTCAGAAGACCCACGTTATAGTCCAGCTCTGTCTGTATCATCTGCATGACCTCGACCCCCTGCCCCTCACTGAGCCTTAGTTTTGTATTTGTTCCTTTCTCTCCCTCTCCCCTTTTCCTCTGCCTTGGGCTCACCATCTCCCACCCAAACCACATCATGATCACAATTGTAACCAGAGCTGCTTCCTACTGTCTTGTGTGTTAGGCCCCTGCTAAGCATTTTTCATTAACTATTTTATCTCAATAATTCTATGGGCTGGGTATTTTTATTCCCATTTTACAAGTTAAGAAACTGAGCTCAAGGCTCTACTGCTACTAAATGGTAGCACTGGGGTATGACCCTGGGCACATAACCACCAGCTGTCCTGTCTCTTTCCCCGGGCTCCCTGCTACCACGCCAGGCTCCTCTTAGTCATCATAGTGGGCTTCCTAACACAGAGATCCAACTGTGACCCTCCACTGCTCAACAACCTCGGGTGGCTCCCTATTGCCTTAGCAACTCACTGGTCTGGTGCTGTGGCCCGTCAGTCAGCTCCCAGCTTACCTTCCCTACTTCTTCTAAACATACTTTATGCTGTAGCCCAAGGCTTTCCAATCATCATGGGCCCCTTTCATGAGGTTCTTTCTGCCATGTTCACATATTCTAATTTGTTATTGGCTTACTCTTTTTTATTAATTATTATTTACTTAACGTTTGACTTTTTGTCAATTCTTTTTCAACTTAAATCTATTTTTTGGCTGGGTGTGGCGACTCATGCCTATAATCCCAGCACTTTTGGGAGGCCAAGGCAGGAGAATCGCTTGAGCCCAGGAGTTCAAGACCAGCCTAGGCAACAGAGGGAGGCCCTATCTCTACAAAAAATAAAAAGTTAGCTGAGCATGGTAGCACGCACCTGTAGTCCTAGCTGCTTGGGAGGCTGAGGTGGGAGGATTGCTTGAGCCTGGGAGATAGAGGCTGCAGTGAGCTATGATCATACCACTGTACTCCATCCAGCCCAGGTGATGGAGCGAGACCCTGTCTCAAAACAAAAAATTATTTATATTTATTATTATGTGTTTGTGCTGTTTAAATTCCTTCCTAATACTCATTAAGATGAAAAGCTGTAAACTAAAAATTGTTCATCTAAGTGCCATCTAAAATCTCCCCTCCTGGAACCTTTGGTGGATGCCACATCTTGGAAAGTGCTGCCTGGACACACATCTGTGTCTCTGCTTCCACTGCCCCACTCCCTGGACTGAGCAACCTCCTGCCCACCCTTCAGAGCCCTTCCAGACTTGCTTCTCTTCTCTTTGCTTTTCAGGACACATGTGCTTCCAGGCAGAAGGATGGACCCCCACCACCCATCAGACACAGCCTAGAATTATCTGTGGATGAACCTGCCTTCTCCATGGACTGCCAGCCCCCAAAGCAGGAACCACGTCCTTATAGAGGGCCTGGCACACAGTAGGGAACTGGGGTGGGGTACTGCCATGCAGCAGGTATGTGGGCAATGTTGAATGGATTAAACTGAACTTGGCTAGGGTGGTGGCTCATGCCTGTAAACCGAGCACTTTGGGAGGTTGAGGTGGGAGGATCACTTGAGGTCAGGAGTTTGAGACCAGACTGGCCAACATGGTAAAACCCCATCTCTACTAAAAATGCAAAAATTAGCTGGGCCTAGTGTCACACACCTATAGTCCCAGCTACGCAGGAGGCTGAGGCATGAGAATTGCTTAAACCTGGGAGGCAGAGATTGCAGTGAGCCAAGACAGTCCCACTGCACTACAGCCTGGGCAATAGAGCGAGACTCCATCTAAAAAAAAAAAAAAAAAAAAAACCTGAACGTGACCAGTTTTTCTCACAGGTGGCCCACAAAACAATTTTGGGAGAACATAGATTGATGTGAAATCACAGCGAGAAAGTTACTCCAGTTCTCTTCCATTCCTCACGATGACACCAAGGACAATACCTCAGTCTGGAGCCAGTCTATCTCGAAGACCTCTCAGGCACTTACTCATCACTCTGTTTAACAAAAGAAAACAGTCCTCGGGCTTGAAATTGTTCACCACCAACCTCATCCAGCCAGAATTTACTAACACAGATTTGCCTTCATTGAGTACATATTTTTATAGTTACTTTTTTTTTTTTTTTTGAGACAAAGTCTCGCTCTTGTCCTCCAGGCTGGAGTGCAATGGTGCGATCTCGGCTCACTGCAACCTCCGCCTCCGGGGTTCAAGTGATTCTCCTGCCTCAGCCTCCCGAGTAGCTGGGATTACAGGCACCTGCCACCATGCCCGGCTAGTTTTTTCTGTTTTCAGTAGAGACGGGGTTTCACCATGTTGGCCAGGCAGGTCTTGAACTCCTGACCTCTGGTGATCCGCCAGCCTCGGCCTCCCAAAGTGCTGAGATTACAGGCGTGAGCCACTGCGCCCGGCTTAGTTACTTTCTATTTATGACAATGGATACTGATTTTTTCATGGTTGTGATATAAAATTTTCTATTTAAATATATTTTTCAGTGTACAAAGTAAGTTGATTTAAAGAAAAATATTGAGCAAATAATAAGTAGTAGATTTTATCATTTTCTTATATATTTTATCCAGTAAGTGGATGTGTAAAAGTTGTTTCAGTGATACTAACATTTGGGAACCATGGGACAGGATCAACCCTAAGCCCCTTTGCCATAAGATTCTCTGACATGGGGGTGCCCCCAAACACTAGACAGCTGTTAATCAAATGCCCCACAAAAATTACAGCTATGATGGGTTATCATAAAGGAAAGATACATGACATGCTAGAGTAAGAGTCAGGGAAATCAGGGAAGGCTTTCCTGAAGAGGTGACATTTGGGTGAAGATTTACCGGGTAAATAAGAATTCATTAGGTGAAGGTATTCCTCCAAGCAGGAACAGCATGTGCAAAGGCCCTGGGGCAGCAGGGAGCGTGAACCATAAGAGGCTCGCAAGCAAGGCTGGAGTGGCTGGAGCACAGAAGTGAGGCCAGGGAGGTAGGCTGGCAACAACCTTTATTCTTTAAAAAACAGGCAAGGGAAGGAAATCTGCACATTGTTCCCAATCTGGAAAGAGTTGCTCACCCTTTGACAGGGGGCAGACCAGTGCCTGACCCTTGATCTGAGGATCTGGGGTTCAATGAGGGGTTTCTAATGACTAGGTTAGGTGTGAAAGCAGGAGAGGCTTGGCAAACACCAGGTGCACGCTGTGGCCCTGGAGTGACCATGACCGCCGAGTGCAGGCTCAGAATTCAGACTGTCCTAACTTGCACTTTCTGGGTGGGGTGACCTTGGGCAGCTACTTAAGTTCCCAGAGCCTGAGGTCCCCATCTGTTGGAGATAGCCGCAGGTCTAATCTTAGAGTTGGTATGAGTTACTGACTCCTGGATGTAAATCACCTAGCACAGGGCCTTGCCTGTAGGGAGAGGTGAATAACCACTGGCTTATGAGAGTATTTTCAAACAGCTCCAAGAGCCATGTGTGTGTACACCTGTCCCCGCAGTGCATGGATGTAGGTGCCCGGTTTTGCAATATGTCTGTGGTGTGTATGCCAATGTATGCCCATAGTTTAGCAGTATGGGGGAGCAGGTGCAGAAGGCATGGGTGTATGAGAGGGTGTGAACATGTGTTCAGCTGTGTGAGTCAGTGGGAGCATTCAGGTGTGCTCTGTGCGTGCATGTGTATGTGTGTGTGCATGTGTACGTGTGTGTGCATGTGTACGTGTGTGTGAGTGCCTGCGTGTGTGTGTGTGTGTGTGTGAGAGAGAGAGAGAGAGAGTATGAACACCTCTATATGGAATTCTTCTGCTTGTGGAGATGCATTTGCTGTGAGTGAAAACCCACACAAATTCAACATGGTTGGTCACAGTCACAGGGTTAAAGCCTTGGCCTGTCTTCACAGCTTTTTTCAAAATCCTTACAGCCCCTGTGAATCTGCCTGGGGCTCTTGTATCTGTCTGGAGCTGGGCTGAAATCCTCCAAAAACAGACTTTTCTTTCATTCCCTGTTGCCAGATACTGGCACAAACGCATCCCTGCCACCACCACCACCACACACACACACACACACACACACACACACACATTCTCCCAGAATGTCTCAACTTTTTTCAAGGTTCCAGCTCCAAAAGTCCCTTCCTCTTCCCTCTCCCCAGCCAATTCCCATGGAAGCACCCTGGGTTTCAATGTGTATATCTGACTTTCCATAGCTGAGTCTAAAACAGCAAAAGCATCCCAAGTTTTGGTAAGCAGTTCTCTCCTTTTCACCCTGGACCCTTAACCCTCCTCGCCCTGCACTGCCTGGCTGGCCTGGGAGGGGACTTTAACCCCCACCACCACTCTTCCCCATCCAAACTCCCTGCCGGGACAATGTGCATATCACAGTCAGTTCCAAAACAAACATGCAAAACCACCCCGTTTCAGCCCTCAGCCTCAGGGCTGAGATTCAGGCTCAGGTCTAGGGGTTGGGGAATATTAAAGTTTACAAGTACAATCTTACTCCATCCATACACACACATGGAGAAGCCAGGAGAGGACGCGGCCAGAGATGGGCTCCTGCCCTTGAACCCCTGCTGGGGTGGAAGCAGGTAAGCACAACCCTGCCAAGGCACTGAGGGTCGTCTCAGTGTAAAAGGCCAGGGCCACCCGGGGCTGTTCTGCAGGGAATGGGGAGGGCTGTGCCCACTGAAAGGGGGCAGAGCGAGGTGGTCCAGGCCTTGGCGCGTTACCATGGTGACGGGCTGCCAGCGGCGGGCGGCGCGGCTCCTCTCCTGGGCGCGGGGTCTGTGGGTCCGCGGGTCCGTCTGTCTGGGGCAGCCCTCGGTCCCGCCTAGCCCTGGAGCCAGGGGATAGGGCAGGCCCGGGGCACCGACCCCGGCGTCATCTCGGAGGAGCGGCCGGGGAGGACAGGGAGAGAGACTGAGAGAGAGACAGAGAGGGACTGAGGCTGGAGACGGCGAGAGACATAAGGGAGCCGCGGGCGGCGCGGGTCGGGCCACCAGACGGGGGGCGGCAGCAGAGGCGGGGCGGGGCGGGGCGCGGCGGGACAGCGGCCCCTTTGTGCCTGAGCCCTTTGTGCCCAGCCCGCGCGCCCCGCCCCCACCGCCCCCCCTTCCCTCCGTCCACCCCCTCAGCAGCCAGCTGGAACCCGAGGAACCCGAGTCCGCCCCGCCAAGTTTTCCTCCCCGCTCCTCGCTCTTCCCACGGCGCACCCGGCCCGGACAGCCCCATTGTACAGACCCGCAGAGCGAGGCCTCGAGCCGCAGCAGCCGGGTTAAGCGCCCGCGGACCTCGCTGGCAGGCCCAAGTTCGAGTCTCCTCCTCCTACACTTCCCAGGGAGTCACAGACTCTCTTAAGCTTCGATTTCTTCATCTGTAAAATGGGGTGGGAGGAGGATGATGATGATGATGATGATGATGATGATGATGATGATAGTGCCTGCTGCTTAGATTTGGTGATGAGGAGTAAGCATCTGTCCCAGCGCCCTTGAATTCTCCCACATTATGCCCCATCATGACGGCCTAATTCAAGGCTTTGAGGTGATGATGGCTGTGTGCGAGTTCTGTTCTTGACTCTCAGATAATGACCTTGGCCAAGTCGGTATTTCCTACTGAGCCTCAGCTTTGGAGTGAGACTAAGAAACTAGATGACCGCTAGGGTCTATATGTGTGTGTCCCCTCCCAAATTCGTATGTCCAGACCTAATCCTCAGTATGATGGCATTAGGAGGTGGGGCCTTTGGAAAGTGATTGGGTCATGAGAGGACAGAGCCCTCACGAATGGGATTAGTGCCTCTCTCTATATATATATATACACCTACATATATATACCTATATATATACATATATACACCTATATATATACATATATACACCTATATATATACATATATAGGCACTAATATGTATAGGCATATATACACACACATATATATACACACACATATATATACACACATATATACATATATATACACACACACGCACACACATATATATTTGAGATGGAGTCTCACTCTGTTGCCCACCCAAGCTGGAGTGCAGTGGCATGATCTCAGCTCACTGCAACCTCTACCTCCCAGGTTCAAGCAATTTTCCTGCCTCAGCCTCCCGAGCAGCTGGGATTTTAGGCACCCGCCACCACACCTGGCCAATTTTTGTATTTTTAGTAGAGACTGCATTTCGCCATGTTGGCCAGGCTGGTCTCGAACTCCTGACCTCAGGTGATCTGCCCACCTCACCCTCCTAAAGTGCTGGGATTACAGGCGTGAGCCACCATGCCCAGCTTAGTGCCCAAGAGGCCCCAGAGAGCTAGCTGCCTTGCCCCTTCCACCATGGAAGGACACAGCGAGAAGGGGCTGTCTATGAACCAGAAAGGCCCAGAAACATAAGGTCCAGAAAGAAGGCTCTTACCAAACACCCAACTTGCTTGTGCCTTGATCTAGGGCTTCCCAGCCTCCAGAACTGTGAGAAGAGAATTTCTGTTGTGTATAAGCCCCTCAGTCTAAGGTATGTTGTTATAGCAGCCCAGACTAAAACAGTGACCAAAGTTATTCCTGGTTAGATGGCTCAGGGTTTTGTCCATTTATTTATCAAACACTGTGCACTGAGTCAGCCTGTCTCCCCCACTAGACTATACATTACTTGAGAGTCCCGGCCCTCAAGTAATGTACAGTCTAGTGGGGGAGACAGGCAAGGAGCAGATAAACAGGAAAAATAAAAAAATAATAACTGTGGTAACTGCTAAGAAGGAAACAAACAAATGTTGACATTGGGAACAGTAGAGGGATCAACTTATAGCTGGTGGTCTAGGAAGCCTGGGTCTGAAAGCCTAGATCTGAAAGGGGAGGAATTAGAAGAGTGGAGATGGGGAGACGCAGAGGAACCAAGTTCTAAGCAGAGAGAACCGCATATGCAAAGGCTCTGAGGCAATATTAAGCTTAAAGGAGCTGGGGAGTAAGTGAAGAACTGAAAAAGACGAGTGTAGTTGTAAGGGTTAGAGTTCAGACCCAAGCCTTATTCACAGCCCATCTCCCACCCCACATAGGTTAATCAGTCTTTTAGCAGAGAAAACCTGAATTAGGAGCCATCCTATCCCAACTTTTGATAAGTTCCTTCACATCCCCGACCTTCACTTGCTTATCACTAATTTGGGACTAATAATCCCCTGCAATATTTCCACAGCCCAGCAATCAAGTAAACTCTCTCTACAGGAGATGGTCTGGATGGTTTTAGTATCATGACTCCAGATGTGAATTTAGGAGAGAACAGACTTGATGTTCAGTACAGAATTCCACTGAGAGTTGTGGGGTCACAGCTTGAAGGTTTTAGAGTCCCAGGTTGCCATGAGACAGAATTGACATGACAGCCAGCGTTCTGGGGTTGCAGGCAACAGAAGCGGATTCTGAGTTAATTAAGCAGAAAAGAATGGATTGGCAGTCAGAGAATCAATGCGAAGGCTGGGGCCTATCCTCTGGAAAGCACTGGAGTAAGTAGGATGCTCTGGGGGGTCTCGTTATCGGAAAGAGTTGGAAACGTTTGAACACATGGAATTACATTAAGACAAACAAACACACCAAAGTAGAACTTTATATGTGTCAGGTAGTTTTCTAAGTATATAACAGTTATGAAGTAGATTCTATTATTGTCCTCACTTTACAAATGAAAAACTAAGGCACAGAGAGGGTATGTAGCCTGCCCAATGTCAGATAGCTAGTAAACTGTGGATTTCAGAATTGGACACAGCTATCCAATTCCGTAAGTTATGTTATTAACCACTTTGCTATGCTACCTGCATAAATCCTAACCATTCTCTCTGCCCTTGTGTTCCTCACTGATGGACTCAGAACCTTAAAAGAGCCAGGCATGGTGGCATGCTCCTGTAGTCCCAGCTACTTAGGAGGCCAAGGTGGGAGGATCACTTGAGCCCAGGAGTTCAAGGCTGCAGTGAGCTATGATTGCACCATTGCACTCCAACCTGGGAGACAGAGTGAGACCCCATCTCTAAAAAACAAACAAACAAAATAAAACCTTTATAGAGAAATTCTAATTGCGTCATGTGCCCAGGGCCTCACTAAGACTGCACCTACACATATCAGGAATAGTTGGTCACCCAAAAGGAAATTAAATTGCATAAGAAGGAGAAGAAATGAATATGAAATTGTCCATAAACAAGTGCAATTACAGCCTGGGCACAGTGGCTCATGCCTGTAATCCCAGCACTTTGGGAGGCCGAGGTGGGCAGATTGCCTGAGCTCAGGAGTTTGAGACCAGCCGGGGCAACATGGCAAAACCTTGTCTCTACTAAAAATGCAAAAAAATAACCAGGCATGGTGGCGCACACCTGTAATCCCGGCTACTGGGAGGTTGAGGCAGGAGAATCACTTGAACCTGGGAGGTGGAGGTTGCAGTGAGCAGAGATCACACCACTACACTCCAGCCTGGGTGACAGAGTGAGACTCTGTCTCAAAACAACAACAACCACCACCACCACCACAACAACAAAAAGGTGCAATTACGGTCTATCCATTGGGCCTCTCAACATACTTTATATCCTTGTTCACAGGCATGTTCTTCCAAAACTCCTCTCTACTGATGTGGTATAGCAGTTCCATATGCAACCAACAATGTGCACACACACATACACACACACACCTCTATGGTTTGTAGTCATACTGTGTGTGACCTCAGGGAGGTTCACTTTTCTGAGCTTCAGAATCGTCTTTTGTAAAAGATGGGTAAGATTCGTCATGGGGAAGAATAAATAAGTTAATGAATGTAAAGTGCTTTGCACTGTGTCTGGTACATAGAATTAACATGCGTCATATAAAATAGTGCTGTTATTCCAAAAAATAGGGAGGAGGGAATACTTCCAAACTCATTCTATGAGGCCAGTATTACTCCAATACCAAAACCAGACAAAGACACATCTAAAAAAGAAAACTACAGGCCAATATCTCTGATGAATATGGATGCAAAACTTCTTAACAAAATACTAGCAAACTGAATTCAACAATACATTAAAAAGATCATTCATCATGACTAGGTGGGATTTATCTCTGGGATGCAAGGATAGTTCAACATATGCAAATCAATCCATTCTGTTGTGATACATCACATCACATACATCACATCAACAGAATGAAGGACAAAAACCATATGGTCATTTCAATCGATATTGAAAATGCATTTGATAAAAGTCAACTTCCACTCACGATTAAAAACCCTCAAAAAACCAGGTATAGAAGGAACATACCTCAACATAATAAAAGCCATATATAACAGACCCACAGCTAGTATCATATGGAATGGGAAAAAACTGAAAGCCTTTCCTCTAAGATCTGGAACACAACAAGGATGCCCACTTTCGCCACTGTTATTCAACGTAGTACTGGAAGTCCTAGCTAGAGCAATCAGGCAACAGAAAGAAATACAGCGCATCCAAATTGGAAAGGAAGAAGTCAAATTATCCTTGTTTGTCGATGATATAATCTTATATTTGGGAAAACCTAAAGACTCCACCACAAAACTATTAGAACTGATAAACAAATTCAATAAGATTGCAGGATACAAAATCAACATATGAAAATCAGTAGCATTTCTATATGCCAACAGTGAACAATCTGAAAAAGAAATTTAAAAATAATCCCATTTAAAATAGCTAAAAATAAAATTAAATATCTAAGAACTAATTTAACCAAAGAAATACAAGATCTCTATAATGAAAACTATAAAATATAAAGTGAAAGAAATTGAAGAGGACACCAAATAATGGAAAGATACTCCCAAAGCAATATACAGATTCAGTGCAATCCCTATCAAAATATCATTGACATTCTTCACGGAAATAGAAAAAACAATCCTAAAATTTATGTGGAACCACAAAAGACCCAGAATAGTCAAAACTATCCTAAACAAAAAGAACCAAACTGGAGTAATCACATTACCTGACTTCAAATTATACTACAGAGCTATAGTAACCAAAACAGCATGTTACTGACATAAAAACAAATACATAGAACAATGGAACAGAATAGAGAACCCAGAAACAAATCTGCACACCTACAGTGAACTCATTTTTGACAAAGGTGCCAAGAACATACACAGGGGAAAAGATAGTCCAATAAATGGTGATGGGAAAACTGGATATCCATATGCAGAAGAATGAAACTAGACCCCTATCTTTTGCCATATACAAAAATCAAATTTAAATGAATTAAAGACTTGAATCTAAGACTTTAAACTATGAAACCACAGCAATAAAACATTGGGGGAACTCTCCAGGACTTCGGTCTGGGCAAAATTTCTTGAGTAATACCCAACAAGCACAGGCAACCAAAGCAAAAATGGACAAATGAGATCACATCAAGTTAAAAAGCTCTTGCACAGCAAAGCAAACAATCAACAAAGTGAAAAGACAACCCACAGAATGGGAGAAAATATTTGCAAACTATCCATCTGATGAGGGATTAACAACCAGAATATATAAGAAGCTAAGACAACTATATAGAACAAAATCTAATAATTTGATTTTAAAACATGCAAAAAGATTTGAATAGACGTTTCTCAAAAGAAGATGGCATACAAATGGCAAACAGGTATATGAAAATTGCTCAACATCATTGATCATCAGAGAAATGCAAATCAAAACTACAATGAGGTATCATCCCACCCCAGTGAGCATGGCTTTTATCCAAAAGACAGGCAATAACAAATGCCAGCGAGGATGTGGAGAAAAAGGAACCCTTTTACGCTGTTGGTGGGAATGTGAATTAGTACAACCACTATGGAGAACAGTTGGGAGGTTCCTCAAAAAACTAAATATAGATCTACCATATGACCCAGCAATCCCACTACTAGATCTATACCCAAAAGAAAGGAAGTCAGTATATGGAAGAGATCATCTGCACTCCCATGTTTGTTGCAACACTCTTCACAATAGCCAAAGTTTGGAAGCAGCCTAAGTGTCCATCAACAGATGAGTGGATAAAGAAAATGTGGTACTTACACACAATGGAATACTGCTCAGCCATAAAAAAGAATGAGATGTTGTTATCTGCAACAACATAGATGGAACTGGAGGTCAGTATGCAAAGGGAAATAAGCCAGACACAGAAAGACAAACATCACATGCTACACTTATTTGTGAGATCTAAAAATCAAAACAATTCAACGAATGGAGACAGAGAGTGGAAGGATGTTTATCAGAGGCTCAGAAGGGTAGTGGTGGGGGGTGGGGGTGGGGGGGGTTGGTTAATAGGTACAAAAACATAGTAAGAATGAATAAGACCTAGTATTTGGTAGCACAACAGGATAACTATAGCAAATAATAATGTAACTGTGCACTTCAAAATAACTAACGGTATAATTGGATTGTTTGTAACACAAAAGACAAATGCTTGAGGGGATGGATACTCCATTCTCCATTATGTGATTATTATACATTGCATGCCTGTGTCAAAACATCTGAAGTGCCCCATAAATATATACACCTACTATGTACCCACAAAAATTAAAATGAAAAATAAAAATAGAATAAAATAGTGTTATGTTAGGGGCCGGGAGTTGTGGATTCACCCTCCAAATACACAGGCTTAACTGTTGGACTGGACTTGGTTCATCTCTCTGGGACTTTCCAGTGGATCTTCCAAGGACTTCAAGCATTCACTTCCTTCCTCTCTCTCTCTGGCAAATGAATAACTGAATCATGTGCCAATTGCTACACTAAATTTTGAGAAATAACCAAATCCATCACTAGTCTTACATATATGGTGGAGTGAGAAAATGGGGAAGGGCTGTGGAAATGGGCTCTGTTACTGGTTCGCTGTGCAGCTCTCTGCATGGGGCCACAGTTTCCTCAGCATAAAATGGTGATTATATAATCTCTCCTCATGAGGCTCTTGTAAGAATCCAGTGAAATAATGCATTGAAAGGGTTTAACACAGTGCTTGGCATATAACAGGTTCTCAGCAAATGGAAGCTCTGCCTGTGATTTTGAGATTTCCAGGCCTAAGTGCCAGGACACCTCACCAGGGGACATGCTTACTTGGAGGAAGGGAGTTGCCTAATTTAAGCAGGATGTCATGGGATTCAGAATGCATTCATTCAATCATTTAATACATATTTATTTGCTCCTAGTATGAGGATGCTAAATACTTGGCAGGTGTGCATATACTCATCCCTCCCATACCCATGACAGATGTCACTAATCCATCATGGAACTTTCTGCTGAACCTAGAAACTGCCCCAGAGTCCTCCTCAATAGAAAGTGCAGGCAGCTGCTACCAATCAATACATGTTGACATGAAGACGATGCTTATTCACCATCTGAAGTTCACAATGTATGAGGAAATGGGCTCCAGAGGCAGAAGCCTCCAGAGACAGAAGGCTTGGGTTTGCATTTTGCCATAGGTCCTTATGATAATGTGTAGGCACTAAAGGAGCGTATCAGCCTTGGAGTGGACCACTCAGATCTCCCTTCAAGACAGAGTCTGTGAGCTGCAGATGTCTTCAGGATCTGCTTCAGCTTTTGAGCTGAGGCCACCTGCTTCCTGGGCAGCCTGCAGCTAAACACACTGTGAATGAGGTTTCGTTATTTCTGCCTAATATAGGATTTCTCTATGAATAATCTTTGTGCCAGAGTCCCCTGTTGGGCTGGCCAAGACCTTCTCAGAGCTGCGCCACAGTCTGAAGCTCTTGCTACCCAATCCTTCTTCATTCCCCCTCTCCTTTCCTAGTCAGACCTGCGTCAACATCCAAAGGCTCCCCTTTTTTCTCCTGCTCCCTCTCCCCATTATCCTTTGCAGGCATTACCCCCATGCATCTCTTGGCATTCTTAACTCTGTCTTTGGCCTCTGTTTCTCAGAGGACACAGGTGACCTCAGCACTGAGCTGCAGAAGACTGGGCTGGAAAGGAGTGGTCCTCATCTTCTCTGATGGGGAGAATAGGGGTGGCACAGAGGTTATTGTGAGTGCTAGGGGCAAAGAGTGACCCAGAACAGGGAGGCTGAAGGGCACCTCCCTCAGCACGAAATTGGCCTTCCCTATCAAGTACTCTTTTTTTATTTTTGAGACAGAATTTTTGCTCTTGTTGCCCAGGCTAGAGTGCAATGGTGCAGTCTCGGCTCACTGCAACCTCCACCTCCCAGGTTCAAGTGATTCTCCTGCCTCAGCCTCCCAAGTAGCTGTGATTATAGGCGCCCACGACCACGCCCAGCTAATTTTTGTATTTTTAGTAGAGACGGGGTTTCACCATGTTGGCCAGGCTGGTCTCAAACTCCTGACCTCAGGTGATCCACTCACCTTGGTCTCTCAAAGTGCTGGGATGACAGGCATGAGCCACCGTGCCTGGCCAAGGACTCTTGATTGCAAATGACAGAAACTCAACTCAATCTCAAAGTAAAAAGGGACTTTAAGCGCCTTATAATGGAGAAGTGGTGCCGGAGCTCTGTCATCATTCTAATAGCTTCTTCCCTATGACTAGAGAAGTTGGCCTCCAGGCCTATAAGGTCTCAAGCTGGCAATAATAGTATAAAGACATCATCAAAATAGTAATCTCAGGGAAGACCCTGATTGGCTTTGCTTGGGTCACATGTCAATTCTTGAACCAATCACTGTGACCAAGGTAATGAAGATATTCTGATTGGCTGGAATAGATTCTATGCCCACCCCTGGGTGGGAGCACATGATGATGGCTCTACCAGGGCTGCATAGAGAGAGGAGAAGCTCTCCAAAACAAACAGGGGGATGGGAACACAAGGTAAACAACAAAACCTTTGGTGATCATTATCCACTTCAGAAACACGGAGAAGGAAAAAGACAAAAAAGACAGCTTCTTCTCTCAATGACCTCCTCTTTTCACAGGGGAAAATCTGATGTTTAAATGTTTCCTGATGAGGTCCTAGGATGGGCTTTGGGGAGTGACCTGTGGGTAGGTTAGGGACCTCAAACACTGTCTCACCCTTTCCTAGGATGCCCACAATCTCGGTGGGAAGGATGAGATGGAAATAACCTATGGAAATAAAACCTCTTAGAGCTCCTAAAAAAGACTGAAAACTTACCTTGTTTAACTGTCCTGATTTATGCCAGGGAGCTTCACCCAGGGAGGAGTGACTCACGTTGTCACACTGTCCAGCCAGGACAACAATCTGTTATACTTCATCTGTCCTTAAATCGGCCTCTTGATGGAGCAGCCTGTGCTGTATAAGCGGAGACCTTGAGTTCAGGCCCCTCTCTACCCACTAACTCCGTGAGGCATCTTGGGGGTTTGCCTGAATTCTCAGAACCTCAGTTTTCTACCTGTAAAATGGAACCCATAACCTCTGCTTTGCCTGTTTCCCGTCTGCTGTGAGGCAACAACACACGCATTTGTCACGTCTCACTAGGGATGGAGGTCATAAGATGCATTTATTGAGTGTCCACTCTGTGCCAGAGACAGCGTGCTGGATGCTGGCCATATCAGGGTGAACATGACAGACAGTCCCTGCCTTCATGTAGCTCACAGTCTAGAAGAGAGTCAGATCTTAATAATGAGTGCCTTATACAAATGGTGGTAAGGTCTTAAAGGGGAAAAAAGAGCACAAATCAATGGAACCCACTGGAGGTCCAGGAGGGTGGCCCTGAGGGCTTAAGCTGGGATTCAAAGAGAAAACATAAGAAGTCAGGGAAGGCTGGGCTCGGTGGGTCACACCTGTAATCCCAGCTCTTTGGGAGGCTGAGGCAGGCAAATCACGAGGTCAGGAGATCGAGACCATCCTGGCCAACATGATGAAACCCCGTCTCTACTAAAAATACAAAAATTAGCTGGGTGTGGTGGCGCATGCCTGTAATCCCGGCTACTTGGGAAGCTGAGGCAGGAGAATCGCTTGAACCAGGGAGTCGGAGGTTGCAGTGAGCCGAGATTGCGCTGCAGCACTCCAGCCTGGTGACAGAGCAAGACTCCGTCTCAAAAAAACAGAAGAAGAAAAAGTCAGAGAAAAGCATTAAAGTCAGAGGGAACACCACATGCAAAAGGCCTGTGGCAGGAGAGCATGTTGGAGGCAGAAAAAAGCCAGAGAGTGATGGGGACAGGGACACAAGAGGAGGTGGGAGGCATGGGCAAGGCTCCGTAGACCAGAGAGTTTGAATTTTCTCCTTAGAGCCATGAAAACCCATGGGAAGGAATTCAGGAGGGAGTAATATTATCAGATTAGGTTTTTCTTGACCACCCCCCCGCCGGCTGACTCCCTTCAAAAGGTTCCTCCAGTGCCTGGGTGGAGGAGACCGTGGGAGGGGGCAGGGGCTACAGGGAGACCCACCAGCAAGGGGGCTGACATGGGGTGCTGGAGAAGAGTTGGGCTCCAAGGGTGGTGGAAGCCAAAAGCCAGGGCTCTGGGGGGACTTGGGGCTGGATACTCCAAGTCAGGGGACATAGAGGGCTGTGTAGCTCCCCCCAGCACATCCCTGAGCCTCTGGAGAAGTCCTTCATCTCTGGAGTTTCTCTTTCCCTTCCAGTCCAGCCCTTTCTTGTTATTGTAGGACAGACTCCATCGATGACTCATTCAGGACTTGGGTTTCTTGTTCCAGCAGTCTCCCTTCCCCTGATTACTTTGGGCTCCTCTGGGCCTGCAGGCCTCGCCCCTCATCATCTGGGGAGGCAGCCAAGAACCTTGCTGGCTGGGTGAGCTCTACGGAGGAAGGAGCCGGGACCCTCCTAGCTTCAGGCCCCACCCATGCTTTCCTGCCTCTGGTTTTGCTCTCCTCTTTCCCCCGCCAGGGGACCCCTGTTCTGCAAGTCCTGCTCCTCCTTCCAGGACCACCTCCCCTGGGAAGCCCTGCTAGGTGGCCCCGCACAATCTTCTCCACCCTGCTCAGTGGCACCTGTCTTTTTATTCAACCCCCAGGAGCCCACCTTCTGGTGAGTGAGGCAGGGGTGTATTGATGGAACTACAGACACAAATATGGTAGGAACCTAGAGGAGGGAACCAATAACACCCCCTAGAGATTGGGTCAGATGAGGTTTCCCAGAGAAAGGGACATTTACACCTGGGTTTTGAAGGAGGAATAGAAGTTCATCATGGGGAGAAAAATAAGAAGGCATTCCAAGCCAAAGAAACAGTGTGTGCAAGTTATTTCTGTAATGCATGAAAGGGGCCCAGTGCATGTAAATGTTTGTTGAATGAATCAATGTTTGGGGGAACATTGAGAAATTTGGTGTGGCTGCATCAGAGCTTGCAAACTGTCAGTGGATAGGCCAAATCAGGCAAAGAGAAGGTTAAAAAAAAAAGTGAAAATGGAATTAATTCTCAACATCTAAAAATTGGGAGGCTTCACAGACACTCCGGAGCTGGGCAGCATCCTCTGCCTTTAGGCGCATGCTATCCAGCTCACCAGAGTCCCCACCTGGCTCAGTTTACTCATTCATGCTACTCCTTGGGCCCTGTGGACATTTGAATTTGCACCCCTACCTACTTGTTATACTCCTCAAGGTTCTGGACTGTGAGCTACTCACAGGGCCAGGCACACAGCAGGTGCCTAATACATCTTTGTTGGCTAAGTGGATAGATGGTGTGATGATTTTAAAATATGTCCCCAAATTTCTTAACACTCTGGAGCCCCCTTCAGTGTGGGCTGAACTTAGAGACTCCCCTGTAGACAGCCAAATGTAGAAGAAGTAATAGCTTGTGATTTCAGAAACTAGGTCACAAAAGACACTGTGGCTTCTGCCTGGCTGTTTCTTGGATTGCTTGCTATGGGGAAAGCCAGCTGCCATTTTGTTAGGATACTCAAACAGCCCTGTGGAAACACCCAGGTGGCGAGGAACTGAGGCTTCTTCTTGCCAATGGCCGGCACCAACTTGCCAGCCATGTGAGTGAGTCACCTTGGAAGCAGCTTCTCCAGCCCAGTCTAGCCTTAGATGATTGCAGCCCAAGCTGACAGCTTGACTGCAACCTCATGAGAGACCCTGAGTTACAACCACCCAGTGAGGCTGCTTCCAAACACCTGATCTACAGAAACTGTGTGAAACAATAAATGTTTATTGTTGTCTCAGATGCTGAGTTATGAAATAATTTGTTATGTTACGCATCAATAGATAACTAATATGGATGGATGGCTGGGTATCTGGATGGCTGGATAGATTTATATAGAGCGCATTAGGTAATGGAGGAAGTCCCATTGGGAAAGAGGGTCAGAGCCTGGAGAGCCAGAAGAAGTTTGTAATCCCTGGTCATCTCTAAGCTTTAGGGAGGTTATTCAGGCAGCCAGAGGAGGAGAGAGTTAGTGAGTTTTGAAGCCAAGAGGTCATCAGAGGCTAGACCACTCATCCTGGGGAGACAGCCTGCCCTGTGTCTCCAAATCCAGCTTCCTCAAGCAGCAGTTCATACTAGTCCTTCCTACCCTGAGGTCCTGGCTCCATCATTCCTCGGCCCCAGCTGGCCCTCAGAATTGTGGAGGAGGTCAAGACTTCAGCATTTTTCAGAAGCCAAGTCATCCTCCTCACTCAGAGTCTTCTTTGTGTGGAGGAAGCAGTTTCTCGACTGGTGGGGGACTCAGGGCAGGGTCAGTAGCCTTCAGGAACCAGAGGAGGGTATTGAGAAGCTGGGACCCTCTGTGGAGACCCTGCTGGCCCCAAAGGCATGGTGGAGAGCCACAGCCACCAAACATCCATAGGATTAGGTCAGCCCTAAGATCCAGTATATTGGTATTGTTTGAAATGACCCAACACATGTCCTCGGGAAACATATGTACAATGGGCCTGGCACATATGAGAATTTTTTAAGTAAATCAAAACTGCACTGAAATGCCATTTTTCATCTATCACATTGGCAAAATTTCAAAAGCTTGACAATACCTGCTGGTGAGGCTTTGAGCAAATAGCTACTCTTATAAATTGTCAATAATGCCTGTTGGCAATAAAACTTCTAGGAAGGAATTTGTAATATAGAACAAAACAGGATATGCATTTACTCTTTGATCCAGGATATTTACTTCTAGGATTTATCCTAAAGATATAATTCCACAAATATGAAAAATGTGTATGCAAGGTTATTTATTGAGGAATTATTTATAATACAAAATGTTGAAAATACACAAATGCCCATCTGTAGAAAACTGGATGAATAAACTATGGTACCACATGAGAGAATGTTATGCAGCCATGAAGGCAAGAAGGAAGATCTCTGTAAACCTACAGGGAGTGATTTCCAGCATATATTGTTAAACAACAAAATAAGGTAAAAGCAAAATAAAGGACTACCTATACTATGCAAACTTTTAAGAAAATAAAAAAGAAAACATTTATTTATTTACATACATATTTAAATAATTATGCAAAAGAAACCCAGGAAGGATAAATCGGAAACTTATTGCAAATGGTTACTCATAAGAAGTTAGTGGGAATATCAATGGAGAAGAAAGAGATGGGAGTGAGATTCCTCTGAATATATTTGTACAGGATTTTTGACTTTTTAACCATGCAAATATTTTACATTCTCAAAAATAAAATTAAATAAAAAGATAAAAATGTAAACTGTAAACTTATAAACAAAGAGTAAAGAGATGAGCTTAACTAAATGTCAAATAATAATATAGCCACACAAAGAAAATAATTTAAGTAAGTGTAACCACAGGAGTCTAGGTATTTAGTGTTATAATTCTAAAACTACTATCTCTGTGTTGTATGATGGAAGAAATGAGTAAATGTGCTGATGTTTTGGGACTCAGCGTTCTCACTATGGGAAAAGGAAGTCAAAAATATGGAGTGGAGGAAGGATCTGTGGCTATGGCTATGAGTGTTAACTGGAGACATTGATATGAGCAGACCAGGGAAAAGCAACATACCTATAGCAATTAGCACACCCAGGGCCCAGATCTTGTCTCCTAAATGCCATCATTCCCTACTAAACAGAACTAGTGTCCTTAGAAAAATGGCTGATTCCAGGATTGGGCAGGGAAAGTGAATGGTGAACCTGAAGCATCTCATGTCAAAATGCAAGGAAACACTCAATGAATGATGAGGCCAAGTCTAAAGGAGCCAACTTAAAGGGGCTCCCACTAGCCAAAGTCCAGACAATTTGATTCTCAAGAGAAGAACGATGAGGTTTCTCACTGTTGGAGTGAGAGATTACCAACAAGCAAGGGACTAGAATGATCCATGTGGCAATGGATTTGACTTGGAGACAGTAGCTTCCCAATGCAGATAGGTAAGTTGATAGATAGTTGCATACAGAAATGTTTATAGGTATGTGTATATAAAGAAGTTCATATATACATATATTTTCTTGTTCTATCAGCTGAGAACACTTAGAAGCACTGACATTGCAGTAGCAACAAGCACACTTAACATCCAGGTTTTGGTGTCTAATTCCATTCTCCAGTAAAAGAAAACAGGGATCCCTGGAGAAATGGCTGATTCAGGCTGGACATGGTGGCTTATGCCTGTAATCCCAACACATCGGGAGTCTGAGGCAGGTGGATTGCTTGAGCCCAGGAGTTCAGGCCAGCCTGATCAACATGGCGAAACTCTGTCTCTACAAAAAATACAAAAATCAGTTGGGCGTGGTGGCATGTGCCTGTAGTCCCAGCTACTCAGGAAGATGACGTGGGAGGATGGCTTGAGTCTGGGAGGCAGAGGTTGCAGTGAGCTGAGATCACACCACTGCACTCCAGCCTGGGCAACAGAGCAAGATTCTGTCTTAGAGAGAGAAAGAGAGAGAGAGAGAGAGAGAGAGAGAGAGAAATGGGTGATTCAAGCAAGGACTGGGGTAGAAAATGTACAATGTACAAGATGAGCCTGGAGCATCATAAGAAAATGCCTTAAAAAAACAAAGAAATCCACAATGATGGAAGGATGTGAAAGGGACACAGAAAACAACTGAAAGAGCTTCTAATGACCAAAGCTGGATGGAACAACTTGAACAAGAAAATAAAGCATACACTGATATAAATAAATGAGTGCATAAATAAACAGTCACTTGTCCCTTATTGACAGGGATGCTTTCTGATAAATGCATTGTTACAGGGATATGTTCTGATAAATGCACTGTTAGGCAGTTTCGTCATTGTGTGAACGTCAGTGTACTTACACAAACCTAGGTGGTATAGCCAGCTACACATCTAGGCTATATGGTATAGCCTAGTGCTCCTAGGCTACAAACCTGTACACTGTGTTATTGTACTGAATACTGCAGGCAATTGTAACATAATGGTAAGTATTTGTGTATCTAAATATACAAAAGGAACCATTAACATACACTTACCATGAATGAAGCTTGCAAAACAGGAAGTTGCTCTGGGTGAGTCAGTGAGTGAGTCGTGAGTGAATGTGAAGGCCTAGGACATTACTGTACCCTACTGTAGACTTTATAAACATTGTACACTTAGATTACATGGAATTTATACAAATATTTTTCTTTTTCTTTTTTTTTTTGAGACAGAGTTTCGCTCTTGTCACCCAGGTTGGTGTGCAGTGGCACAACCTCGGCTCACTGCAACCTCCGTCTCCTGGGTTCAAGAGATTCTCCTGCCTCAGCCTCCCGAGTAGCTGGAATTACAAATGCCCGCCACCATGCCTGACTAATTTTTGTATTTTTAGTAGAGGTGAGGTGTCACCATGTTGGCCAGGCTTGTCTTGAACTCATGACCTCAGATGATCCACTCGCCTCGGCCTCCCAGAGTGTTGGGATTACAGGCGTGAGCCACCGTGCCAGGCCCTAAAAATATTTTTCTTTCTTTAATAATAAATTAAACTTAGCCGTAAATTTTTTTACTTTCTAAACTTTTTAATTTTTAAAACTTTTGACTCTTTTGTAATAGCAACTTAAAACACCAACACATTAAACCAGTGTACAAAAAATATTTTCTTTCTTTATATCTTTATTCCATAAGCTTTTTTCTATTTTTAAATTTGTTTTAATTTTTAAACATTTTTGTTAAAAACTAAAATGGAAGGCCAGATGCAGTGGCTGGTGCCTATAATCCCAGCACTTTGGGAGGCAGAGGCAGGAGGATAGTTTGAGGGCAGGAGGATAGTTTGAGGCCAGGAGTTCAAGACCAGCCTGGGTAACATAGCAAGACTATCTATTAAAAGAAAAATTAGCTGGGCATGGTGATGCATGCCTGTAGTCTCAGCTAATCTGGAGGCTGATATAGGAGGATGGCTTCAACCCAGGAAGTCAAGACTGCAGTGAGCTAGGATCCCTCCACTGCCTTCCAGCCTGGGCCACAGAGTGACACCTTGTTGCTAAAAATTAAAACAAAAAATAAAAATAACTAAACTGCAAACACAGGCCGGGTGCGGTGGCTCACACCTGTAATCCCAGCACTTTGGGAGGCCAAGGCTGGTGGATTACCTGAGGTCAGGAGTTCAAGACCAGCCTGGCCAACATGGGGAAACTCCATCTCTACTAAAAATACAAAAATTAGCCAGGTGTGGTGGCACAGGCCTGTAATCCCAGCTGCTTGGGAGGCTGAGGCAGGAGAGTCGCTTGAACCCAGGAGGCGAAGGTTGCAGTGAGCCGAGATTGTACCACTGCACTCCAGCCTGGGCGACAAGAGCAAAACTCCATGTCAAAAAAAAAAAAAATGCAAACACACATATTAGCCTAGGCCTACACTGGATCATGATCATCAGTACCACTACCTATCACCTCCACATCTTGTCCTACCGGAAGGTCTAGGCAATGGGAATTTCTCAGCTCCATTATAATCTTACGGGACCACCATCGTTGTTGACCGAAGTGTTATTATGCAGCACATGGCTGTAAGTGTGAGAGATTAGGCAAATTTCCTGTGCAGAAGAATTCCAAATAGTTTATGTAGATACTTCACCCCCAAGAAGACACAGCATAAATAAATAACTTCCACTCCTAAAGTGTGGACTGCACATAGTGACTTCCTTCCAAAAGTTACAGTATGGGAAAGAGGAGAAAGAGTAACTTTACCGTGGAGAAATCTGACAAATATGACCTCGGCCAGGTGATCAAGGCCAATATCAACAGTAATAAATTGTGTTAATGCTACATACTCTTGATATGCTGTGTAAGGATGGGGCGCTTCAGATACAGGCTGCCTTAGACATCTCTATTCTGCCCCCACCTGCCTTGCAAAGATGTCCTCAGGGAGAGAGTAACTGTCTTCTCCAGGGCCACACAGCATGCTGGGAGGGGCAAATACCTGACTGGCCTCTTCACAGCATCAACAGAGTTACCACACCTATTTCACAGAGAAGGTAAGGGGGACCCTGAGGGCTTGTACAATTTGCCCACATCCCCTTACAGTGGTCCAGCTGCAAAAAAAAAAAAAAATAGTAGAGGGGCTCCCCAAACCACACACACCCCAAATAGCCACAGCTTAGCTCAGCTTCCTCCCATCCCTGGATTCTCAGCACTGAGATGTCTCCCTCCCCGACATTCTAGCTTCCTCTCCCTCTTTTCCCACAGGGACGGCCCCTTTCCCTCTATGGCCCCACTTCAGAGCTCTGGGGCTACCCAAGGACACCCCAGGCCTCTTCCTTACGGTATGAACAAAACTGGGCAGATGCTATGGCGGTGGCGCCACGGAGGGGGCCGGGGTCATGTTGCGGCCTCACGCAACAGGCGGCTGGGAGCTTAAGTCATGGTGAAAGGGCTAAATTGTCCTGTGCAGC
This sequence comes from Homo sapiens, assembly GCF_000001405.40. Taxonomy (NCBI): domain Eukaryota; kingdom Metazoa; phylum Chordata; class Mammalia; order Primates; family Hominidae; genus Homo; species Homo sapiens. The sequence goes on from NC_000020.11 coordinate 38,278,391, forward strand.
TGTGCTTGTTTTTCTTCCCCGTTTCAGTCCGCAGCCCTGATAGGGGAGGGGGTAAGCTGGAGGCGGTCACTTTTTTTCCTGCCTGTGTTCCCCCATCCCAGGGAGTCCTCCAAGACTGTCCTCCAGGAGCCTACACGTGCTGCTTTCACCTGGTTTCTTATAAAGCAGAGTCTCGGGTCTGCGGAGTGGGAATGGGTCTTCATGGATCTAGCTGTTGAAACATCAGAATGATCCATGGGGGTGCAATCCAGGCAGACATCTGCCTCCCCCAATAGGATTAGAACCCCAGGGGCTAGGAGCAGAATTGCAGTGTTAATAAACACAGATGGTTAGTTAGACCCAGCTTGACTATACAGATTGAGAAAAACTGGGGCCCAGAGAGGGACAGAGATTGCTCAGGGTCACTGAATAAGACCTATGGCTAAACCTAAGCTAACTCCATTCATTCATTCATTCATTCATTCATTCATTCATAAAAACATTCACTCAGCATTGACTACTTCCGGCCCTTTGCCAAGGGTTTAGCAGGGCGGGAGTTGGCTCACAAGATGCTCACAATAAGCAAGCATGTATACAACAAACATCCTTCAAAAGTGCAGTGACAAGTACTGCAATTGAGATGTCTGAGATACCACAGGAGCCCAGGAAGGGTACTTGACCAGGCAGAGGGGAAGTGGTCAGGGAGGGATGCCTAGGGGAGCTGATAACACAAGCAGAATCCTAAAGGAGCCATAGAATATATCTATGCAAATGGCCAGGCACTGTGGCTCATGCCTATAATCTCAGTACTTTGGGAGGCTGAGGCTGAAGGTTGTTTGGGAGGCCAGAAGTTTGAAACCAGCCTGAGGAAGGAGTTGGTTGAACTTGTTTGTTTGAGACCAGAGAAGCAAGACGTCATCTCTACAGAAAATACAAAATTAGCTGGGCATGGTGGTGTGCACCTAGCTACTTGGAAGGCTGAGGTGGGAGGATGGCTTGAGTCTAGGTGGTTGAGGCTTCAGTGAGCTATGATTGTGCCACTGCACTTCAGCCTGGGCAACAGAGTGAGACTCCATCTCTGGAAAATATGTGTACAAATAATTTTTTTAATTAAATGAAAATTTGAAAAACAAAGGAGGAAGGACCCTCCAGGCAGGAGGATCAGCATGAGCAGAGGTTTGGAGGTAAGAGCGGTGTGGGTGGGCAGCAAAAAGCAGTTCAGTGTTGCAGGAGCCCAGATTTGTGTGGCAGGAAGAGGCAAGAAGTTTATTGCACCTGCTGAGTGCTTACTATATGCAGGGCCCTATTCAGGCACTGGGTTTAGGCACCATGAGCAAATGTACACAAAGCCCCTGCCCTCATGGCTCTTCCATTCTAGGGGAAAGACAAGAAAAAAACCAAACCAATAAGCAAACCAAGGCATAATATTCATGAGGAGGTAAGTGCTGAGGGGGGAAATAATGCAGAGTAAGGGGCTCCTATTTCATGACAGGTAGCCAGAAAAGGCGTCTTGATGAACACATCCTTAGCGGAGACCTGAAGGAGGCAAGGTAGTGAGTGGCGAAGCATTTGGGTAAAGCATGTTCAAGGAGGAGGGAGCAGTGAGCACAAAGGTCCTGAGGCCTGAGCAAGGTGAGGCTGGAGAAGGTTGGCAGGAGCCAGTTCAAAAAAGGACCTTACATGACATGCTAAGAAGTCACTTTCCTCTTCTTCTAGTAAAGTATAAGAAGCCAGTGTTGGGGCTTTGTGTTAGTCCATTCTCACACTGCTATAAAAAAATCCCCAGCTGGGTGCAGTGACTCATGTCTGTAATCCTAGCACTTCGGGAGGCCAAGGCAGGCAGATCACTTGAGGTCAGAAGTTCAAGACAAGCCTGGCCAACGTGGCAAAACCCCATCTCTACTAAAAATACAAAAATTAGCCAGGCATCATGTCACAGGCCTGTAATCCCAGCTACTTGAGAGGCTGAGGCAGAAGAATCGCTTGAACCTGGAAGGAGGTTACAGTGAGCTGAGATCGTGCCACTGCACTCCAGCCTGGTGATAGAGCAAGACTCCATCTCAAAAAAAAAAAAAAGAAGAAGAAGAAGAAGTAGAAATACCTGAGACTGGTAATTTATACAAGAAAGAGGTTTATTAACTCATAGTTTTACATTGCTGGAGAGGACTCAGGAAATTTACAATCATGGTGGAAGGCAAAGGAGAAGCAGGCACCTTCTTTACAGGGTGACAGGATGAAGTGAGTGCCAAGCGAAGCGGGAAGAGCCCCCTTATAAAACCATCAGGCACACACTCACTATCACAAGAACAGCATGGGGGAAACTGCCTGCATGATCCAATTACCTCCACCTGGTCCTGCTCTTGAAATATGGGTATTATGGGGATTATAATTCAAGATGAAATTTTGGGTAGGGACACAGCCAAACCATATCATTCTACCCCTGGCCCCTTCCAAATTTTATATCCTCACATTTCAAAGCACAATCGTGTCTTCCCAACAGTCCCCCAAAGTCTTAATTCATTCCAGCATTAACCCAAAAGTCCAAGTCCAAAGTCTCATCTGAGACAAGGCAAGGCCCTTCTGCCTATGAGCCTGTAAAATCAAAACCAAGTTAGTTACTTCCTAGATACAATGGGGGTCCAGGCATTGGGCAAATACACCCATTCCAAATGGGAGAAATCGGCCAAAAAGAGGGGCTACAGGCCCCATACAAGTCTGAAATCCAATAGGGTAGTCATTAAACCTTAAAGTTTACTATGTAAACTTTAAGTAAACCAAAATGATCTCCTTTGACTCCATGTCTCACATCTAGGTCATACTGATGCAAGGGGTGGGCTTCCAAAGCCTTGGGCAGCTCTGCCCCTGTGGCTTCAGAAGGTACAGCCCCCTTCTCAGCTGCTTTAGTTGACTGTCATTGAGTGCCTGTGGCTTTTCCATGTGCATGGTGCAAGCTGTCAGTGGATCTACCATTCTAGGATCTGGAGGACAGTGGCCCTCTTCTCACAGCTCCACTAGGTGGTGCCCTAGTGGGAACTCTATGTAGGGGCTCCAACCCCACATTTCCCTTCCACACTGCCCTAGCAGAGGCTCTCCATGAGGGTTCCAACCCTGCAGCAGACTTCTGCCTGGACATCCAGGCATTTCCATACTTCCTCTGAAATCTAGGCAGAGGCTCCCAAACCTCAATTCTTGACTTCTGTGTACCCACAGGCTCAACACTACATGGAAGCCACCAAAGCTTGGGGCTTTCAGCCTCTGAAGCAATGGCGTGAGTGGTAACTTGGCCCATTTTAGCCACGACTGGAACTGAAGCAGCTGGGAAGCAGGGACGCACCATGCCTCAAGGCTTCACAGAGCAGCGGGGGCCTGGGCCCAGCCCACAAAACCGTTTTCCCCCCTAGGCCTTGGGACCTGTGATGAGAGTGGCTGCCATGAAGGTCTCTGACATGCCCTGGAGACATTTTCCCCATTGTCTTGGTGATTAACATTTGGCTCCAGGTTACTTATGCAAATTTCTGCCGTAGGCTTAAATTTCTCCCCAGAAAATGGATTTTTCTTTTTCTATTGCATCCTCAGTCTGCAAATTTTCCAAACTTTTATGCTCTGCATTCTTTTGAATGCTTTGCCACTTAGAAATTTCTTCTGTCAGATACTCTAAATCATCTCTTTGAAGTTCAAAGTTCCACAGGTCTCTAGGGCAGGGGCAAAATGCCACCAGTCTCTTTGCTAAAGCATAGCAAGAGTGACCTTTACTCCATTTCCCAAAAAGTTCCTCATCTCCATCTGAGACCACCTCAGCCTGGACTTCATTGTCCATATCACTATCAGCATTTTGGTCAAAGCCACTCAACAAGTCTCTAGATAGTTCCAAACTTTCCCATATCTTCCTGTCTTCTTCTAAGCCCTCCAAACTGTTCCAACCTCTGCCTGTTACCCAGTTCAAAAGTCAATTCCACATTTTTTAGTATCTTTATAGCAGTGCCCCACTCTTGGTACCAATTTACCGTATTAGTCTGTTCTCACACTGCTGTGAAGAAATATCCAAGACTGGGTAATTTATAAAGGAATGAGATTTAAATTGGCTCACAGTTCCACATTGCTGGGTAGGCCTCAGGAAACTTACAGTCATGGTGGAGGGCAAAAGAGAAGCAGGCACTTTCTTCACAGGGTGGCAAGATGGAGTGAGTGCCAAGCAAAGGGGGAAGAGCCCCTTATAAAACCATCAGATCTCGTGAGACTCACTCACTGTCATGAGAACAGCATGGGGGAACCCTCCACCTGGTCCCCCCTTTGACACTTGGGGATTATGAGGATTATAATTCAAGATGAGATTTTGGGGGGGACACGGCCAAACCATATCAGACTTAGAAAACAATACCCCAAAATGAAGGCCTCAGAAGTGAGTTTCTTCTCTGACCCCCTCCTGCCCTCCTAGCTCTCAGTCCTATTCCTGAAGGCTAGCCATAGAAACTAGCATGTGCTATAGAAACCAGAACCTCTTCTCCCCAAAGCTAGTCATAAAACCTAAAAATACTACTCTAATTTTCCCTCCAACTTTCTGTATAAAAACTGGCCATAAAGAAATGATCTTTCCTTTGACTGTAGGTCATAAGACCCCCCATTCCAGAAAAGGTCCTGCCCCATCCCCAGAAGGAAGGAGCACTGCTCAGAGAGGCCAAGAATAATCTAGATAGGCGGGTCATGCTGGGTTCCCACTCATTCTATCAGCATTCGATCAGACCTTTTTGTCCAGTCGTATTTCTACATGGCTGTTTATACTTCATGGAACCTAAGCATAAAAATGAACAATTTCCTCTGTATCTTTGGGTCTTCATTCTAAAGACTCCCGTGAATACACATTAAATACATTTGTGTACCTTTTCTCCAGTTAATGTGCCTTTTGCAAGGTGATTTTTCAGAGAACCTTTAGGGGGCTCTCCCTTGGCCCCATGCCAGCAAAAGGTTTAAACAGAGAGGTGGGGGCATGCCCCAGGTTAGATTTTCAAGTTCCTCTGACTTCCATGTGGAGAATGGACCAGGTGGCAGCAGGAGGGCCAGTGAGGCATCTGTTACATGGACCGGGCTGGAAGTGATGGTGGCCTGGATGGTGGACGGAGGGCATGGGGGGCTGAGGAGGAGAAATGGGGTGCTGAACTAACTAGCAAAGGGGCAAACCCATAGGGCTAGGCTGGTTGCTGTTGCTGGGTTGGTCAGGGTGATGGCAGGTCATGGGAGGAAGGCAGGCCCACCTCTTAGACAGAGGCAAGCAGGGATGAGCAAGGCTGGGGAAAAGACACATTTAGTTTTGAACGCCTGAGCCTGAGGCTCCTATGGGACATCCCTTCTCAGGGATGATGATCTGGGGCTCCAGAGAGATCTGAGCTGGAGAGGAGGTTGAGGAGTTGTCATCATGATGGGGGGTTGGGAGTACTGCCTGACCCACTTGTCATTTGCCTTGGCTCATGACTATTGAACTGGGAGATAAGGGGGCCCAGGACAGAACCCCAGAACCCAGGAAACCCCCAGGGTTAAAAGATGGAATAGAAGCTCACAAGGAAGGGAACCAAGGAGTTGTCTAGGCCCCAAGGAGAATGAGGGGAGTGCCAAAGGATGCTTCAGTGGGAAAGAGACAGGCAATGTTAAAGTTGTCCCCAGACCTACTAAATCAAGGACGAAAATATGTCCCTGGAATGTTGGCAGGCAGTAAACAGAATGACACTGCTCTCAACAGACTGATGTGGATCTATCTGCAAGGTTGGCATGTGTCTGTAGTCCCAGCTACTCAGGAGGCTGAGGTGGGAGGATCGCTTGAGCCCAGGGGTTTGAGGTTACAGTAAGCTATGATCGCACCACTGCACTCTAGCCTGAGTGACAGAATGTGACCCTATCTCTAAAAGTAAAAATTTAAAAATGCCAGGCACGGTGGCTCATACCTGTAATCCCAACACTCTGGGAGGCCAAGGCAGGCAAATCATTTGAGCCCAGGCGTTCAAGACCAGTCTGGGCAACATGACGAAACCCCGTCTCTACAAAACATACAAAAATTTGCTAGGCGTGGTGGCACATGCCTGTAGCCCCAGCTACTCAGGAGGCTGAGATGGGATGATCACCTGGGCCTGGGAAGTGGAGGCTGCAGTGAGCCAAGATTGCACCACTGCATTCCAGACTGGGTGATGAAACAAGATCCCCCCATCTCTAAAAATAAAAATTAAAAGAGGCCAGGTGCAGTGGCTTATGCCTGTAATCCCAGTACTTTGGGAGGCCAAGGTAGGCAGATCACTTGAGCCCAGGAGTTCAAGACCAGCCTGGGCAACATGGTGAAACCCCATCTCTACAAAAAATACAAAAATTAGCCAAGCATGGTGGTGCATGCCTGTAGTCCCAGCTACTGGGGAGTCTGAGGTGGGAAGATCACCTGAGCCTGGGAAGTCGAGGCTGCAGTGCATGGAGATCACAGCACTGCACTCCAGCCTGGGTGACAGAACAAGACCCTGTCTCAAAAAATAAAATTAAATTAAAAGAAAGGTTGTATTTGTTCCCTACTGCTAGGTACCAAATGACTCCACAGCCTAGGGGCTTAAAGTGGCAATGAACAGTTTCTGTGGTCCAGGAATTCCGGAATGGCTTAGCTGGGTGGCTCTGGCTCAGAGCCTCTCATGAGGTTGCAGTCACAATGCTGCTGGCCAGGGCTGCAGTCATCTGAAGGCTCAACAGGGGCTGACGGATCCACTTCCAAGATGGCTCACTCACATGGCTGATGAGCTGGTGCTGGTGTTGCCAGGAGGCCTCAGTTCCTCATCCTGTAGACCTCTCCACAGGGCTGCCTGAGTGTCCTCACAGCATGGTCTCCCCCAGATCGAGTGATCCCAGAGGGAGCACCATGGGCCACCGTGTCTCATGACCTAACCTCAGAAGTCACACACTATTTCCACAATGTCCTAGCACGGTCAGCCCTATCCAGTGTGGGAGGGGATATTCATGAAGGCAGGGATTCCTGGGGACCATCTGAGGCTGGCATCCCCAAGACAAAGAAAGTGTAAACATGAAGTTCTCAGCAGTATGTTTCATTCACAAAGATTTGTGGAAGCTTTTTAAAGGCCCCCCAACTACATAACACACGATAGCTGATATGGTTTGGATCTCTGTTCCCACCAAATCTCATGTAGAATTGTAATCCCCAGGGTTGGAGGTGGGGCCTGGTGGGAGGTGATCGGATCATGGGGGCAGAGTTTCCATGAATGATTATCACCATCCCCCCTTGGTACTGTATAATGAGTGAGTTCTCACAAGATCTGGTTAAGTGTGTGGCACCTCCCTGCTCTTTCTCTTCCTCCTGCTCCAGCCATGTGAAGTGCTGGCTTCCCCTTCGCCTTCCACCATGATTGTAAGTTTCCTGAGGCCTCCCCAGGAGCCAAGCAGATGCCAGCATCCTGCTTCCTGTCCACCCTGTGGAATCGTGAGCCAAATATCTCTTCTTTATAAATTATGCAGTCTCAAGTATTCCTTTATAGCAGTGCAAGAATGGACTAATACAAAATCTTGTGCTTATACTGTCCTAGAACATCTCTGGAAGGATGTACTGTTCACTAACTTTTTGAATCTCACATTTTTCTATTCCTCTAATAAATATATGTTTTAAAAATAATTATCGGATAATCAAAAGGAGTGTCCACTGAGTTTGGAAATACGTTTTTTCATATATCCAACCCACAGATATTTGCGAAGCTGCTACTGTGCATCAAGCTTTGTTCTTGGCACTGGAAATGGTGAAGGGAACAGAGCTTCGCCACCCTCATGGGCTGGGTTCTTTTCCTAGGGCTGCCATAACAAAATGCTACAGATGGAGTCACATAAGCAAGAGAAATGTATTGTCTCACCATTCTGGGGGCTAGAAGTTTGAAATCAAGGTGTCAACGGGGTCGGTTATGTTGAGGGCTGTGAGGGGAGGCTCTGTTGCAGGCTGGCTTCTTAACTTGCGGGCGGCCGTCTTCATGTTCACGTGGCATCTTTGCCATATGTACGAGTGCCCACATTTCCCCTTTTTATAAGGACACCAGGCTATTGGATTAGGGCCTACCCTAATGACCTCATTTTAATGTGGGTTCCTTTGTAAAGACTATTTATTCAAATAAGGTCACATTCTGTGATATTGTGGGGGTTGGGAATTCAACATAGGAATTTTCAGAGGAGGGACATAATTTAACTCGTAACATTGGCCTTACGTCGAGTGAGGGAGATGATAAGCAAAGGGGTCTATAGGGCCTCAGGAGCCCAGGGAGCTGGAGAGGGAGAAAGCAGCCCCGGGGGAGGTCCACAATGGGCAAAGGCAGGGTTGGCCTGTGGGTAGAAAGTGGGTGGGAGCAGAAGAAGTGGATGGAGGGTGGAGAGTCACCAGGAGACACGTGCAGCTTTGAGGAGCTTTGGCTGAGCAGGGAGTCCAGAGTGGTGGCTGGAGGGAAACCTGGGATCTAGAGGGAGTCTTATCTGATTTTATGATGAAAAATCTTGTAAGCTGAAAAGACAAAAAAAAATGCAGAAAAGGAGGGCAAGGCCGCAGGTTGAGGGTTGGGCCTCTTCTGGGTGCGGAGAGGAAGAGAGGGAGGGAGGAGAGGCAGGTGTGTGTGCATGGTGTGGGGTAGGAGATCTGCTGAGTAAGGAGGTGCCAGGCTGCAAGGGCCCTGAGGAGGGAGAAAGCTCAGGGTTTGGCTGAGGGACACAGGAAGCTTGCAGGGAGTGGGGGCTCCCAAGCCCTCTCTCAGCCCTCAGACCTCCCTCCCAATCCCCGACCCACCCCGGCAGCTTCTATCCTTCCGTTTCCTTCCCATCTCTCCCAGGGTCCCTCCTACGGCCCGTGGATCTGTCCCTCCCCACAGCTGTCCTGCTGATCAATGGATGCTCTGTTCTCTCTGGCTCCCCTCCACGTGTCCCCGCCTAGCAGGGGCCATGGCCTCACCCCGGGGGTGCACAGGCCTGTGGTCAAAGCAATCTCCATCTGGCCACAGGGAAGTTCCGCCTCCACAACTATGACAATATTTGAAATTCTTCAGAAGTTGCATTTTATGTTATCACACCCATTGGGTCCTGCCCACCTTTTGAAAACCCTCCAGGGACCCCCGACTGCTCAGAGAACAAAACCCAAACACTTTAAAGTGACCTCCAAGGCTCTGCATGCTTCAGCTTCTGCATTGCTTTGTAGCAGCGTTTTATCTTGAAATAATTTTAGCTTTACAGAAGAGTTGCAAAGACAGTATGAAAAATTCCAGTATTCCTTTTCTCCGGTTCCCCTCATGTTAACATCTTACATCACCATAGGACATTTATCAAAACTAAGACATTAACATTGGTACAATGATGTGTTACTTTTGTAGGAAATGATAGTAATTATGGATTTTTTTCATTTTTATTGTGGAACATGCCATAGAGACAAAGGCATATATGTACAGTCTGAAGAATAACAATAAATACCCTTGAACTCACCAATCCATTTAAGAAATAGAATACTGCTGTTACCCCCGACACTCTGCATGCTCCTTCCTGATCAAACCCCCCAGCCTCAATGATTGAAGCAGGGATGTTAATTTATGGGGGTGACTGATGACATAGAAAGAAAGAATTGATTACTTACAATTCCAAGACAAGGCATCACACAGTGCCACAGAGGGCCACGGAGGCAGCACCAGGAAGCCGTGCAGATGCCTGCGTCATGCTTCCTGCACACCCTGTGGAGTGTACACCCTTGGGTGAGGAGGTAGAAGCAGGGGCAAAGACAGCACTGGGCCAGAGGCTTTATTGGAGTTTCCAGGACAAATGCAAGGCAAGGCAGACTAAACATCGTGCTCTCAGAACGGCACACAATTTAAAACTCATTAATTGTTTATTTCTGGAACTTTTCAATTATTTTCGGACCGAGGTTGACCACGGGTAACTGAAACCACAGAAAGTGGAACCGCAGATAAGCGGGGGCTGCTGTATAGCATATGATCATCTTCATGTTACAACGCTTCTATTTTCTTTTTTGAGACAGAGTCTTGCTCTGTCACCCAGGCTGGAGTGCAGTGGCGCAATCTCAGCTCACTGCAACCTCCACCTCCTGGGTTCATGCGATTCTTCTGCCTCAGCCTCCTGACTATCTGGGATTATAGGTGTGAGCCACCAAACCCAGCTAATTTTTGTATTTTTAGTAGAGACAGGGTTTCACCATGTTGGCCAGGCTGATCTTGAACTCCTGACTTCAAGTGATCCGCCCGGCCTCGGCTTCCCAAAGTGCTGGAATTACAGGCGTGAGCCACCGCCCCCAGCCAATGTTTCTATGTTCGATTGTTAATGGCGATCTGGTTTCTCTCCAGGTGCACAATGCTTCTTTGAGTATCTCCGTGTCTGTGGCTGATATCCAGATGCAAGGCTTCTTCCGGGCATCCCTGGGAATGGGAGTGCATAGACATACTGGTCAAATTACAGCACAGCCTCTACACCTTTACTGAAGATGGAAAACTGTTTTCCAAAGTTGACTTGCCTAACATGATGTAACTATCATGCAAAAATAAAAATAAAATTAAGAATAAAAATTTAAAAATGAAAGTTTACGTGTTCACCAGCTCCCTCCAGACGCTCATCTGCCTTTGGTGCTGTCTGACTTTGTTTGTTTATTTATTTATAGAGATGGGGGCTCCCTATGTTGCCCAGGCTGGTCTCAAACTCCTGGACCCAAGCCATCCTCCCAAAGTGCTGGGATTACAAGTGTGAGCCACCACGCCAAGCCTGACTTTAAGATTTTTGCCAATCCAGTGGGTATGTAAAGATATCTCAGTGGATCTTAATCCACACTTCTTTGATTGATAATGAGATTGAGCATTTTTCTCATGTTTTTAAATCACTTATGCTTCTTTTATGAAATTCCTGTTCTTTTGTTCCCCAATTTCTATTGTGTTATTTATCAATCTTTTTCTTATCGTTCATAGGCGTTTTTCTATATTATGGATGCTACTCCTCGGTTAGTCATGTGTGTTTCAAATCTTGCTAATTGTGACTCGTCTTTTCATTCTCTGAATGGGGTCTTTTCATGAAAGGGCCCTCTAAATTTTAATGCAGTCAAATTTGTCAACTATTTACTTTATGGGTTAAACTTTTTAATCTCATTTTTTTAAGTTTCATTAAAGAATCTTTTCATAAAGATGCTCTCCTATATTTTATTATAAAGTTGTAAAGTTTTACCATTTATATTTAAATCCTTAATCCATCTGGAATGGATTTTTAATGTGTGGGATGACATACGGAATCATTTTCATTTTCTTCCATATGAATAGCGAGTTATTCTGGCACCATTTCCTGGGAAGACCATCCTTTTCTCCTGGATTCGCGATGCAGGCTGTGTTATCACCTTTTCATATATGCATGAGAAAAAAAAATGTTAAGGAAAAAGCCAAGTGAAATAAAATGGTAGGCAACACTTTGGCCCAGCAAGTCCATGTCTAAGCATTTATCCTAAAGAAATAACTGTAAATGCAAAAAAAAAAAAAAAAAAAAAAAGATTTGTCGCAAAGATGTGGTTTATAAGAGCCAAAAATTAGCAAACAATCTCATTGCATATGCAACAAAAGAAATTGTTTAAATAAATTTTTGTACATCTATACAATGGAACATTATGCAGTAATCTAAAAAGATATGGTAGATTTTAAGGAGGTGACATGGAAAGAAAAATTGAAAAGCGCAGACTATGGAACCACATACAGATACAGTATAATCCTCACTATGTAATCTAGAGGCATGTTCTTAGACAAATTACAAAAGAGGGACATGCAAGCAGTTGATCTATATTATCTGACTTTAAAAAAAATTTGTCATCCTAGCATCCCAGTATATTATCTGAATTTTTATAGTGATATCAGGCAATCATAAATAAAACATAGTTCACTTTCTCCATGTTAAAAAAAAATGATGTTGCATATGCTTAGGATAATACCATAAGACCCAGCAACCCATTCCTAGGTATTTTCTTAAGAATCTAAGAACATTTATGTTCACACGAAAGCCAGTATGTGAATATTCATCATAAGCCCATTCACCCAAAACTGGAGGCAACCCAGATGTCCCTCAACCAGTGCATGGATAAATAAGCTGTGGTTCATCCACACGATGGAATATTACTCGGCAACAAAAAGAAACATTACTGATGGATGCGACACCATGGATAAACTTCAGAACACTGTGCTAAGTGAAAGGAGCCAGACCCAAAAGGCCACATACATTATAATTCCATTTATATGGACATTCTGGAAAAGGCACACTTATAGGAGAGCAAAACATCAGTGGTTGCCAGGGGCGGGGATGGTGGGAGAGATTTACTATAAAGGGGCACGGGGACATTTTGGGGGTGAAGGAACTGTTCTCTATCTTGATTATGGTGATGATTACATGACTATGGGTTTGTCAAAACTCATAAACCTACTAACTACAAACTACCCACTAGAAAGGGAAAACTTTACAATATGTAAATTACACCTCAATAAAGAATCGCAAGCTATAAAAGGTGTTGCAGGTTATACCTTTGTAAATTAAAATACACCAACAATGTGAAAGCTAAAGAAAAATATGTGATGTAAGAACATTTAATGATATGGAAAAACATTCACAGTATCGTCAAATGAATATCCATGTTGCACAACGCTGTAATACACAAGTCTATGTACACAAAGGCATGCATACATGCACACACCGGTAGAAAGAAAAAACTGCTGGATAAACGCCGCAAATGGTGTCCACAGGTCTCTCTGAGTGGAGGGGTCACTGCTGGTCTTTATTTTCTTTCGCTCCCTGGGTTTGCTGTTTTCCCACGACGTTTCCCACAGTGTGTCCCCGCTGGAGTCCATGGCTGACTCAGGGAGGCTGGGAGGAGGTGGCCACTCCACAGCTGGGAAAACCGCAGCCTCCCGATGAACCCTGGCTGACGACCTGTCTATGTTTACTTTTTCTCCCTGGGCAGACAAGACAGGAGACTGGAAGAAGGGGCCAGAAATTCAGACTCAGAAGCCCCCTCCAGAGGCCACAAGGCAGCCTGGTCCTCTCTGAACCAGTGGCTCCCACTCACTGGCCCCTTGTCTCTGCCTGGACTCCTGCGGATGAGTGGAAGGCCAAGAGGGCGCCCTCTGGTGCCCACTAGATCGACTCCCAATTAATCACTTAACTGTGTGACCCTGGGCCAACTACTCAACCTCTCTGTGCCTCGGGTCCTCCTCTGAACATGGGGATAAAGACAGTGCTTGCCTCGTGGGGATGTTGTGTGTGTATACATGCATACACACGTGTGCAAAGAGCTTAGAGCCACGCCTGGTACCATTTACATGCTCAGTAAATGTTTAGGAGGATTGTTGTGATAACCCAGCAGACTGATGTGTAAGCCTATGGTCCCATCTCAGGGCATGTGGGTGTCACAGGATCGTAGTCCTAACAGCCCAAAAATAATGTTAAAATGACTCAAGGACTTCACTTATGCTTCTGAGCATCCTGAAGGAAATAGGCACAGTCTACAGAACTACTTCCTAATGCTCCCCTTAGTTCAACTGTCCACTTCCTCAGCACAGTCCCTGTATGTCTTTGGAGGTCCCCCTTCTCCAGACCTCCTTCATTCAGCCAACAGCGTTTATTGAGCACCTGCTCTGTGCCAGCCAGCTGCTGTTCTAGGCTCTTAGAATAAATCAGAAAACCAAATAGATGAAAAATTCTCATTGTTCACAAGTAGATTCTAGACGTCTCCCCAGAGCAAAGCCCAGGCCCTTGGCCTTCCTCTCCCCTGCCTCTTTCTTCCTCATTCTGCACCCAGAACCCAAGAAAACGCTGCAGCCCTTCCTGGGAGGGCAGGAGAGAGGAAAGATCTGAGTTGGCCAAGCCAGGCTCTCCAGCAGGCAGGGCTCCAGCAGAGGCTGGGCACCTTCAGCCATCAGCAACTGTGTCCCATTACCTGTGGAAAGCACCAGCCCTGGCCTGGAAAACAGTAGGAGTTCATCAAGAGTGGCTTTGTTGTACAGTGGTTGTCTTGTACCCAGTTGGATTGGCAGCAGCTTCGGGGCACGAGGAGCGACTGTTCACTCCTTGGGGAGCTTGCAGCACAGGGCAAGGTGCACAGTAGGCACTTGGTGGCTGGCAGGGCCCTCTGGGGCATCCTATGGGTGAATATCTTGCTGAGCCCATGGAAGGCCCATGTCAGAATCCAGTAATGTGCTGGGGAGGCGAGCTGGGGTGGGGTTGGAAGTGGTGCTCACCAGCCCAGCCAGGGTTCCTCTTAAAAGTCACAGTGCTCGAAGCCAGTACAGTGCCTCACCCCTTTTTATGCCCTCACCTGGCTCATCTCCCATCCATTAGTCCTCAAGGTACATCTGTGAGTCCCATGGGTCAGGTAGTGGGTGCAATGGGAGGAGATGAGGGTGTGGACTTGTCCTCAGATCTACCTCTTAGTACCTATGAGAAGTCAGCAACCACCCTGACCCTCTGTGTCTTCATCTGTAAAATGCATATATTAGTCTCTTCTTTGGTGGAAAGGATTAAATGAGATGTTGCATATGGAGGCATGTGAGGGTTTTGTAAGTGCTCATTCTCCCTTTTGCCTCAGGAAGAAAGCCTCCACCTTCAGACTATCAGGCACCTGGGGACAGACCCCAGGACACTGCCTTTTGTGGCTCTTGCCACCCATGGTCACCTCAGTTACTCAAGCCACACATGCATGTTCGTGCATCCCCCACATATACACAGAAACTCACGGGCGTTATATCAACCAGGGTTCCTAGCTGCAAGCAACAGAAAGCAACCATGACTGACTTAAGCAGAAAAGGAATTTCTCAAAAGAATATTATTTGATTTATGGAATCACAGGAAATCATCCAGGTCTCTACCTGGAAGGCAGAATGAACCTTATTAAAATCAGTTGAGATGCGCACTTAGCATTGTGCCTTGCACAGAGTAACTGCTCAGGAAAGGTTATCCAATAATAATGAAAGCATGTCTTATGGTGTGACACCTCTGCTCAAAATCCTTTCATAGATCCAATTGTCTACCATGGAAACCCGGCCTCTGGGCTGTGGATACTTGTGATGGGAGAGGTGGTGCGGGCTCCGAATTCTTTCCAATAGTCTGCAAACCCGCAGAGCCATGAAGCATTGTCTGTAGGCCAGCACTCATCCTCCACCCCTCTGCCTGCTTCTCCGCTCTCCTAGTTCCTTCTCCCTCCTCTAGGAATTCAGCATTGCCACTCTGATTGGCTGGATTTTGGGACATTGATTGAGCCTTGTTTTCTAGTGGGCAGGAGGCTCTGTGTCTTAAAGGCCACTGGCCCAGCTGCCAATGAATCAGTACTTTGTTTCCCCAGGTAGAGTGGGGGCAGGGGGCAGGGAACGGGCAGGGCAAGTTTGGGGCATTCTGCTCCGAGGTCCCTCTAGCCAAACGTTATCAAATCTCATCCAACATGCTCCTGGCTCTCCATTTCAGATGTCTGTAAACTGGGGACTACAAAATGCAAATATGTTTAAGAGTTGCTAAATTTGCAGTGACTTTTTCTCAATCAGTGTTTTGCAAATCTAACTACTATCATAGGAAGACCTTTATACTTGAAAAACTTGGCGGGTCACTCACCACCCAGATCAAGACCAAAGCATGGCTGTCAGTGCCTTCGCTTAAACAGTTCTCTCCACCTGGCCTGCCCTTCTGCCATGCCCCTCCTAGGCCATCACAGATGCCAGCTCAGAGGGGCAGTTCCTGCTGGCTGCATGGTGTCCCACCTGGACTGTGTCACCAGCCTCTTCACAGCCTCTAGCCTTCGGTGCTCCCTACCTGACCACCCATACGTCTAGCAGGCAGACGGACGGGTCCAGAAATGCACACCTGGTCACCTTGATTGCACTGAGCCCTGCCCTGCAGTCAGTTACCTGGGTTTTCCACCAGGCATCCATTTAGCTTAGTCATCTTCCTCTGGGACAGTGGCCGTTTGATGGTGACAGACCTAGGCCCAGGTTTCTAAGAATCAGGAAGATGAAGCAACAGGGAAAGCAGGTTGACCCTCGCTTCCTTCCCCTTCCACAGGACGGTCCTGCCCCGGCTGACAGAGGAGGGGTGAGTCCTGCTGCTTCCTGGCCTGTAAGATGCCCCTCAAGGTCGGGCGTGGTGGCTCACACCTGTAATCCCAACACTTTGGGAGGCCAAGGCGGGCAGATCACCTGAGGTCAGAAGTTTGAGACCAGCCTAACCAATATGGTAAAATCTCATCTTTACCAAAACGACGACGACAACAACAACAACAACAACAAAATTAGCTGGATGTGGTGGTGTGTGCCTGTAATCCTACTCAGGAGGCTGAGGTGGGAGAATTGCTTGAACCTGGGAGGTAGAGGTTGCAGTGAGCTGGGACTGCACCACTGCACTCCAGCCTGGGCGGCAGAGGGAGACCCAGCCAAAAAAAATGCCCCTTAAGTTTCCCAGCCTGAATATATTCAGTCACCTGAGCCACTGAGAGGCTCCCCCGTGGCTCCAGTCAGTGGCAGGAGCTGGAAGTCTCAGGAGAGAAGGAAAACGGAACCCAAACCTTTGCAAACACTCAGACCGGCTGCTAAGTGCCACGCACGCGTTTGATCACACTGACTCCTCCGGCGAGCCCTGTAAGGCTGGCGTTACTATCCCACTTTACAGATGAAGGAACTGAAGGTGGCTGAGGTAGCGACCCTTCCTAATGGGTGGGAGTGGGATTGAACTGAGCCACACAGTCAGCATTTATCCCCCCAACAAAGAGTAATAACTGCCCCCGTGGCCCAGGCCTGGCTTGCCAAAGGCTGTACATTCTGTGTGGAATAAACCTAAGATGCTGTGGGAGGGAGGGAGTTCAGGGAAGGCTTCCTGGAGGACACGGTGCTGCATGCCAGGCAATGGGAAATGCATCTTCAAAGGCATGGAGGTGTGACAAAGTTTCACATGTTCAAGGTTATTTCTCTAAGTTAGTGTTTCTCGAGGGGTGGCATCAACTGGGAGCTTTCCAAGCCTTGTCACCTACCCTGTACTCAGGATCAGGGCGTGGGGCTTGCTTTTGGAAATCTGCGTGGTCATAAGCTCCTGGGTGGTTGTACTTGAAAGTGGCAGTGCGAGAACCAATGGGGTGGGATGTGGAGGGCCCTGTGAGCCTGTTAAGGAAGTGGGCCTTGCCCCTTGGTGATGTGAAGCAGAGGGGGGATGGTGCTGGTGTCGGCTTCAGAGAGATCTCTTTGGCAGGTGTAGGTGACCAGCTTGGAGCCTGGGCACCTGAGACAAGGCCGGAGCAGCCATCAGGAGGCCAGACAGCAGGAATCAAGGTCTGGACTTCAGAGTGGTCAAGAGGATAGAAAGAATAGAGAAAGAGAGAAGGCAGGCTTGAGGAGGGCTTCCAGGTTCCAGCTTTATGGAGGAGGCGAGAGGGGGCTGGGTTTGGAGAATTGGTAGAGCCGAGACAGCAGTGCAGCCCTTACACCCGGGCAGGTCAGGACCCCACAGGCCCTATGCCTCAGGGTGCCCCACACCTTAGAGTGCCTTCCTCAGAACTTTCTAGGTCCCACCTGGCACCTAGAACCAGCTAGGCATGGCAGTGTCATCCGTGTGGGCACCCCAGGCCCAGGGTCAGGCCCCGATCTGCTGTCTCATTCCTCATTTATTCTCTATGGGACACTTTACAGCCCTGGACCCTGAGGAAGGGGTCTGCCAGGTGCCCTGAGAGCTCTGGGACTCATCCTATGAAGTGTCCTGGGGCCCTGAGGCCAGGTCCCAGTTTCAGGAGGGTGCCTGGAGAGCTGATCATCCCTGCTGGCCAGCGCAATGTTACTTTGGTGGGGTCATGTGAAATTGGGCTGCCAGAATGGTCCTCAAATGCTGATTTGAGGTGACTCCAAATATTTGCCTGCCCAGGGCTCTGCCTAAGGACAGCCGTGGGTGCAGGGACACTTGCTGCTGGTTGGTATCTAGACACTGCCCTGATATCCCTGGGTGCCTTCCTGCTACCCTGGCCACCCCAGATGGGGTGACTCAGGTGAGGTCCTTGGGGAGGCCACCCTGGCACCCACTGGCCAGTGACTCCCACCTGCTGGCCTCTCCTCATGTATTACACCTCCACCTTAATCACACGGCCAACCGCAATATCCCCAGCAATAGGGCCATTTGATGTCGCATGATCTGCTGCACTGAGAAGAACGCAGCGTCGCTTCTGTGGTTTCCCTGCTCAGAGGGCACGACCTGAATCCAGTCCCAAGGAAACAACAGCCAAACCCAAACCGACAGACATTCTGCAAAGCAGCTGGGTTGTCCTCTCCAAAAATGTCAAGTCATGAAAACACTGAGAAACTGTTCCAGCTTAAAAGAGACCAAGAGCCTGGGCACAGTGGCTTACACCTGTAATCCCAACACTTTGGGAGGCTGAGGTGGGCGGATCATGAGGTCAGGAGTTCGAGACCAGCCTGACCAACGTGGTGAAACCCTGTCTCTACTAAAAATACAAAAATTAGCCAGGCATGGTGGCGCTTGCCTGTAATCCCAGCTGCTCGGGAGACGAAGGCAGGAGAATTGCTTGAACCCAGGAGGTGGAGGTTGCAGTGAGCCGAGATCTCACCACTGCACTCCAGCCTGGGTAGTAAGAGTGAAACTCCATCTCAAAAAAAAAAAAAAAAAGACCAAGAGACATGAGAAGAAACTGCAACAGGAGGTCCTATATTGGACCCTAGACCCATTCACATCATTATTGGTACCATTGGTGAAATGGGAATGGGGTCAGTGGATTAGCTGGTAATACTGTATGAATGTTTGTGCTGTGATAGGCCGGGCACAGTGGCTCACACCTGCAATCCCAGCACTTTAGAGGCCGAGGCGGGTGGATCACAAGGTCAGGAAATCGAGACCATCCTGGCCAACGTGGTGAAACGCCGTTTTTACTAAAAATACAAATATTAGCTGGGCATGGTGGCACGTGCCTGTAATCCCAACTACTTGACAGGCTGAGGCAGGAGAATCACTTAAACCCGGGAGGCGGAGGAGGTTGCAGTGAGCTGAGATCGCGCCACTACACTCCAGCCTGGTGACAGAGTGAGATTCTGTCTCAAAAAAAAAAAAAAAAAAGTGCTGTTTGTGCTGTGATTATGCAGGAAAGCATCCTTGTTTTTAGGAAATACAAACTAAAATATTATGCGTGCACTTACACCCAAATAATTCTGGAAAAATATTTACATATATATATGTATACACATATATATTCATATATAGATACATCTGTAAAGATAAGTGTAGTAAAACATTACTAACTTGGACAATCTGTGTGAGATAAATATAGGAATTTTTGTACGATTTTTGAAACTGTTCTGTAAGTTTGGTATTATTTCAAAATAAAAAATTGAAAGCAATTTTACAGTCTCAACAACCACAAATTATAATAGACATGGCTACCATAATTGAGCATCTAGTATGGACTCCAATGCATTGGCTCATTTAATCTAACATTAACAACACAAGGTAGATATTATTCGTCCTGTTTTACAAAAAACGAAAGATCTCAGAGTGGTTAGTGACTTTCCCGAGGTCATACAGCTTGAAAGCAGCAGAGGCCAGAATTGAACCCAGGCCATACTGGCTTAAGAATCCGTGCTGTCAACCTCTGAGAGATGGAGAAATGAGCAAGTAAACAGACGACAATTACACAGGGTGGCAATTATGGAGACAGACTCTGAAGGGAGCCCAGATAACCTGGAAGGCTCCATGTAGGAGGCGATATTTGAACTGGGCCTTGAAGCATGTATAGAAGTTTTCCACTTATGGAAAGAAAGTCTCCAGGTAGAAGAAATGGCATAGTCAAGGGCGCAGAAGCTTGAAAGGATAGGTCCCTGGAGGTTGTTTTTCTGGGCCTCACCACCCTGTGGGTAAAAACGTGGTTACATTAAGTGTCACTGGCTTTTTGTCATTGCCTACAAAGTGCCCCTCATGCTTCTCCATGAGTCCACAATCCACATTCACCTCCGTCACATAACACAACAGGAGGTGCCCCTTCCCCTCATTTTGAAACCTTCAGCATCCCTTTGCCACTTTTCTGCTTGTGTGGCCTTAGGCAAGTTACATAACTTCTCTAAGCCTCAATTTTCTCATCTGTGAAATGGAGCCAATGATACCTACTTTCAGGGCTAGATAAGGATTAAAAGAGAATGTCAGCCAAGGGTTTGGCTTGGTTTCTGATATGGATTAAGCCCATCAAAGATGGTGGCTGTTCTTATGAATGAGGACCCTAGATCCCAGAGAGGGGCAAAGACTGGTCCAGGTTCACACAGCCAAGCAGAGGCAAAACCAAGGCTCCACCCCAGGCCCTGGTCCCCACTAACCTCCCCCGAACCCCAGCCTGCCAATGTTCCCAGCTCGTGCTCTCCCTAGCATAGGGCAGAGCCAGGCCACGAGCAGCTCTCTAGCAGCCGAGGTTCTCTCGGGGCTCAGCCTGTTGGGCCTTGGCTGGGCACATACGTATTTCCTAATGTGGCCGAGGGGAAACAGCCCCAAGTGTCAGAGGCTGTTGCACATTTGGCAACAGCCAACTGCCGGTATTGCTTTTCTTCCCGTGATCCTCCCTCGGGCTGGAGGAGGCCAGGCCTGCCGTGAGCCAACATTGTGACACAGGCGCAGCTCTCCAGTTTCCTGAGCAAAAGAAGCCAGAGAGGCACCCTCCCTTCCACCCACCCCTGGAGAGCTGCTCTATCTTGTTTTCCTTTCTCTCAGCCTTCAGCTTGTCCCAGAAACTGCCCTTTGTGCAGGGCTCAGGCCTTCAGTCTGAGAAACCACCCTCCTTCCATCAGCCCCCAGGCACCGATGCAGATGCCTCCCCCCGGAAGCGTTGGGGGTTTGCCAGGCCAGACTGAGCTTGTCCTTAGTCTCCAAGCACTTAGGGTCTAGAACTATGCTCTGACTCTTCTTTTAATTTATTCACTATTGAGTAAATCTTGTGTCCCACTCTGGGATTGCTGTGATAATAATAATTAATATTAGTATTAATAATAATGAGGAAGCTCAGCCCCTACCCTGTGCCCCTTGGAGGCTCATATCTTTCTGACCAGATTACTCAAAGGAGCCCTTTTATGAGACGTGAAGCTGGGAAGGAGACAGACAGTGTTTTTTAGCATAACAAAGCAGGGGAGACACCCTCTTAAGAGTTTATGCCATAATACAAAATTAATACAAATTGTACAAAATGTCTGATTCTCTTTTTTTTTTTTTTTTTTTTTTGAGACAGAGTCTCGCTCTGTCACCCAGGCTGGAGTGCAGATCACAGCTCACTGCAAACTCCGCCTCCCAGGCTCAAGTGATGCTCCCACCTCAACCTCCCAAGCAGCTGGGACTACAGGCGTGGGCTACCATGCTGGCTAATTTTTGTATTTTTTGTAGAGACGGGGTTTCGCCATGTTGCCCAGGCTGGTCTCAAACTCCTGGACTCAAGCGATCTGCCCACCTCGGCCTCCCACCATGCTGGCCTGATTGTCTTTTCCA
This sequence comes from Homo sapiens, assembly GCF_000001405.40. Lineage (NCBI taxonomy): Eukaryota > Metazoa > Chordata > Mammalia > Primates > Hominidae > Homo > Homo sapiens. The sequence continues at coordinate 38,299,877 of NC_000020.11, forward strand.
CACTGCACCTTGAGGCTGGATCTCCAGGTGGGCCTGCTTCTCTCCTCCCCTTCACCCTCCAGCATCTACCACAAGCTCCTCCTTCACCTGCAACCCCCTCTCAGGATGAAAGAATGGCTGGCAGCATAGCCTGGAAGCCGGACACACAGAGGAAGGGGGACCCTGGTGGGTGAGGGAGGGAAAGGGCTAGAAAATCAGAGCTGAGGGGAGGGAGAGTACAGGGCCTCAGGTGACCACAGAGGTGACCTCATGTTAAACCCAGGCAAGACCTGTGCCTGAGGATGGAGCGTGGGGACAAACGAGGAAACAGGTTCAGCAAGTTTAAGCAGCAAGCTCACAGTCACAGAGCGAGGAAGTGGCAGAGCTGGGATCTGGGCCCAGGTTTGTCAGGTTCCAAACCATGCCCTTAACAGCCTTGCTGTGCTGCGGGGGCTCACATAAGGCAGGGAGTGGCTGCTTCTCCTCCAAGCCCCTGGCGGAGTGGAAGGCTCACAGAGGCAATGTAAGCCACAGATTCCTCTATCTTTGCCCCTATCCAGTCCAAACCCAGAGGCCAGAGGGCCAAGAGCTCAGTTTCCAGTGCCCCTGGCTTGTTTTCCTGGGGGCTCTGAGGCTCTCCAGCCAGCTAGTGATGAAGGTTGACTTACGATTATTTACTGAGCACCTTCTCTGTGCAAATCGATTCACACCTATTATCTCATTTCATCCTCAGGAACAACTGCCATGATGAGCACTGTTTCCTCATCTTTAAATGAGGAACCCCAATTTCAGAAAGGTGGAGGAACTTGGCCAGGCTCACAGAATAGGGTAGCATGGCTGGGACTATGAACCCAGGACTGCCTGGCTCTAAACCCAATTCACTTTCTTCTGGAAAAAGTCGTCAGCCTAAGGACGGAAGAGCAGGAAAATAGACAGATCCAGCCCTTGAACTGACCAACTCTTGATCCACCCCATCTGTGAATTTCTACTGAGAAGAATATATTTTCCCTATGATTTAAGCTGCATCAAATTGAAATAGCAGGAGAAGAGTTTTGGGGGATGACAGGATTCTTCTATATCCTGATTGTGGTCCTGGTTACAACACATAGCTATACATGTATCAAAATTCCTAGAACTAAAAGGAACTCTAGGAAGCAAATATGGCAGAATGTTAAGGTTTTATAAACCTATGTGGTCTATTCTTTTCTTAGGTTTGAAATATTTTATAATAATTTTAGGGAAAAGAAAAAAACAAAAAGCAGGAGGAGGAGGAAGAGGAAAAGGATATTTGGGGAAAGTCTGTTTAGATGGGATGGCTGGAGCTGCTGCGGCCATCTTGCAACCATGAAAGAAGCCAGTGTAAGAGCAAATCTGAGACACGGGGATGGGAGAGCAGAGAGATGGAAAGATGATCCTGCAGATGTCGGTCAGTTGCTGAATCAATCAGAATCTCAAACCTGTCCTCCTCCCTCTGGACTTCCTCTCTGCCATAATAAATTTGTTTATCGTTGAAGCAATGTGAGTTGATGGTTTCTGATACTTGGGTTGAAGACACTGTTACTGATACAGGATACGGGGTCAGATCTGAAGCAGTGGGGCAGCCCCATGGCCAGCAGCAGTGCTGACAAGGAGACTGTGGAAAGTCACTGATGTGGCTCATCTAGATGTGGCTGGGCATGAGACATCGGGGAAGCCAGTGGGGTTGCTTGTTCAGAAACTTGCCAGCTGGGTTTTTTTTTTTTTTTGGTGGGAGGTTGTGGGGGGACAGAGTCTTGTTCTACCATCCAGGCTTGAGTGCAATGGTGTGATCTTGACTCACTGCAACTTCTGCCTCATGGGTTCAAGAGAGTCTCATGCCTTGGCCTCCTGAGTAGCTGGGATTACAGGTGAACACCACCATGCCTGGCTAATTTTTGTATTTTTAGTAGAGACAGGGTTTCACCATGTTGGCCTGCCTGGTCTCGAACTCCTGGCCTCAAGTGATCCACCTGCCTTGGCTTCCCAAAGTGCTGGGATTACAGGTGTGAGCCACCACCCCCGGCCGTCAGCTGGTTTTAAGATTCTAATTTTATAGCAATGTAGGTCATTGTCATGTGATTTCATCTTAATGTTCCTTTCCTAGCTGACACCCTCACGGATACCACATCTACCTGGGCCTTGGGGAACTCAGGAACTTCGAGCAACTAAGAGCTGGAAGTGTTCAAAAATGTGCAAGATAATTTTTCAAAAATCTAATTTTTGTGACAAGTCATCAATCTATGTGTTCTGGCTGCTACTTAGAGCAATCTTCCTGGTACAGATGCAGACATCTGAGTCTGGGGGCTCAAATCACTTGGAAAAAGGGAGAGCTGGGGTGAGGGCCTACAGTCATGAGTCCTCCTGGCACCTGCCTCAGGTAAGGGAAAATCTTCTCTGCGTGAAAGGAGGAATGACCATGACAGTGATGTGATCGCTGCATCTCAGTTTCCTTGTTTCCAAAATGGTGAAGAGGTCAGGCACGGTGTGGCTCGGCCTTAATCCCAACACTTTGAGAGGCTGAGGCAGGAGGATTGCTTGAGCTCAGGAGTTCAAGACCAGCCTGGACAACATAGTAAGACCTCATCTCAATAATAATAATAATAATAATAATAATAATAATAATAAAACAAAATGGGGAAGAATCATCCCTCTCTCAGGGTTGTTTTTTGGCTTGGAGATGATGCATATGAAGCATCTGGCACACAGTGGATGCTTCACACACGGCCACTGCTTTCATTCTGAAGCAAGCCAGAAGAATTCTAGTTGCTGCAGATGGAAGCAGGAGGGGAGACTCTTTTAGAACCAAACGAAGAGAGGAAGAAAAAAACTTTTAAGAAAAAAAGAAGAAAACTTCAGAAGGTCTCACGTCCTCCGAGCTCAGCGGACTTCATTAGACTTTCATAAAGTCCAAAGTCGGGGAGACAGGGCACTAGGGGGCTGATGAGGACCCAGCGGGAGAGAAGCTGGCTGCCCCTTCTGCAGCCCCGCCCCTCCTCTCATCACCATGGAGACGGAGCAGGCTGCCCAGTGGGGTTCCTGCCCACCCGAGGCCTGAGGCTGCTGCAGAGGGAGGGGCAGGGGCTGAGCAGACAGGGACCTGTCTGGAAAGCTGGGTTGGCGGTGGGGAGTGTCTACATCCCCCCAACTCCCAAGGCGCTGAGGGATTCGGGCTGGTGTGGGATGCATCTGGAGGGCTGTGTTTTGATCCTCGCTCTGCTAGCAGCTTGCTGAGTGACCGTGGGAAGAACGCTTCCCCTGGTGAAGCCTCAGGTTCTACATCTGCCAAAGGAAGGAGTAAAAATGTACAAAAACAGAAGCTTGGATAAGAAAGCTGTGGGATGAGGAAGCAATGAAATATTTAATGCTGGAGAAGAACATTTGCTACCTATTGTTTCTCGAAAAAAGGGAACTTTACCAAACTGACCAGGTGATCCCATATTGGTTAACAAACAAACATGGACTCTCTACCTATGCTTACCAACAAAAGAGGGAGAAAAGAAATACTCTAAAATACACTTTGGCTTGTCTCCGGAAGAGGGAGTTATATGTAATTTGTATTCTCTTGTTTCTTTCTCAAATTTTGGCCAATAAACATGGGTTACTTTTAAAATCAGGATAACATTAATAGCTAGCATTTGGATATTTATTTTGCACGGGCAGTATGCTAAATGCTTTACGTGGTTTTAAGCTCATTTTATCTTCTCCACAATCCAGAGAGGGAGCAGTACTATGTATTTCTCTTCTGCAGAAGAGAAAACCGAGGTTCAGAGAGGTTAAAGGGCTTGCCTGAGGTCGGACCACTAGAGAATGACAGGGCTAAGATTTAAAACCATAGCCAAGATACTAGACTCTAAAATGTGAGCATTGAATCATTACCACTACTGCCTCTCAGGACAAGAAAACACGAAAGCATCTGTTTTCTTAAATGTTTTACTATCAAAAATACAAAAGAAATCAAAAGTAGAAAGAAAAATATGAATCCTTATGTCTGTGCCACCCACCTTCAAGGGAGTCTGTAGATGGGGGCATTTGGGTGGGGACACAGAGCGGGGAATGGGGTGCCTAGGGAGGGGAACCAATCTACACACACACATACACACACGCACGCCCGCGCACACACACGCATGCATACATGGACATGCGAGCCTCCCAGGCTGCACTTCTCCCTGCCTGTGGGGCCCTAACCACAATGGAAAACCACAGCGGCCCTCCCTCTTTCCCACCCTCACCAGGTTCCTTCCTCCTTTCCACATTCTACTGACTTGCATTTCCCCAGCCGACTCTTTTATAGCTCCCTGGTTCAACCTCAAGGCCTTGAGGTTTTGGCAGCTCTGGAGGATGAGAGAGAACATGGCCAGGGGCCCTTGCAACGCGCCGAGATGGGCGTCCCTGATGGTGCTGGTCGCCATAGGCACCGCCGTGACAGCGGCCGTCAACCCTGGCGTCGTGGTCAGGATCTCCCAGAAGGGCCTGGACTACGGTAACTGGATGCCTCCCTTCCCTCCTCTCCACCCCTGAGGAGCACTTACTTAGCATCTACTGTGTGCACCCCTTTAGATCCAGCACCTGGCACACTCATAGCACCTCAGGGCAGGTCCCCTTGCCCCCATTTTATATATGAAGAAACTGAGGCAAAGCGAGTTGCCTAAGATTGCAGGGCTGGGATGGCAGAGCTGGGATTGGAGCACTGGTCTAGAGGACTCCAAGTCCAGTGCTCAGACCCCTGAGGGTCCTCATGGTCCCCTCCTTCCCTCTATGTAACCTCCACCTTTGACTTATAAGCCCTTCTCTTCTTTCCAAAGCCAGTTCTCAGCCTTGCCATTTGCCTCTCGTTGCTGAGGAGGCTGAGCAGGGTCAGAGGGAGAGTGTGGGAGGACCTCCCCACCCCGTGCTCTCCCCACTGCAGGGGCTGGCGGCCATACTGTGCACAGTGCTCCACTGGGTGACACAAAGAGGGTCCCCCCAGACCACTCACCCCAGCCCAGGCAGAGGAGAGAAAGACCTGCTCTAACCTGTGCCAGGCATTGAGCTAGGAACTTTACACACACAGTCTCTTTTACCCTCACTTCAGCCTTGTGTAAGACAAACTGCTGCTATCCACATTTACACGTGAGAAGTGGGCAGCCTGGATTTGAGCTCTGGTCTTGCCTGATGCCCCAGCACGGGGTTGCTCGATGCTGCCTCCCGATGGCAGAGAGATGACCTGCAAAACAGTGGGTGACACCCAGCCCCAGGGAAATCAGACCAAGGGGAAGGCAGAGCCTCACCAGTTGGGGTGCGTTGGGAAAACAGACAGGACTCAGGGGACCTGGTATCCCACCCCTGAATTCCCACCCCAGCCCAGCAGGACATCACTGAATCCTAGAGCTGCAGACAGAAGGCCACAGAAGACAGAAGAGCTAGGGGGAAGGAGTATGGCCCTGAAGCCTGTCGACACAGAGGCTCAGTCAGGGTCTTTAAGTTCAGTGGTCTTCATGCTCCGTCATAGCAGCCTGAGTTTCCCCTTCTACCCAGGCCCCTTGTGCCAATCGGAGTGAGTTTTCTGAAATGCAGCAAATCCCTACACATCCTCCCCTGGCTCACATTCTCCATGGCTCCCTACTGCCTTCAGAAGCTATCCTGACCCTTTGGCATGGCATTTGAGACCCTTCGAGGCCTGGCCCCTGTCAACTTACAGATCCTGGCCACTGCACATTTTTTTTTCCCTCCACACAGTGACCAGTTATGTGTCATTTACTTTTGAACCCCCAGAAAGCCTTCTCTAGGGCATGGGCTCTGGGACCAGAAGGCCTGGGTTCAAATTCTGCCCCTTGTCCGCTGTGTGGCCCCTAGCAAGTCACCTCAGCTTTCTGAGCCTCAGCTTCCTTATCTGTGAAATGGGGGTAGTGACAGGACCTACTTCCTAGGATTGTACAAATTCATACATATACGGAGCCTAGAACAGTGCTTGGCACAGAGTAAAGCTCGATACATTTCATTGATATTATTATTTCCTAACTGGCTCCGAGAAAACCCAAAGTCTGGGCTCCCTCATCTTACTACTTACTCCTTTTCAGGTAATGTGTCTGCCTTTTAATTGGTTCTTTGATGCTGTTAGCCACATTATAACTGGTGGTAGAATTCCTGCCATTAGGACATTATTTATTCATCTAATAAATCTTTTTTTGTTTTGTTTTGAGACCGAGTCTCGCTCTGTGGCCCAGGCTGGAGTGCAATGGTGCCATCTCAGCTCACTGCAACCTCTGCCTCCGGGGTTCAAGTGATTCTCCTGCCTCAACCTCCCAAGTAGCTGGGATTACAGGCGTGCACCATCACACCCAGCTAATTTTTTGTATTTTTAGTAGAGACGGGGTTTCACCATGTTGGCCAGGCTGAACTCTTGAACTCTTGACCTAAAGTGATCCACTTGCCTTGGCTTTCCAAAGTGCTGGGATTACAGGCGTGAGCCACCGCACCCAGCCTCATCTAACAAATCTTAAGTGCCTTCAAAGTGTCAGGCACAATGGGAATGTAAGGGACACACGAGTAAATAAAACAGATTGCTGCTGACTTCAGGGGGCTTACATGTAATAGGGGAGAGACATTCGTCAGAGTCACGTGAATAAATGCATAATTACAAATGGTAACAGGGGCTCCGAAAGAGCAGTCCACAGCATCATGAGAATAACACAGGGCGTTGCTCTGATCTACTAAGCCAGGGAGGGTTCCCAGAGGAAGTGATGAATGAGCTGACTAGAAGCTGACCGGGTGAATATGGGAGGGAAGAATTTCTTAGGGAGCAAGAATAGCATGTGCAAAGGCCCTGGGGAGACAGTCCAAAACCCAGAGAGGTGGGAGATCTGTGGGGGTGTAGCATAGAGCAAATAACAAATTAAGTATCCAACAAAAACTAGCAGGAGGCATAACTGGGTGTTTCAGGGGTGATATTTTAGACCAGGGGTCAGCAAACTACAGCCCTCCGTTTTTGTATGGCTTATAAGACAAAAATGGCCTTAATGTCTTTAAATGATGGGAAAAAAATCAAAAGGGCCGGTCATGGTGGCTCATGCCTGTAACTCCAGCACTTTGGGAGGCTGAGGTGAGAGGATCACTTGAGCCCAGGAGTTCGAAACCAGCTGGGCAACATGGTGAAACCCCAGATCTCTGCAAAAATGTTAAAAAAAAATTTTTAAAAAGTTAGCCTGGTGTGGTGGCGAACACCTGTGATCCCAGCTGCTAGGGAGGCTGAGGTGGGAGAATGACCTAAGTGCAGCGGGTCGAGGTTGCAGTGAGCCGTGATCATGCCTCTGCACTCCAGCCTGGGCGACACAGCGAGACCCTGTCTCAAAACAACAACAAAAGAAGAAAAATACTATCTCACAACATGTGAAAATTATATGAAATTCTCATTTCAATGCCAACAAATAAAGTGTTATTGGAATACAGGCACATATAAGAACATGATATTGTCTATGGCTGTTTTGTGCAGTAATGGCAGAGCTGAGTATTTGTGACAGAGGCAATATGGTTTCCTATAAAGGGTCAGTTTACTATTTGGCCTTTTCTAGGAAACCTTAATTGATCCCTGTTTTTGACCCTTCCAGTGCCACTGTCCATGCTACGAACAGGGGCCCAGGGTCCAGAGCCTGCCCTGCCCCTCTGTCCCCTGCTCCAGGCTGTGCCTCTCACTGTCACCCCTGCCTTCTCCCTTCAGCCAGCCAGCAGGGGACGGCCGCTCTGCAGAAGGAGCTGAAGAGGATCAAGATTCCTGACTACTCAGACAGCTTTAAGATCAAGCATCTTGGGAAGGGGCATTATAGCTTCTACAGGTGAGGCCTATCAGAGCTCAATCCTCGATTTGCAGGACTTGTAGTGTTCTGGGGACACCAAGAGCTAGAATGCAGAGCCACAAACTCCTCAACTCACAGAGTTTCATATCCCAAAGCCTGCATTTACATCATCCCAAGGGGAGGCAACCTCCCAGCTGAGCGTGGAGGAAGCCACAAAAACCACGACTCCCAGGAAGTGTGTCATGAACCCCCAAACTCTGCGCCATATGTCAATTAGAATGTGCAAGTTTTCAAGGTCAGAAAATCTTTTCTAAAATGGCTTAAGGCAGAATGCATTGGCTCACATGGCCGGAAAGTCTCTGGAAGAGTCTGGCTTCAGGTTCAGCTTGAGGCAGGCTTACATGTCACTGGGCCCTGTTTCTCTCTTGCCACCTCTCAGCATCACTTCCTTGGACAGGCCTAATTCGCAGGCAGTGTGTCCCCTCCAGAGGCAAGACAGCCACCAGTAAGTCTCTCTAGATCTCCTGCTCAGCACTCTGAACAAAGAGCCCTAAGACTCACTCTGACTGGCCCACCTCAGATTATATACACAGCCCTGAGCCAATCACTGTAGCCAGGGAATGAAATACACTACTTGGCCGAGCCTAAGTTGCAAGCTCCACCCCCGAAGATGGACGTGAGGTCAACTTTCTTTGGAGTGGCATGGAACAGATATGGGGAGGGGCTTCCCCTAAATAATCTAGTAGTTCTGTTATCACAAGAAGGGGGCTGTGCACTGGGCAGAAAACCCATAAAAGTCCTCTACAGTTTTATACACCCATTCATTCACAGATATTTTGAGCACCCACTGTGTGTCTGACACAGCAGGCTTTGGGGCTGCAATAGTGAAACAAGACAGAGCTATACAGAGCTCTTCTGTACAGAGCTTCCAGTGAAAGGGCCTTCTATTTTATCTTCATTGATTGCCACACACCCTGCAAAATAGCAATCACTGTGCCCATTTTACAGATGAGGAAACTGAGGCTGGGGTAATTATGCCCAAGGTAACCCAAGAGTATATTAAAGAGCAGGATTTAAATGCAAGTTTTTTCTGACTTCAAAACCTAAGCCACTCCAGTTGCCTACATATCTGCCAAGCCTGCTTTCTTAGCTTTGGGCTCCTCCTGGAATGGATGGAGTGAAGGACCAGGTGGTGGGGGACGAGTCTGCATTAACCATTAACGAAGTCCTCATGTGTGCACCTAGGAGTATATGAAATTATATGACATTCACATTTCTCCTTTGCAGCATGGACATCCGTGAATTCCAGCTTCCCAGTTCCCAGATAAGCATGGTGCCCAATGTGGGCCTTAAGTTCTCCATCAGCAACGCCAATATCAAGATCAGCGGGAAATGGAAGGCACAAAAGAGATTCTTGTGCGTTTCCATGCTTGCGGTTTGTTGGGTGTGCTCTTGGTGATATTTGGACGGGATTAGAGAGTCAGCGTCTCTGGAATGCCCAATTTTTGCCTTGCCTATTACCACCTATAGCCACAGCGTTCCTCAGGAAATTCTTCACATGAGAAGATTCAACATAACCCTTGATTAATAGCTGAGAATTTATCCACATCTCAGTGCAGGATACTGGCGAGGCTGAGTTGGTGTATGTGGCTTAGGGTGGAAATCTAAGTGGAACCTTTAATTTATCCCGTTTATCAGTTAGCTATTGCTGTGTAACAAACCATCCCAAATTCTGTGGCTTAAAACAACAATCGGCTGTCATCACTTATGTATCTGTCGGCTGGGGCTTAGCTGATCTGGGTTGGGCTTAGCAGAGGAGGCTTGGCTCCACCTGTGTCTCCTCCTCCTTGGACCAGTGGGTTATGCAGAGCATATTCTTGGTGATAGCAGAGGTGTAAAAAGGGAAAGCAGGAACACACAGGTCCTCTTAAGGCCCAGGCTCAGAATTTATATACCATGGCCAAATCATTTCACGTGGCCAAGCCCAAAGTCAAGGGCAAGCAAAGGCACCTTCCTCAACCCTGCCATGATAGGCAATGGCAAGGGTATGAATGCAGGGCAGGGTGAAAAATAGGGGCAAATAACCCAAACTACAACTCCAAATCTAAGTCCTGGGATCTCTCCACAGCTACCCTGCCCATTAGCAATAGTGGTTCAGACTGACCATCGCTTTAGGAAGGTCTCCTTTCTAGGGAATCTAGGGAGGAAAATGGAGGAGAAACCACCCTGGCGGATGAAAGGGGCGTGAGTCTGCCCGCCCTTACAAGAACTGCTGGATGTGTCTCCTCCCCACAATAAGAATCACTTAACTCTCTCCCTGGGCTGTTTTGCATCTGTCTTTTCCCTTAATGATCACACACAAAAACAAAAGAATGTCCACTGTCTCAACCAAAACCCATTTCATCCCTGAAGGAGGAGTTATTAACCTCATTACTGAATTAATGGGGGCATTAATGAATGAAAGTCATTGGCCCCAAACACCCAGCTTTTTAGTAGCAAAGCTGAGACACACACTCTGGTGTCTGACTGCTGATCCAGGGTCTGAGGGAGGAAATGGAAGCTCAGAGAGGTAAGAAACATGCCCAAGGCCACACAGCTAGGGCAGCAGCTGAAGCAGTGGTTAAGAGCAGGTTTCTGCCAGGCAAACATGAGTTCCGAATTCAGGTTGGATTCCTGACTCTCCCATTCGGCTGCTATGTGATCTTGGGCAAGCTGCCTCTTCTCTCTGAACGTACCTCCTCACCTGGAGTGGGGATAATAACAAAACCCGCCTTCCAGCACTGGGGCAAAGTTTGAATGTCAGTGGGAAGAAAGGACTTGTCCCACATTCCTCTTTGTTCTTCTTCAGAAAAATGAGCGGCAATTTTGACCTGAGCATAGAAGGCATGTCCATTTCGGCTGATCTGAAGCTGGGCAGTAACCCCACGTCAGGCAAGCCCACCATCACCTGCTCCAGCTGCAGCAGCCACATCAACAGTGTCCACGTGCACATCTCAAAGAGCAAAGTGGGGTATGGACTCCCGGGACTGTGGCTGGGAGGAGGGACTTAAAGAAGAACTCTCCCAATCATCCCTGTATTCCGAAAACACATCCAGAGTGCCACCTGCATGCCAGGCCTTGCTCAGAGGCCTCAGGCATGGTATGGGGGCCAGGGGCCCACAGATGAACCAGACACTGTCTCTTTCTCAAGGCATCATTTGTTCATTCCATACTCATCCAGCAGACTTTACTGAGCACTTACTATGTCCCAGGCTCATACTAAGCACTTTACATATGCACTAAATTATATCCTCATCACAAATCTGTAGGCATTCATCTATCCATCCATTCAACAAATACCTAGTGAGAATCAGCTCTGCACCAGGCTCGTGCAACATGGTCAGGAAACAGGAGTGACAAATGAAAACTTAGCAAGAGCTAATATTGGTCAGAGGCTGACTGTGCCCAGCACTGATTTGATCACACTCATTATCTCATTCAAGCCACACCATGACTCTGTGAGGTCGGTCTATTATTACCCCATTTTCTGGGGAGAAAACCAAGGCATGGAGAGATAGGCAATAACTTAAGTTGCTACAGCTAATGAGTGTTCAAGTCCAGGTCTATTTCACCCCAGACTCAGCCACACAGTCCTGTTCTCTTAAAGTTTTCAGCCCAGTGGGGAAGACAATCATTAACCAAAGCATTGCATGAATGAATGGCCCACACAGAATTACAAAAGGAGACAAGAATTAAGAAAAAGAGGTACAAACTTCTATGAACGCAGAGAACCAGAGGCTCTGACCGCATCTGGGAGCAGGCCAATTCTTCCTTGGTGAAATGACATTTGAACTGAGATGAAAGGATAAGTAGGCATTAGTTAGGGAGGTGTTGGGGAGGGGGGTGTTTTAAGCAGAGGGAAGAGCATGTGCAAAGGCACGGTAATGGGAGGACACACAGGAGAGAGGACATGGCAGGCCAGTGTGGCTAGTGTGCAGCAAGGGAGGGGACTGGTAAGGAATGAGACTGGGACGGGGGCCCAGCCATGCAGGGATTCAGGAAATAGCCTCATGAACAGGTCACTAAATCGGGGAGAAGTGTCTGATGGGGTGTGTGCAGTTAGAGCTCAGAGGAGAGGGTGCCAAAACCTGTTTCTAGGAGGGAAGAAAGCTTTTGAGATGAGGCAGCCTCCTGAATCCAGCCCAGGGACAATCAAAAAGCCTCATCTATGTCCCTACTTGTTCATCTCTAGGTGGCTGATCCAACTCTTCCACAAAAAAATTGAGTCTGCGCTTCGAAACAAGATGAACAGCCAGGTAGGAGGGGCTCAGAGCCCCATCAGCAAACAGAGGAGAAGGGCCCTTAGTAACCACACACCTCCCCCTTCTACGGACACTCTGCTGTCACTCCAGACCCCTTGGTAGTCCTTATGGCCCTTTGAAACCACAACCCCAGCTCTAAAATCCTGTCATGTATGTTTTGCTGAAGAGTCCACCAAGAGACCAAGAGACAATCACTTCCCACACTCCCAGCAAACTTTCCCTCATGCCAAGCTTGGGCCACCTCTGCTTTTCCCCAGCCTTCCTCCCTGCTGAGAAAATGCCATTCTCTTTCTGCCTCCCTCTCTTCCCATAGCCCTGCTAGCCTCCCTCCACCCCACCCACCCCAAGTTCCTTCCTTGATGCTCCCCATTCAGAACAAATGCCATTGATGAAGCTGCAATTCTGGCCTTTGGCCAAACCCCAGCCATAGCCCATTCCCTGAGGCTGGAACTAGTACAAGAGACGGGTATCAGCCAGCACTTCCCGAACCATGCCCATAGCCTAAACCCGCAACCCACATACTTCAGTTACGGGATGAGGCCATTCATTTGGCTGGTTTTCCATTAACAAATTATCAGTTTTTAAGAATCATCTGAGCCTGTCTCAAAAAGCAAAGAGTTTTGCCTCTCTCCAGAGGGCAATGGAAGCCACTGAAGGTTTTATGCAAATGGGTGACTTGGCCAGATCTGTGCTTTACAACAATTTCCCTGTCCACTGTGGGAATGACTGGAGGGGCCAGGAGTAGGAGCAAGGAGACCACTGAGGAGTCTCATGCGGTCTTCTAGGTGGAAGATGTTGGTTTCCTTGTTAAAGACACTGAAAATACAGATGGGGGGCATCAATCAAGTGAGATCATCTATCTGAAGATACTGTGTCAAAAGCTTAAAAAGCAAGAAGTCAATACATGTTTGTCAAAATGCATAACACAGTGGACTATAGAATGGGTTTTAGAGTCCCATGGCAAGAGTGGAGCCAGTGGCTCGGTTGGGATTAGATGGGACAGTTCCAATGAGCAGGACATTCCCCAGCCAAAGTCTCAGGGTAGGGTCTCAGGGAAGGTTTTGGCTTGGGCTCCAGGGCTTAACTAGCTGTGTAACCTTGAGGAAATTACTTGACCTTCTTGAAACTCAGTTTTACCATCTGTAAAATGGGGACATTAGGCCGGGCATGGTGGCTCATGCCTGTAATCCCAGCACTTTGGGAGGCCAAGGCAGGTGGATCAACTGAGGTTAGGAGTTCAAGACCAGCCTGACCAAATGGAGAAATCCTGTCTTTACTAAAAATACAAAATTAGCTGGGCATGGTGATACATGCCTGTAATCCCAGCTACTCGGCATGCTGAGGCAGGAGAATCGCTTGAACTTGGGAGGTGGAGGTTGTGGTGAGCCAAGATCATGCCATTGCACTCCAGCCTGGGCAACGAGAGTGAAACCCTGTCTCAAAAAAAAAAAAAAAAAAAAAAAAAAAAAAGGGTAGGGGGGACATTAATACCGTCTTCACCAAGGCACTGTAAGGATTCATGAGATAACCCAGAAAATGTGCTCACTCACTAGGCTAGCTCACCCACAGTTCAGCTGTCTGTATAATCAAGTAACAGTCTGAGAGGAGTGTTGAGATATATTTAACATTTGGAACAATTACAATGATTATTTCTTAGTACCATCTAAAGGTGGCCCCTCTATAGCAGCCAAGCTAATAAGTAGTAATGCTGCTGCTGCTGTTGATGATGATGATAATGGTGAGGTTGATGATGGTAATGGTAATGGTGGGGATGATGGTGATGATGGTGATGGTGAGGATGATAATGGTGATGGTGATGACGGTGATGGTGAGGTTGATGATGGTGATGGTGGGGATGATGATGATGGTGATGGTGAGGATGATAATGGTGATGGTGATGATGGTGATGGTGAGGTTGGTGATGGTAATGGTAATGATGGGATGATGATGATGATGGTGATTCTGAGGATGATAATGATGATGGCGATGATGGTGATGATGGTGATGGTGAGGTTGATGATGGTGATAGTGAGGTTGATGGTGATTATGTGGTTGATGATGGTGATAGTAATGGTGGAGATGATGAGGATGGTGATGGTGATGGTGGTGATGATTATGGTGAGGTTGATGATGATGATGGTGATGGGATGATGATGGTGGTGATGGTAATGGTGGGGAAGATGATGATGATGATGGTGGTGGTGAGATTGAGGATGGTGATGGTGGGGATGATGATAATAATGATGGTGATGGTGATGGTGGGGATGATGATGGTGGTGATGGTAATGGTGGGGAAGATGATGATGATGGTGGTGATGGTGAGATTGATGATGGTGATGGTGGGGATGATGATAATGATGATGGTGATGGTGATGGTGATAGTGGGGATGATGATGGTGGTGATGGTAATGGTGGGGATGATGATGATGATGGTGGTGATGGTGAGATTGATGATGGTGATGGTGGGGATGATGATGATGATGGTGATGGTGGGGATGATTATAATGATGATGGTGATGGTGGGGATGATGATAATGATGGTGATGGTGATGGTGGGGATGATGATGGTGACGGTGATGGTAGGGATGATGATAATGATGGTGATGGTGATGGTGGGGATGATGATGGTGGTGATGATGATGGTGGGGATGATGATAATAATGGTGATGGTGATGGTGGGGATGATGATGGTGGTGATGGTGATGGTGGGGATGATGATAATGATGGTGATGGTGATGGTGGGGATGATGATGGTGGTGATGGTGATGGTGGGGATGATGATAATGATGGTGATGGTGGGGATGATGATGGTGGTGATGGTAATGGTGGGGATGATGATGATGGTGGTATGGTGAGATTGATGATGGTGATGGTGGGGATGATGATAATGGTGATGGTAATGGTGGAGATGATGATGATGATGATGGTGATGGTGATGGTGAGACTGATGATGGTGATGGTGATGGTGATGGTGGTAAGTATACACCGATTTAATAGGCATTTTCTTCCTCCAAGGCAGGAGCTCATCCTGGGAAGTTTCAATGGTGATAGCGAGGTTGATGGTGATGGTGATGGTGGGGATGGTGATGATGTTGGCCCATATAATATACTGAGTGTTTACAGTGATCTGACACTATGCTAAGAACTTTTTCCATGGATTCCAGCATTTAATCCACACATTCTGGCATTTAATCCCCTGTGAGAGAGATTCCATGATTATCCCTATTTTACAGGTGAGTAAACTGAGATACAGAAAGTGGAAGTAATAGTGCTTGGATTCAAATCCAGGATACCCTGCCTCAGAGATGAGCCTCTCTCTTAACCATAAGATCCAATTTAGAAGCAAGTACTGGCCTGAATGAATGAATGAAGGAATGAAATGTCATGATGCCAGGAGGGTCTGGAAATGGTGAGAAGTGAGCCAGGGAGTCTGCCCCCAGGGAATACAGCATGTAGGGCTGGTGTCTGAGGGAAGGAAGAGCCTGCGTCAGTACAAAGTGTGCATGAAGGGAAGAGCAGGGAGGGAGCTGGGATCCCACCAGGATTTGCTGCGATCTGGAGCCATCTGTTGGCCCTGATGGGTGAGCAACACTGATGACAATGCCTGAGGGGCAGCTCAGGAGTCCAGCAGGGCCTCAGCTGCCAGCTGTGCTGTCCTCTGTTCCTGGGTCCTTTGGAAAAGAGGTGCAGGTTCCTTGGAGAATGCCAGTCCAGGTCCTCTTAGGACTTCAAGAGCCTTATGTGGTAGAAACACACTTCAGGGAAACCAAATTTTCTCCTTCCCTCCTTCTCACTGCTGTCTTCCCTCCTTCCTTCCTTTCTTTCCTTCTTCCCTCCTTCCTTCCTTCCTTTCCTTCTTCCCACTCTTCTTCCTTTCTTTTCTTTTCTTTTCTTTTTTTTTTTTTTGGTGATGAAGTCTCTCTCTGTTGCCCAGGCTGGAGTACAGTAGCACAATCTCAACTCACTGCAACCTCCGCCTCCCGGGTTCAAGAGATTCTCCTGCCTCAGCCTCCCGAGTAGCTGGGATTACAGGTATCTGCCACCATGCCTGGCTAATTTTTGTATTTTTTGATAGAGACAGGAATTCACCATGTTGGCCAGGCTGGTCTCAAACTCCTGACCTCAAGTGATCCACCCACCTCGGCCTCTCAAAGTACTGGGATTACAGGCGTGAGCCACCACACCCAGCTCTTCCTTTCTTTTCTCCCTTTCTTCCTTCCATCCCTTTCTCCTTTTCTCCCTTTCTTCCTTCCTTCTTTCTCTTCCCCTCTTCCCTCCTTCCCCTTTTCTTCCCTCCATACCCCAGGAAAAATAACTTGATTGGCAGTGTAGAAGAAGGGGTAGGGGAGGATAGAGGTGACCTCTAGGCAGATGGTGCAGCCAACCCTAAGGAGGATTAAGAACCTGAAGAGTTTGGTTTGGGATGTGCCAGCCTTGGGGACCAGTAGGACACACAGGGACAGTTGTCCTTGAGGCAGCTGGGTCCCCAGGCTGAAGCTCAGAGGAGAAGCCTGGGCTGCAAAGTAAGGCCTGGGTACTGGCCACATGTTGGGAGCAGTGGAGGTGACTCCGCCTGGGATCCCAAAGACAGATGCTGAGTCAGGGTTTGGGTGCAAGTCATTTATTGGGAGGGGTTCCCAGGCAGCGCAGTGAGGAGGTCGGGAGGCAGGGAAGGGCCTTTACTGAGTGGGTTGCTGCTATGGGCAACTGGGACTCAGTCCTGCTGGCAATTCTCAGAGGAATGGTGGGGAGCACACCTCAGAATTGTCCCAGAAGCGGGAAGAAGGCTGGGGTATTTGTCTACCACCTCCTACCCTTCTTTCATTGAAGGCTGTTCTTAGGGTCCTAACTGCTTGGCACTTCTGAGCACAGTCCAGAGAGTGTGGGTGAGGCGCTGCAGCATCTGCCACAGGGGCCATGGGGATGCCTGAAATGGCTCAAGAAGAGGGCCTAAGTGGAAGGGACAGGGAGCCAGGAAGAAAGCCCAGAGAAGCTCCCACATCTTCAGTGAAGGAGGAAGAGCTTGCAAAGAAGTCTGGGGAAAAGCCTGCAGGGGATAGGAAGAAAGTGGAAGGCCTTGGTCACAGGACTCTAGAAGGAGTGTTTCTAGAAGGGAATGGGCAACCACACCAGGAGCTACCCAGTAGTCAAGAAATGCAAGGACTGAAGAGACTGCTGGATTACTGAGGGAAAGGTCATTCGAGAGCAACATCAGGAGAGGGAGGGAAGGAGCTTGTCTGACCACCAGCCCCAGCCCCAATCTCTTAGTGAGGAGAAGCCTGTGGTTTAAATCCTATATTCTAGCTATCTATTGCTTGAAAACAAACAACTCAAAATTTGGTATCATAAAACAACCACCATTGTTAACATTCATGGATTCTGTGCATCAGGAAAAAGGCATGACAGGGATGGCTAAGCTCTCTGCTCCATGAGGTCTGAGGCCTCACCTCAGAAGACTCAAAAGTTCCATGTTAGAATTACCTGGAGAGTTCCTCTCTCCCATCTCTGGTGCCTGGGCTAGGAAGACTTGAAGGCTCAGCTCTGCTGGGACTATTGACCCAAGCCACTTCCATGGTCTCTCCACAGGGCTTGGGCTTCTCGTAGCATTGAGTGGGTTCTGCACAGCCTTTTATGACCTCACCTCTGAAGTTACACAAAGGTCAGGTGTATTGTTGTGTTCTGTTGCTTAGAAGCAAGTCGGCAAGCCCAGATTCTAGTGGCAAGTTCACAGACTCCATCTCTTGGTGGGGGTGTGGCAAAGCCACATTACAGAAGAGCAAATGGAATGGAAAATGTAATTTGCCATGTTCCGTTTTACAGATGAAGAAATAGAGGTCTAGATAAATGGAACAACTTCCTCAGTGTCAAAGTCAGTGTGTGGCCCAAGTCAGATTTTCTCAGGCTAGTGTTTGTTCCATTGTGAGTCATGGGCTAGGGGACAGGGGGATTGGGGTGGAGTGGCAAAGGCAGGTAGGGAATGGCTTCTCTGGCCATACATACCAAACATGAGGGTGCCCACCTAGACTTAAGCAGAAACACTGCCCATGCTCCCAGAAGCCCAGGTAAGGGAAGGCTGGCCATTGACTACCTCGTATTTGTTTATTACCTCATTCCACAAAGGATCTGAGACAGCAAAATCAAACAGAAACAAAAGAAAAAACAAAACAACAACAGCAACAAAAAAAAAAAACCTTATAAAATAGAAAACATAAACCCTCATCAGTTCCACACACCAGGGCAGGAAATAGAATGCAGTTATGTGGGCCATACAGTCATATACAGTTATTATTTCTAAGCTACATGTTCAACTCTGAGCTTCCTGGTGGCCAAAAAGAAAAGGGAAACTTGATTGGCTACATAATTTTCAAGAAAACATTCAAGGAAAGCAAGGCATATCTGGCCCGTTATTGTCAAGGGACATTTTTCACTATGGGAAGACCTTACTGATTACTTGTTTGGTTCTCCCCAGGTCTGCGAGAAAGTGACCAATTCTGTATCCTCCGAGCTGCAACCTTATTTCCAGACTCTGCCAGGTGAGGGCTGGATGAAGATCAAGGATAGAAAGGAACAGAAATGGGAGGGGGTGAGGACGTCAGGGTGGATGTGATGGGGCCGGCAAGTTTCCCAGACAGCCCTGGGCCTGGGTGGGAATGAGCAGAGTAGTACATTATTTTCAAGAGGCAGCTAGCATTGGGTCAAGTCCTTGTGCTAGGTCCAGAAGTGAGGAGGACAAACAGCCCATACTACCTCATTCCCTCAGCTCTGCAAGGGCCAAACAACAAAATACCCCCAGCTCTCTGAGGCCAGAGACACATGACTGGCCTGAGATCTGATATTGGTCACTTCTTTTTGGATCTCAGTTTCCATGTCCTTAAAATGGGGACAGTAATCTTCACCCCCAAGTACTTGGCAAGCTGCAAAGAACTGTGGCAGGCACTCAGGAAATTGTCCGCTCTCAGCCTCCCAACACTCCCCTGAGAGAGGCATTATTCTCCCCGTTTTACACAGGAGTAACCTGGCCGGGGTCACACCTGTAATCCCAGCACTTTGGAAGGCCAAGGCAGGCGGACCACCTGAGGTCAGGAGTTCAAGACCAGCTTGGCCAACATGGAGAAACCCTGTCCCTACTAAAAATACAAAAATTTGCCAGGCATCATGGCAGGTGCCTGTAATCCCAGCTACTTAGGAGGCTGAGGCAGGAGAATCACTTGAACCCAGGAGGCGGAGGTTGCAGTGAGCCAAGATCATGCCACTGCACTCCAGCCTGGGTGACAGAGCAAGACTCTGTCTCAAAAACAAAAAACAAAACAAAACAAAAAACACATGAGGAACCTGAGGCTCAGAGAGTAGGTGAGACTTGTCCAGAGTCATGAAGCCATCAAGAGGCAGAAGAAAGATACAAATCTGGAGCTAAGATTTCCTTCACTCCAGAGCCTGGGCTTTCAGCTGCTCTCAGGACTACCTTGCTGTAAAGCCTGGCATGGTTGGCACATAGTATATGCCCATTTAAGAGGCATTTTCTTCCTCCAGAACAGGAGCCCATCCTGGGCAGGTTCAATGCAGCTGCAGTGCCCAAGGTTTGGCCTCAAGAGGCAGGAAAAAGATTTTGGTCTGAATGCCAGCTTCATCACTCACCAACCATTGAACAACTTGGATTTCTGAGCCTTGGTTTCTTCCCTGCTAACTGAGAAAAGGGATATTTATTTAATTCTCATTGATTACTACTGGGAAACAGAGAAACTCTCCAGACTTGAGCCAGCCAGGGCTTAGCCTTGTCTATTATCAATGATCCTAACAATGATCCTCTCTGGCTTCTGAGCCTCTGCATGGACAGGGCATTGGGCATCCACCTCCTCTCAAAACCCTCCCAGCATCTGTGAGGTCACTAGGATTCTCTCTGTTCTACAAATGACAAAAAGTGCTCAGAGAAGTGCAAGGACTTGTCCAAGGTCATCCAGAGTTTGGTTCAAGCCTAGGTCTCTCTGTGCCCTTGACCCTGTGTCTTAGCGACTCATCTCAGGGCTGTTGGAAGAAGAGAGTAAGGGGGTGTCTGTGAATGTGGGGTGTGGGTTCATTTTCCCTTAAGGCGAGCTCCCTTAAGGAGAGCTCCCTGGAGAAGGTGGGAATGAAACTTGCACTGCAGCTCTTGATTCAATTTTAGGGGATTCTGATCCTGCATTTCAGCTTCCAGCGATGCTGCCGTGGGAGCCAGCTCATGGTCCATTTTCTTTCTCTCTAGTAATGACCAAAATAGATTCTGTGGCTGGAATCAACTATGGTCTGGTGGCACCTCCAGCAACCACGGCTGAGACCCTGGATGTACAGATGAAGGTGAGGCTGACACTGAGAATCATACACCCTCACACCTCTGTCTCAGACACTCCAGGGCTCCCCAGTCCTTGGAAACAAACTTAACAATGTCCCCTACTTCCTATCTGACTCACCACCACCCTCTCTACTCTCCCCGCCTCTCCCTGCTCCAGTCACACTGGCCTCCCCGCCATTCCCCGAAACACACCATGCCTGCCCCACCCCCCTCCAAAGGCCTTTGCCCTTGCTTTTTCCTCCGCCTGGGTACTCTCCCCCAGGTTTCCACACAGCTCTCCCTTGCTTCCTTCAAGTCTTTGCTCAAATATTCCCTCCCTAGAGAGACCTTCCCAGACCACTCTCGCTGAAATAGCTCTCTCCTCTTCCCCCACATCCTGCTTTATTACCAATACACACACACACACACACACACACACACACACACACAGAGTCTCTAGTCTGTCTCCCTCACTATGATGAGGGAGAAGGGGCTGCGACTATTTTGTTCACTACCACATGTGCAGCACCTAGACCAATGCTTGGCACATACTAGGTGCTCAATAAATTATTTGTTGGATGGGTGGATGGATGGATGGATTAGTGGATGGATATATGGATGGATGGGTAGGTGGATGGGTGGGTGGGTGGGTGGATGGATGGGTAGGTGGGTAGACAGGTGGATGGGTAAGTGGATGGGAGGTGGGTGTGTTGGTGGGTGGATGGATGGGTGGGTGGGTAGACAGGTGGATGGGTAAGTAGATGGGAGGTGGGTGTGTTGGTGGGTGGGTGTATTGGCGGATGTAAAGGTAGGTGGGTGGGTGGGTGAATGAATGGATGGGAGGGTGGGTAGATGAGTGGGCGGGTAGGTGGATGGGTGGGTGGGTGTATTGGTGGATGGATGGATGGATGGATGGATGGATGGATGGATGGATGGATACATGGATAGATGGGTAGGCGGATGAGTGGGTGGATGAATGGATGGGTGGGTGGGTAGATGGGTGGGGGTAGATGGATGGCTGGGTGGATGTATTGGTGGGTGGATGGATGGATGGATGGATAGATGGAGTTTTATTTCATGCTGCTCCCTCCCTTACTCACCACCCTCCAACCAGACACACTGGCCTTACACTTCCTCAAATAGGTTAAGCTTCCTCTCACCTCAGGGCATTTGTCCTAGCTGTTCCCCCTGCCTGGTACTCCTTTCCTTCCCAATGCCCACCTCTACCCCGCTGGCTTCTTATAGTACCATGTGGATCTCCACTCAGCTGTCACTCCCAGAGCAGCCTTCCCTACCACCCCAGCAAGAGTGGGTCCCACTCTGAAATTCATCCTGGATTGTGCCTCCTTCAGTCCTTCCATATTGGTGATTTGCTTGTTTGTTTACAGTTATTTGTTTGCTTCAAAACACATTCAATGTGAAAAAGAAACTTTAGAAACTGCAGAGGAATGCAGAAATAAATATAGGAAAGAAGGAAAAAAAAGAGAGAGAGAGAGAGAATTACCCGAGTCTACAACCTAGAGATAAGCATCATCAATAAATAAGTGTAGATCCCTCCAACCCTTGTCTTTGCAGAAACAGAGGAAGATACACACACACACACACACAGAGAGAGAGAGAGAGAGAGACAGAAACAAATGTACACATATATAGATACAAAAACAAATACACACAAAACCCACAATATAGAAACAGGAAAAAATGCACACATATGTACTCACATATAGACAACAAAATACACACAGACATATATTTTGCATGTGTCATATTATATATTCTGCTTTACAACTTTAAAAACTCAACACGTATCATAGGAACATCTTTGCCATCCATGAAATGTCCTCTTGCAGCCCTTTACTGGCTGCTTGGATTTTCAGCGGACAGCTTGTGGTAATGTACGAGGACAGTGCCCCCTCCTGGGACACTTGGGCTTTCCATTTTTTTTTCCACAAACGTAACCAAAGCTGCAGTGATCATCCTTGCAATCGTGTCTCTGTCTATCCTTGAGTATTTCCTAGAAGTGGAATTGCTAGACCAAATGGCATACTAAGAAAAAAAAATGAATACCCACATATATCTAAGTGATACAACAGACCAAAAGATTAAAACAATAAGTAATTATCCTCAGTGAATAAGAAAGGTCTTGTTTATCTCCTGGGCTCCTGCCCAGAGTTGATCACTGACAACCATGGAGTGTGTTAACCTCCCAGGTCCCTGGTTCTAAGCACTCACATAAATGCATAAGAAAATCCATCTAGATTTTGCTGATGCTCTACATGAATGGATACACACTGTTCTTCCACTTGCTTTTCTCACTTAACAATATGTATTAAAGATAAATCCTAGTCAGTACATAGGTCCATCTTTATTATTATTATTTGAGATGGAGTTTTGTCTTGTTGCCCAGGCTGGAGTGCAATGGCGCGACCTCCACTCATTGCAACCTCTGCCTCCCAGGTTCAGGCGATTCTCCTGCTTCAGCCTCCGGTCACTGGGATTACAGGCTCCCGCCACCACGCCTGGCTAATTTTTTGTATTTTTAGTAGAGATGGGGTTTCACCGTGTTGGCCAGGCTAATCTCAAATTCCTGACCTCAGGTGATGCACCTGCCTTGGCCTCCCAAAATGCTGGGATTACAGGCGTGAGCACTGTGCCCAGCCCATCTTATTATTATTAAGAGTTGCATGTATTCCATAATATGGAGGTTATGTTTGTTAATTTTAAGTAATAAAATAATTCTAAGGTACAGAGAATGCTATACACTTCCAAGTACCCAACACACAGATTTAAGAGATCTTACCATTTTGTCATATTTCCTTCTGATTTTTAAAAAAATTTAAAAAACTGTAGAAATAACTAACGAGGCCCCCTTGGGTGCCTCTCCCCCCACCCCAGAACCATGTTGATGATGTTGGTGTGTGTCCTTTTTGCCTGTGTTTTTATACTTTTTATGGGCCTTTAAATTTTACATAAGTGGTATCCTACCATATGTATCCATCTATAATTTGGTTTTTTAAGCTCAACATTTATTTGCTAAATAAATGATCTGCTTTTGCAACATATTGCCAAATTGCTTTTCAGAAACATAAAGAACAACCTTAACAGCTTATGAGTGCTCTCACCAAACACTGGGTAGCATCAGTTTAAAGCACACACGACTCTCAAAACAATTTTCCTCTTTTCCCATTTTGCTAAGTTTACCGACGAAACAAACAGGATTTCACTGTTCTTTTCGTAGGGTTTCTGTGCTTACTAGCAAGGTTGAGGTTGAGACAATGGAGTGGTTAGGAGAACGTTCACTGGACATTGGAGGCCTGGGTTCAATTTCTGGCTCTGCCACTTACCAGCTGTGTGACCTTGGGCAAGTCACTTCACCTCCTTGTGCCTCAGTGTCCTCTCCTATAAGATGAGCATAATTATACCTGCCTTCCCAGGACTGGCATGAAAGGCACTTAGAAAGTAATGCCCAGGAGGCTTTTGATGCTACTGTTAGTTTCTGGTCATTGCTTTTTCCTTTGCAAGTGTACAATTGGTGTCTTCAGTCCATTTTTTCCTGGATGGAGATGTTGACTTATAATTCCTGAAGAATATCTGGGCTCACTCTGTTGCCTCTACCCCCAGGGGGAGTTTTACAGTGAGAACCACCACAATCCACCTCCCTTTGCTCCACCAGTGATGGAGTTTCCCGCTGCCCATGACCGCATGGTATACCTGGGCCTCTCAGACTACTTCTTCAACACAGCCGGGCTTGTATACCAAGAGGCTGGGGTCTTGAAGATGACCCTTAGAGATGACATGGTAAGGCCGGGCTCTGGGTGGGTGTGGGAAGAGCACTGGACCCAGAATCCTGCAGACCTTCCAGACAAATCTGGAAAAAGCTTTTCTCACATTGGGGTAGGTTAAAGTGTTGACTCTAGAGTCAGCTAGAGCTGAGTTCCAATATCGGCCCCACCCCTCTCCAGCTGGGTGACCCAGGTCAATTACTGTACCTCTCAGAACTTGTTTTGTCATCTGTAAAACACCAATAACTGGCTTTCTCCAAAGGGTGTCATGAGGATTCAATGAGATAGTAATGCCTGATTAAATGAGATATTAGTCTATGAGAGGACCGAACACAGAGCTTTGAATGTAGGAAGTGATGAATAAGAAACATAAGGGCTACATTGATGAGTACTTGTCAGATTCTGTCATCCAGTCCTAGCACCATGCTAAGGCAGAGGCAGACTTCCTGGAAATGGGGCATCCTATGAGATTGGTTTGCAGGCAGATTGGGCTTTCTCAGGAGCAAAAAACAAGCAGGCGGTCACTGACCAGCTCCTGACCATTCTGGGCCAACTGCTGCAGAAGGTGTGGTTTGGCTTCCAGGCTGGTTGCTGCAGAATTTGTGGGTCAGTGCTCTGTTGTCACATAGGGGCTGGCCACTGTCTGTGTGTGCAGTCAGCCTCTCACCCCGATACAGAACTCACCCCCTCTGCTCCGTCTGTAACAGCATCCTCCGAGATCCTTTTCTCATCTCTTGCTACAGATTCCAAAGGAGTCCAAATTTCGACTGACAACCAAGTTCTTTGGAACCTTCCTACCTGAGGTATGGAAGACCTTGCTTTCCTTTAGTGAGCCCCGGGGGTTCTGGGAGGACAGGGCTTTGCTGAGTGGATGATGAGAGCCCTCCACCCAACATAACACACACAAGATCCAGAAACAACCCAGCATGAAAGGGTGGAAATAGCTTCATCCACAGAACAGAGAAAAGCTCCAAGCGCCCAGTTGACCAGGTGTGGGAGTAGATGCTGGCAGGAGGTGGAGGGAGGGTCTTTCATGCAATAAATTCTTATTGAATGCCCACCATGTGCCTGGGGCCCTGTGCTGGGAACCCAGCAGAATAGGGCACCTCCCTACCCTCCTGGAGCTCCCAGACCAGTGGAGAGAGAAAAATATCATCCAGATATCCAAAACAATAACAAAAATAGTGTGGACTGTTACCAGTGAAACCAACAGGTGGATGAGGTTACTTTAGACAAGGTGGTCAAGGACGCCTCTGTCTTTATCTGCTCAGGCTACCATAACAAAATGCCACAGACCTGGTGGCATAAACAACAGAATTTATTTCTCATAGCTCTCGAGACTGGAAGTTCAAGGTTAAGGTGTCAGCAGATTTGGTTTCTAGTGAGGGCTCTCTTCCTGGCTTGTAGACTGCCTCCTTCTTGTGTCCTCACAGGGCCTTTTCTCAATGCATGCATGGTGGCGGGTGGGAGAGAGCTCTCTGGTGTCTTTTCTTATAAGGACACTAATTCTATCAGATCAGGGCCCAACTGTTATGAACTCACTTAACCTCAGTTACTTCGTTAGAGGCCCTTCTCCAAATGCAGCCACACTGGGAATTAGGGTTTCAACATATGAATTTGGGAGGACACATTCTGTTCATAGCAGTGTCTCTGGTGGTGAAACCCCAGAAATTTCTATACAGAGAAGCTCTGGTTGGGGGGAGAGGTGTGGCTGCTAGGGGTGTCCAGGAGTGTTGTCTTGAAGCTTCATTTGCATAACAATCACATTATTTTTACTCAGACTGTGGGTTTACCTGGGGGAAGATCAGAGACTAAGAGAAAGGGGAAGAAGGTCACAAAGGCCCTCCTTAGTTCCCCCTTGAAGCCACTACTGCTGTCTGAGAAAGTAACATCTGCAGAGACCTGAAGGAAGGGAAAGAGCCGAGAGAAGAATGCGAGGAAAAGTATCTAACAATGGGGAACAGAGAGTGCAAAGGATTTTAGATGGCAAGAGAGCTTGTTGAGTTTGGGGCACAGAAAGAGTTCCATGTGGCCAGAGATGGAAGACAAGAGGCAGAGGTACATGTGGTGAGGTTGGCAGGGTGCCAGCTGGCAGACTGTGCAATCTTAGGATTTATTCTAAGAGCAATGGGAAGACATTGAAGGTATTTAAGTAGGGGCAGGCCAAGGTAGGATTCAGAAACATTTTAACAGAAACTCCTCCTTTCGTTGATTGTCTCCACTGGGGGCTGCAGGTGGCCAAGAAGTTTCCCAACATGAAGATACAGATCCATGTCTCAGCCTCCACCCCGCCACACCTGTCTGTGCAGCCCACCGGCCTTACCTTCTACCCTGCCGTGGATGTCCAGGCCTTTGCCGTCCTCCCCAACTCCTCCCTGGCTTCCCTCTTCCTGATTGGCATGGTAAGCAGTTCCTGGGTTGGACAGATGAGGAGCCCCAGACAGTCCCAACAGCACTGTCTTTGGAGTCAGGAGACCATGTGAATCCTGTCTGGATTCAAACCTGGACTGTGTCACTCCGGAGCCTGAGGCTTGAGTCACTGTACTCAATGGTGCCGACTCCTGGAGGTATTCATTCACCCAGCCATTCACTAGTGCGTTTGTTTACTTATTCATTCAATTATTCATTCAGTCAATTTCTCATTCATTCAATTATTCATTCCATGTTGGCTTGAAATATGTGTACTGTTCCAATTCATCCATTTATATCTTTAGTCATTCAATTATGCATTTGTGTATTTGTTCATTCATTCAATTATTAATTCATTCAGTTATTTATTAGATTGTTGACTTGAAATATGTTATACATTTTCTGATTCCCACTTGCACTCATTTATTCAATTATTCATTTACTTATACCTTTGTTCAATTGATCATTCATTTGTATATTTGTTCATTTATTCGTCCATCATTTATTCATTCATGCATATCTTT
The DNA here is from genome assembly GCF_000001405.40 of Homo sapiens. Classification (NCBI taxonomy): domain Eukaryota; kingdom Metazoa; phylum Chordata; class Mammalia; order Primates; family Hominidae; genus Homo; species Homo sapiens. The sequence continues at coordinate 38,326,964 of NC_000020.11, forward strand.
GTTATTCTTCAATTCACATATTTTTTAATCCTTCATTTGCCTCAGTTTTCACTCCATTGTTGATTTATGCATTCATCCCTTTGATCACTCCATCACTCCGCAAAGATTTGGTGGCACCCATATGGCCACTGAGGGTGTGGTTCAGACACTCTCTGCACCAGGAAGCACTTAGAGGCCTTAGGCAGGTCTACTGGGTCTCCCAAGCTGAGACCTGTTATTCCCACTTTGCAGACAGAATAGGTCCTAAGAGGTCATCCAAGACCACACAGACTGCACAGAACAGCTGAGGTGGGAACCGGGGACTTCCTTCTCATATTTTTTGAATGAATTAATGAATGAGGGATTGTGAGAATGGGGCTGGCCTGTCTTATGCAGCCTCTCCGAGAGTGGCCCAAGAACTCTGAAATGGTCCTGGAAGTAGAGAGAGAAAATGGAAATTGACAGTTTAGGACTCAACAGCCACAAAGCCAAGGGAAGTCTCCCCACTCCTCTGGCTCTGTGGGCCTGACCCCACAGTGTATGCTGCCCTGCTGAGCCGTTGTGAAGCTGACCCTTCTTGGTTTGGAGGCCTTGCAATCAGGTGCCTGGGTCAGGGCACTTCACCCTGGGTTGTTGTTTTGGCAGCACACAACTGGTTCCATGGAGGTCAGCGCCGAGTCCAACAGGCTTGTTGGAGAGCTCAAGCTGGATAGGTAAGTGGGCCTGTGAGAGGAGGAGGGGGCTGCCCCTCTGTCCTTGGTGTCTGTGGGATGACAGTGGTCCTGTGATATACAGAAGCACTGCATTGTTGTTTTCCTGTTGGCTCATCACATTAAAACCTCAAAGAGTGTGCGATGGCCACAGTATCCCCATTTTGCAGACCATGAAACTCATGCTCAGAGAAAAAGTGACTTGCTCGAGGTCACACATTGTAGGTGACCAACCATCTCAGCTTACCCATAAATGTCCCGGTTCTAGCAGTGACAGTCCTGTGTTCTGGGATATGGCCAGTCCTCATGGCTGGGAGGCGTCAGCTGATGATCCCCACTGAACCACAACAGCATGCAGCCACTGCACGTCCCTGGCTTTCCTTGACACTAGGAGATCCCGCTTCAACTTCTTCTCACCCCATCCTTGGGACTTTAACCACCATCCTCTGCTGGGAGACTCTGGAATCCACATGGCCCTGATTTGAGTCCCAGCAAGGGAGTTTGTGGTTAGGAGTGTGGCCCCAACATGAGGCTGCCTGCGTTAAAAGTGTGGCTCACCTTGGCAAGCACCAAAACGCTGCCAACTTCAGTTCTCCGACTGTCAAATAAGCCCAGTAAGGCCAGGCGCGGTGGCTCACGCCTGTAATCCCAGCACTGTGGGAGGCTGAGGCAGGTGGATCAACTGAGGTCAGGAGTTTGAGACCAGTCTGGCCAACATGGTGAAACCCTGTCTCTATTAAAAATAAAAAATTAACTGGGCATGGTCAGGTGCCTGTAATCCCAGCTACTGGAGAGGCTGAGGCAGGGGAATGGCTTGAACCTGGGAGGTGGAGGTTGCAGTGAGCCGAGATCGCCCCATTGCACTCCAGCCTGGGAGACAGAGTGAGACTCTGTCTCAAAAAATAAAAAATAAGCCCAGTAATTACTTTGCCAACAGCATTATTGTGAGCTGAAATGAGGTATTAATATGTGTTGAAGTGTTTAGAACACTTCCAGGGATAGAATAAACACTCAATATGCAAGAGGGAAAGAGAAACAGAAATGCAGAAAGAGAGAAATACAGGGCCAGGCATGGTGGCTCACGCCTCTCTCCCAGCACCTTGGGAGGCCATGGTGGGAGGATCGCCTGAGCCCAATAGTTCAAGACTAGCTGGGGCAACATAGTGAGACCTCGTCTCTACCAAAAAAAAAAAAATTGTTTTAATTAGCCAGGCATGGTGGTGCATGCCTGGGGTCCCAGCTACTCGAGAGGCTGAGGTGGGAGGATCACTTGAGCCTGGCAGGTCAAGGCTGCAGTGAGCCATGTTCCAGCCACTGTACTCCAGCTTGGGCAACAGAGCAAGACCCTGTCTCTAAATAAATAAATAAATAAATAAATAAACAAATAGATTTTTAAAAGTAAAAGAAATACAGAAAGGGAGTTTCAGACATAGAGAAAGAGACAGAGACACAGAGAGTGACACTCAGAGAAGGAGACAGACACAAAGGAAGGAAGGGAGGGGAGAGATGTAGAAAAGGAAAGGTAGAGAAAGAGGGAGACACTCAGAGAAACAGAGGGAGGGAGTCGGGGGGCAGAGAGAAAGAGACACCATATGCAAGCAGATGTGATGGCCCCCCGCAGTTAGACCTGGCACCCGCCTCTTCAGCACATTTGCGCTGTTTTCACGCCGCCTTGACCCACATCCCTGCCCAGTCCCGCCCTCTCCCTGGCACCAAGTCGTCCTTCTTCACCTTGAGACGAGCCCCAGAGGTTTATGTGCTACTCATTTCTCCTGGCATCATGTTGACAAGCATTACTGCTTCAGAAACGTATAGATTTAATTTCTCTTAAACACCCATGGGCCTCTAAAGTAAAGGAGCTGGAGAGGATACAGCTGGGTGTGGGCTGAGCACAGGCTTTCTGGAATATGCAGGGGATGGGGATAGGGTATGAGAATCCACGGAGCAGAAATCCTGGGGCTACTGACTCTTGAGGAGCAAGGGCAAGTTTTTAAGCTTTGTACAGTGTTGGAGACAACCAAGGCTTTGCCTTCAAGGAGCCCTGTTCGAAACCCTGCTTTATTTTATTTATTTTTTTTTAGACAGAGTTTTGCTCTGTCACCCAGGCTGGTGTGCAGTGGCATGATCTCAGCTCACTGCAACCCCTGCCTCCCGGGTTCAAGCAATTCTCCTGCCTCAGCCTCCCGTGTAGCTGGGACTACAGGTGCGCACCACCACACCTGGCTAATTTTTGTATTTTTAGTAGAGACATGGTTTCCCATGTTGGCCAGGCTAGTCTTGAACTCCTGACTTCAAGTGATCTGCCTGCCTCAGCCTCCCAAAAGTGCTGGGATTACAGGCATGATTCACCGTGCCTGGCCAAAACTCTGCTTTATTATAGCCTGGGCAACATAGTGAGACCCTGTCTCTACAACAAAATTTTTAAAAATTAGCTGAGCTTGGTGGCATACCCCTGTAATCCCAGCTACCTGGGAGGCTGAGGTGGGAGGATCACCTGAGCCCAGGGAGGTTGAGGTTGCAGTGAGCTGTGATTTTGCTGTGTAGTGCAGCTGTGACTACACTCTAGCCTGAGCTAGTGAGACCCCATCTCAAAGAAGAAAAAAAAAAGCAAACCGTGCTTTGCTAATTGTTAGCTGTGTGACCTTGGACCATTGTTTGATCTCTGAGTATGTTTCCTCATCTGTAAAAATGAGAGTAATGGCCCTTGCCTCTTGTAATGTTACTGGTATTCAGTGGGATAGAGCGCCCAATACAGCTAATGAATGGTTGGGGTTCAATAAACAGCCATATGTTCCCCCCTTCCTCTGAGATCACTGTTAAAAATGTCATAAAGGCCTTAAAGGGAAAATAGTATATTGGCTCAGGTAACTGAAAAATCCAAGGCTTTCAGTCAAGGAAAGACCCAGGTGCTCAAATGATATCCTTAGGAATCTGTCTCCATCTCTTGGCTTTGCTATCCTCTGTGCTGGCTTCATTGCCCAGCAGGCTGTCACCAAGTGGTGGCAAAATAGTCACCAGGAGCTTCCTTATTTTCCCAGAGAAAAGAGAATACCTTATTCCCAATATTCCCAGCAGAAGTCCTGGGACTGACTTTCATTGGGCCAGCATAGGTCAGAGGTACATCCTTGCAGCAATGACTGTAGCAGAAGAAGTGGACTATGCCCTTTGGTCAGCATGGCCCAGAGCTCAGTGTGGGGTCAACGGCACTAACAATGCAGGGAATGTGTGAATTCTCCAAAGGCAACATCGGGGGGCTGTGACCCGTGGAAGGGGAGTGGATACTGGGTGGGAAAACCAGACAGTATCCACCAGAGTGGGTCTCTCCTCTCTAGAGACTGGGTTCTCATGCTAGTCAGGCAATTGGTGGTCTCAGTCCCCTCCTCCCCCTCTCACAGGCTGCTCCTGGAACTGAAGCACTCAAATATTGGCCCCTTCCCGGTGAGTCTGAGGCCCTTGGTGGCTTCTTCCTCCTTCTGACCTGGCGGCGGGGAGGGGGACATGTCATAGGCTCAAGGCATTATTTAAGAGGCTACTGGCTCATTTGCATTTAATTTGGTTGTGAATTAATAGTTCAAGGAGCTTCGTGGGCAGAGGGACCTGAGCCAGAATCCCTGCTCCATACTTACTAACTGTGAGGCCTTGGGCAAGTCACTTCCCTTTTCTGAACTCCAGACCTTCCCCACCTGAGTGAGTGTAGTATGGTTTAAATGGGATTAAACATGCACAATCTGGTAGAGAAAATCTGCTCAACAAATGTTTGTTGGATGAACAAATGAATTACTTTATTGAGCACCTATTATGTGCCAAGTACTCTTCCAAGTATGGGGTAGGCTGATGCATCAGACAGGGAAGTGATGCCTTCTCAGAGCCTTACATGGCAGTGGGAAGACAGCACAATAAGAAATGAAAGGCCAGGCATGGTGGCTCATGTCCATAATCCCAGCACTTTGGGAGGCTGAAGCAGGAGGACTGCTTGAGGTTAGGACTTCAAGACCAGCCTGGGCAACATAGCAAGACCTCATCTCTTATAAAAAATAAAAATTAGGTGGGTGTGGTGGCATGCACATGTAGTCCCAGATACCTGGGAGTCTGAGGCAGGAGGATGGCTTCAGCCCGGGAGTTCCAGGTTACACAAGCTAAGATCATGCTACACTGCACTCCAGCCTGTGTGACAGAGTGAAATCTTGTCTCAAAAAAAAAAAAAAAAAGAGAGAGAAGATCGTTTCAGTCACAATCAAAGCTATAAAAACCAAAGCGGGGATGGGCGGAAAGTGATGAGGGAGAATGAAGAGTCAGAAGATGTGATCAGGGAGGGCCTCTCCGAGGAGGTGACGTTTGGACTGAAGGAGGAGAAGGAGCCAGCAGAGGAAACAGCAGGGGCAAAAGCCCTGTGGTAGAGACAAGCTTGGTGCGTTTGGGGAATGAAGGGAGCCTGTGTGTCTGGAGCAGAGCAAGTAGGGGGCATCGGAAGAGATGTGGCCAGAGGGGCAAGCACAGGCTAGCTCATCCAGGGTCTTCCGGGCTGAGCTAGAGGAGGGGAGATTGTTGTGTTGCACAGGCAGTGAGAAGCCGGTGCGCTGTTTCCCTGCAGGGAGTGCTGTGAGTCTATTTATACCTTTGTAAAAGCTTCCCCTGGCTGGGGTGGGGGGATAGATTACAGACAAGGGGTCATTGAGGAGGCTGGTGTGTTTGTCCACGTGAGATGCTGGAGGTTGGGACTCAGCCAGGCAGAAGAGAAAGATGGTGGATTGGAGATATATTTTGGAAGTAGATTTAGAGAGACCTTAGTGAGAGATATGAGCCTCTTTTATAAAGTGCATTTAAATATTTAATGAATATTTTGCACACCTTCTTTTGCACCCAGCACCATACTAGGCACAGTGGGGTATAACATGTGGTCAATGTCTGGCAGATTTAGACACAGCACAGAAGCCTCCCTCATGGCTGTGTGGTGAGGGAAAGGATTGTCCAGGTGACTTCTAGGGTTTTGGGTGGAGCAGTTGGATGAATGGCAGAGCTACGTACTGACATGGAGAAAGGGCTGGTAGGAGAGGGAAGAGCAGGGAGAAACCCAGCTCAAGTAGGTGGTTCGCCTGCCCAGGAATCACTGCTCATCATTAAGTAGATTTGCCGCTACTGCCCTCACGAGGGGCATTGATGACGAGTTGCCCCTGTTAGTAGTAAGTAGTCGCCCATGCTGTTCAACACCAGCCACACAGAGCACCTGCCCTGTGTCTAACGTCAGAAGCTGCAGTCTGCTGATCCTGTCCAGCGTCTTGCTACATTGACCTGAATCTCCTGGTGGGCTCTGGTTGAATCCCAGTTTCTGCTGCTCTGGAGAACATTTCCTTAGATTCCCGAGATGCCCCCAAGTTCCCCACCAAGTGAGTGCCTTGTAAGCCCTCCAACCCCAAAGTCATACCGTCCCAGTGTCCCCTTCAAATCTGATAAAAATCCAGCCAGCCATTTCTACCAAATGAGATTCCAAATGAAAGGACCAAATGCAACCTCACTGTATTTTCATGGACTTACTGGTTCCAAGGCTTTCTTGGTGGCTTGACTAAGTCCATAACTAATTTCTACTTCTGTAGAAACTAGAAATTTTAAGTTCCCAGGATTCATAGGAAGGAGGGCACTGCATTTGGTGAGGCCAGGGAATAACAGGCCAGGAAAAGAGACTCAGTTGTTCCAGAAACAAAAATGTATATATTTACAAATTGTAAATGTCACAACTACAGGCAAGCATCTTGAGGGTTTTACACTATTTTTAATTTTTTTTATTATTGCCAAAGAAAAATATATGCACTATAGGGCAATCAGAACCTACAGATTTGCAAAAGAAAGAAAATAAAAACCATGCATATTTTCATCACTTAGTTAATAATTTGGAGTATATCCTTCCTGACCTTTTGCTATGCCTATTTAATTAAAAAATGGAATGATGTGATTTCTATAGCCTGGTTCTCCTCACTCAAAAACATATCATGGTTATGTCTGTGTTGTTACTTACATTTCTACAATATCATTCTTAACAGTTGCATAATATTTCCTTGTATTAAAGTATTACCATTTTCCACCAAGTGATTCCCCTATTGTTGGACATGGAGATTGCTTTTAATTTATTGTTTTGGATAAATTTGTTGCTTTGGTCAACATTCTTGCATCCACATTTTTTCCTACACCCTACATTATTTCCTTAGGATAAATTCCTCAGAGGCATGTTTGCTAGCCCAAAAGGCACACGGGTCTTGCTGTGTTGCCCAGGCTGGTCTTGAACTCCTCCTGGTCTCAAGTGATCTTCTCGCCTCAGCCTCCCAAAGCACTGCTGTTACAGTCATGAACCACCAAGCCCAACCAGGCACACACAGGCTTTGGAAGAACATTGTGCCAAATAGCCGTCAAAGAGGTTGATTTGATTTGCCCTCTTACTGCAGTGTCTGAGAGGACTCATTTTTTAAGCTAAGCTTTTCCCATTTAAATACTCTCTGATGAGCTTCCTCATGATTGTCGTGAGTTGTAAGGCCTTGCACCTTACAATTGAGAACATGCTTTACATCTGGAACCATTGGAGCAAAAGAAACCACTTCCATGACCTTGATTGGGCTGCCAAGTATTCACATATCACTTGCGTCCACCTCTCAGCAGTTTTCCCAACTGCGCGGTTGCTGAGCAGCGCTAGGGGAAAGGAGGGTGACAGAGGTGGGGTGATGAGGACTGCTGGACCCGCAAGGTTCTGGCGATGCAGGGCCATCCTCCCATCCTCCCTCTGATTTCCAGGTTGAATTGCTGCAGGATATCATGAACTACATTGTACCCATTCTTGTGCTGCCCAGGGTTAACGGTAAGGAACTTTGAAGAAACCATTCATTTTCAGTCATGGGGGAAGAGGGTGGGGTTGATTACCCACAGCCACCTGTTACCTGGCCCCAGGTATGAGGGCTGGGCAGTGGTGATGTCAAGTGAACTTCAAATGGCATCTGACCCAGAAATGAATGCAACAAAAAGGAACTCACATGAGTTGACTTACTACACATGGGTTGATTCATTATTGCGTGAGTTTGTCCTTACAAAACCCCCATGAGATGAAGGATTATTAACATCTCCAACTTTTATGGCAGGAAGCGGAAGAACAGAATGGTTTAGTGACTTAGGTCACAGAGCAGGCAAGAGATGGGGCATGGGTTTGATCCTAGCAGTGAAAACAAAGCCCATGGTCTCTTTCCAACTTTGGAAGCAGGATGAGGGGGTTCCCTGATAACCCCTCCCAGAGCTTAGATCACCACGCTGGTAAGAGCTTCAGGCAGGCCGGCCCCTGACCTTTGAGAGTGAGGGGCAAAAGTACTAATAGAGGCCCATATAACCTGTGACTAGGATATTTAGAACTTACCAATTAATCCAACAAATTATCATATGAAATATGATACATCAGTCCTGGGATCTGTCCTCCTACCTTGACAAATGTAGCTTTGTAATGACCTGGGAGGCCACGTTCTAATTTAGAGTTCTCCAAAGTTCCGTGTCAGAATGTGGCAGTATGTGGGGGGCTTGCCCTGGCCACTGTCCACCTCTGGCTTTATCCTAAATGTTGAGGGGTTTCATGCTCACATGCATAAATACCCCTATTACACACCACGCTCTAGTCACACCATTGCAAGCAGCAGATTTTTGGTTTAGTGTATACCAGCAGTGCTGCACCCTCAGGAGGGCCATCATGGGGATGGAGTCCACGCAGGTGCTAGAAGTGGACTTGGGGTTGATGGACAACAGGTGGGAGGTACGGACTCTGGGGCAGCCTTCCTTTCAGGCATGTATGCCCATGCCAGTCCCTACCTAGGGCCAGGCATGCTGGTTCAGGGAGGCTGTCTACCCAGGCTCTCTGGCCCTCCCTCCTCCCCTGCCCTTCTCTTTCTTTTCTCCTGGTCCTCACCATCGGTCTCTGTCACAGAGAAACTACAGAAAGGCTTCCCTCTCCCGACGCCGGCCAGAGTCCAGCTCTACAACGTAGTGCTTCAGCCTCACCAGGTGAGTCCCGGAGTCTTTTCCACAAATCTCCCCTAACGATAGTGACCAACAGCAGCCTATGGCTGCAATGCTTCCTGCATGCCAAGCCCTGTGTGAAGCGCCTTCTACCCTTACAACAACTCTGGGATGTGGGTGCTGTTAAAAAACAAAGAAAGACCAAGGTTCAGAAAAGCCACACAGTGTTAAATGAAGTCCAGATTCAAAGCCAGGCTCCCGGCTTTGAACCATCACTGCATCGTTCCCACGCTACACTCGGCAAAAATGAAATGCATTTGTGGGCCAAAGAGCCTCTTTTTTAAGGTGCATTTAAATATTTAACGAATATATGTTGCACACCTTTTGCACCCAGCATCATACTAGGCACTGTGGGGTATAACATGTGGTCGACGTCTGGCAGATTTAGACACAGCACAGAAGTCTCCTTCGTGGCTTTCGCCCAGGCTGACTTCCGTCTGCATTTGACACTGATGCGCTTCCTGGGCATGCTTTCTTCTCTTAGTTTCCAGCACTCCCCTAGCTCTTGGTTGTCTACCTGCCACCTCCTCTGCTTGTTCTCCTGCCCCTTCTCTGCAAGCTGGAGATCTCCAGGACCCCTCCCCAGGCCTCTTCTCTTCCCCCGCCATTGGCAAGCCTTCGTCACTCTTGTCAACCTCTTCAGGCTTAGCTGCCACCTGCGTGCCACCCAATGTCCCAGACATGCTTCCAGTCTTTTTATTTTTTCCAAACTCTCAGCTTGTGCATTCGCAGGCTCCCTCAATGTCTCCACCCTGAGGCCTCTTAAACCCAGCATGTCCCCACAAAGCTGTCACCTCCGCAGCGAAACCGTCACCCAGCTTGCATTTCTCACCTTGGTCAAAGGCTTTCCTGATAACTTGTGGCCCTCCTGGGGAGCCTCGCATCACCCAGATCCCTCCCTCTCCCTTTCCCCCAATGTCCAGGCCATCAATCCTCAATTCTTTAGACCAGGGAGCTAATTAATGGGGCTGAGAGACTGTAGAAAAATAACCAAGAGTGCAGAGGAAACACATACCGCATATTCCTCACATTTTACCAAGTTCGTGTTTTAAAAAAAATGACCCATGGCACAATTTAATTTCTTCATTTCTAAAAATCCTGAGTGAAGGACACAAAGAAGCAGAGAGAAGTGGTTTTGCAGCCTTGATTGGAACAAGCACTCCCTTGAGCTGCCATGAGGCAGGGACGACAAATGAAGGCCTCTAAAACAGCCCGGGGGGTCTCCGTGTCTAAGAAGGAGGCAGCTTCCAGGGAAGCTGCTGACAGATTCGCAGATGTTGGCAGCTGTGGATGTGTAGATCCGGGCAGCGAAACACTGAGTGACCCCCACTGGCCCTGCCTTTCTCCTTCCTAAGAGGCAGGCTCCCAAAATGTCCTTCTTAAAACTCCAGTAGCTCCACACTCACAAACAAGGGGTGCATCTTCAACTGGTGACAACATTCTCATCTCTCCCTAGAACTTCCTGCTGTTCGGTGCAGACGTTGTCTATAAATGAAGGCACCAGGGGTGCCGGGGGCTGTCAGCCACACCTGTTCCTGATGGGCTGTGGGGCACCGGCTGCCTTTCCCCAGGGAATCCTCTCCAGATCTTAACCAAGAGCCCCTTGCAAACTTCTTCGACTCAGATTCAGAAATGATCTAAACACGAGGAAACATTATTCATTGGAAAAGTGCATGGTGTGTATTTTAGGGATTATGAGCTTCTTTCAAGGGCTAAGGCTGCAGAGATATTTCCTCCAGGAATCGTGTTTCAATTGTAACCAAGAAATTTCCATTTGTGCTTCATGAAAAAAAACTTCTGGTTTTTTTCATGTGGATTCTGTGTGCTGGTATTGTTTCTTGTTTTATGTTCATTTATTTATTATTCATTGGCTGTAACCAATGTGGCCGGCAGTGCCAGTTTACAGCACAGATACAATCATCTCTTTTTATTTCTATAATTAATCTCTGGAATCCCCACAGCCTCCATTAACAGAAAGTCTCATTGTTCCAAATGTCCTTGTGATTTTCTTAGTCCAAATTCCTAATGTCACACAGAGAGGGTCTGGAGAGTGGGTCAGTCCACTATGCTGTTGTTCTTTCCACTACCACATGGTGTGGCTGTTGACCCGTCATTCTGCACAGCCCATTGTCCTGTGTAGTCACCTGTCCACTAGGACTGTTGCTCCCGTCACTACCACACGGTGTCGCTGTTGAAAAGCTAGCCTGCACAGCCCACCTTCCCTGCCCCACACTTGGGCTCCCCGTTTCATCCATGTTCTCCTGCCCAGCCATTGTCCCCAAAAGCAGAACAATGGGCCAGGTGACAGAGTCCATTGGGGTTTTCTGCTTCAGTCACATCTTTGGGTGCAATTAGCACTTCCCCATGACTCTCCCAGCTCTAGTGTGGAAGCCAGATCACCAACCCAGACTGTCTTTGGAATTCTGGGGAGTTTCCTTGGGGGCTTTGGGCCATTTCCTGCCATGGGACATCAGAGGGGGCTATCTCAGCCCATGAGATGGGGTTTTATGGATTGTACTTCAGATTGATTGAGGAGTCCTGGAAGGCCTTTCTACACTGCTGACATGTGCTCTGAGACCATAAGGATGAGCAACAACACACTGGAGGAGTTCGATGCAGACGGTGGAGTGGGGGACCACATGACCAGATTTAGTTTTTAAAATGTTTTATTGTGACTTCTGAAAGCATCAGAAGGACAAGAGGGCAAGGGATGAGCACAAATTAGGAATGTGTTGTTATTCAAGCTTCAACCAGATTGGTGATGGTAAAATTGAAGAGAAGCATTTGTAGCGAGCAAAAGCAGATAAAAGGTATTTATTTTATTTATAAAGAAAAATGTACACACTTCTGCTGACATCATTGATTCTCTGTCAAATGGAGTTAAAGGCTCTAGGGCCACACAAGAAGGGAGGGCCATTGATCAAACACTCTCAGGAGTCAAGCAAAGGGCATGAATGATCTAATTTAATCCTGATAGCATTCTTCATCCCCCAAGATGGCAATTGCTCAAACTTTTTTGGTTGTTTGTTTTTGAGACAGAGTCTTGCTCTGTCACCCAGGCTGGAGTGCAGTGGCACGATCTCAGCTCACTGCAACCTCTGACTCCCAAGTTCAAGCGATTCTCCTGCCTCAGCCTCCTGAGTAGCTGGGACTACAGGCATGTGCCATCATGCCTGGCTAATTTTTGTATTTTTAGTAGAGATGAGGTTTCATCATGTTGGCCGGGCAGGTCTCAAACTCCTGACCTCAGGTCATCTACCTGCCTGGGTCTCCCAAAGCGCTGGGATTACAGGGGTGAGCCACCGAGCCCAGCTGTTCAAACATTTTAAATTGAGTTACCCTTCCCTGATCACATAGCCAGCAGGTGGCAGAGTTGGAATTCCCACCTTATCTATTCCCACATGTCAGAGCCCATGCTTTTTTTGCTCCTCCCCGATGTCAAAATGTTGTCTGTTCTGGGGGACTTGGCACGTTTAAAGCAGAACTTCTTTGTTCTGTGGCATAGGTTGTACACTGTAAAACATAGGTTGTACCAGGTTGAGGAAACAAAAGTCTTTCTCTAATTTGTCCACCAGTAGTATGCATCTTTTTCTCCACTAGCCAGGGGCTATGGAGGCCCTGAATAGAACAGAAGAGCAGCTAGCAAGGGCGGAAGGAAGAGAGAGAAGGGAAGCACAGCGTGGGATAGACTGGGAGGCCATGAGGACTGTTAAGGGCTCTAGGTTTTGTTCCAAAAGATAAGGCAAGCCACTGGAGAGTTTTGAGCAGAAGAATGTTACAATCCAATTCACATTTGTAAAAGAGCCCTCTGGCTGCTGGGGAGACTAGCTGGTAGATATGGACACACACCTGCCATCCCCCACCCTCATTCTCTTTGGAGTTAACCCCCTTCTACACCTGCCCTCTACTTTCTGTAACATATAGGCACCCCCTGCTCCACACTCTATAGAAAAAAAAAAAAAAATGCAATTATTAGGTTGGTGCAAAAGTAATTGCGGTTTTTGCCATTACTTTTAATGCAAAAACCGCAATTACTTTTTTTTTTTGGAGACAGAGTCTCGCTCTGTCACCCAGGCTGGAATGCAGTGGTGTGATCTTGGCTCACTGCAACCTCTGCCTCCCGGATTCAAACCGTTCTCCTGCCTCAGCCTCCCAAGTATCTGGGATTACAGTCTCACACCAGTACGCGCGGCTAATATTTTGTGTACATATATTTTTAAATATAGACAGGGTTTCTCCATGTTGGCCAGAGTGGTCTCCAACTCCTGACCTCAAGTGATCCACCCACCTTGGCCTTCCAAAGTGCTGGGATTACAAGTGTGAGCCACTGAATCCAGTCTTGGCCGTTACTTTTAATGCCAAAAAAAATAATTACTTTTCCATCAACCTAAATCTTTCTTGGACCTGAAGATTGGTGCATGAAACACATTGTGCCTGCGAACTTCTCTCTAATGGCTGAGGAAAGGCAGTTGCTTGGGGGTTAGGGTTTGAGCAGCATTCCCCAACACACTCCAAAGGTTCTGCCAAGTTGGCTACAGAACCACTATTTGAGCAGCTTCTCCCTTCAGGCTAAGCATTGTCTGCTGCAGATGACTGCAAATGTGTGTTTGGGGTTTCTTTGGGTGACGTTGAAAATGTTCTAAAATTAAATTCTGGATTGTACACTTTAAATGGGTGAATTTTATGTATATGAAATATATGTCAATAAAGTGGCAAAAGACAATTGAAGAAGAAAAAAAAGAATTGTTCACTCCAAACTGCCTAAAAGCTCACCATCAGAGCAGCTTCCCTTCTGGGATAAGCACAGCCTTCCTGGGGTTCCTTTTGGAAATGCTGACTTATTAAATAAATATGAGGGAGGAGTACCCTCTGCAAGGAGAGAAGGTGGGGAGGGGCACAGGAAGACTAAGCACTGTCTTCATCATTTTGCCATGTCCCGCTAGTGGCCATGAGCAGCCCTGTCCCTGGGTCTATCTCTTCAGGCTTATGATCCTATTTAATCCTCATGACAACCGCTAAAGGTAGCCAAGGTTGCCCTTGTTTTTCAGATGAGGAGTCTCTAGAAAAGTCGTGTGGCCTGCTAAGCTAACTGTTCAGAGCCTGGGCTCTGGAGTCACCTGGCGGTGGTTTCAAACATAAATCCGGCCCCCTCAAGAGCTGTGTGACTTTGCAAATGTTCCTTAACCTCTCTGGCCCTCTATTTCCTCCTTTGAAAAGGAGAGTTAAAATCTTGCCCTCTCGGCATGAGGTTATTGGGAAGAATCAGAGGTATGATTGATAGGGTCATGGCACAGTGGTTAAGAGTATGAACCATGATCCCAGATATCTTGGGTTTAAATCCCACGTCTGCTATTTACCAGCTGTGTGACTTTGGGCAGTATACTTAATTCTCAGGTTTTCTATTTCTCATCTATAAAGGGAACATCATTATAGTACCTACCTCATAAAGTTGTTATGAGAATCAAATACATGTCAAATCCGTGGTACAGGGGTTGACAACAGTAATCCAAGTTTGCTCTAATTTGAATAAACGCAGTTCTTCTTACTATACTGTAAAGACTATATCTGACCAGGTGCAGTGGCTCACGACCTGTAATCCCAGCACTTTGGAAGTCTGAGGCAGGTGGATCACTTGAGCCCAGGAGTTCGAGACCAGCCTGGGCAACATGGCGAAACCCAGTCTCCACTAAAAACACAAAAATTAGCCGGGCGTGGTGGCACACACCTGTAGTCCCAGCTACTCAGGAGGCTGACGCACGAGTATCATTTGAACCCAGAAGGCGGAGGTTGCAGTGTGCTGAGATCACACCACTGCACTCCATCCAGCCTGGGTGATGGAGTGAGACTCTGTCTCAAAAAAAAAAAAACAAAAAAAATACTATATCTGGCTACAGTAGTATTCCCAATGCCTGCCACATAGTTGGTGATCAGTAAGTATTTATTTTAAAAATGATCTGGGATTTCAACCCACATCTGCATAACTCAAAACATTTATGCCAGTGATTCTCAATGTATGATCCAGGGCTGTCTGCCTGAATGGGCCTGACCCCAAGAATCAGAGCCCCTGGCTGGCCAGAACTCTGGATTTATCCTCTCCAGTTCAGCAATAGGCTCACAGTGTAACCTGGGCCAGTTCTCCCTCTCTAGGTCTCAGTTTCCCCATCTGTAAAAGTAAGGGCTCTCTGGGGTGAGGAGCTGTTTATCCACATGACCAGCCCTGCTCCATGGGGGCTCCTGGTATCTCAAGACACGCAACCTTCAAGCCACAAAGGATCGTCACTGACGTTACTACTTTTATTTTGTAAGCCCGCATGTCTCAGGGCTCATGTGTGTGTGTCTGTGCGTGTGCGTACACAGGCACACATTCAGATCTGCAGGTGATGTGGCTTGGGGAGAGGCTGCCATAAATATTAAACTCCCAACTCCAAAGTACCCTGCAGAGATTCAGAACTGCAGGAATTCATAACATCATTCTCTTTCAAGAGTCAGTGTTCTCAGGAGTGTGGGCACCGTCATAGAAAACTATCGAAAAGGAGAGTGAAGCATTAGAGAACTGCTGAGCTTGGAGGGAACTCGGAGCTCATTTAGTCCCTTGTTCCCGAAGCTCCAAGCACAATCCGTGGTCAGCAGCATCACCCTCACCAGGGAGCTTGTTAAAATGCAGAGGCTCAGCCCCAAGAGGAACATGATGGATCAAGATTTGCATCTAAACAAGATCCCTGGGGGACTTGACTGCACGTCTTTGTTTCTGAAAAGCTGTCCTAGTCCCCAGCCCTCATCTGCATTTGGGGGAAACATGAGGAACAGAGAGGGGTGGAGTTTGTTCCAGGTCCCCCAGCCCATTAGGAGCAGGGCCTTGACAAAAAACCTGTAAGACTTTGGAAAAGGATTCAAAGCTCTCTGCGAGAGGCAGGCGTTTGCACAAAAGATGAATAAGTGCAGAAGAAATGCTCAGTGTTGCTAATTGTGTCCAACAGGGTTCAGGCAAGAAAAGAGAATCCAACTGCATTGGTTCTTGGGATTTGAATAAAGTGGCTATTTCTAGAGTTGGGGGACAAGCTTGAGGAAACCAACCAGGGACTGTTTTTCCTAAGGCTCAAGCAGCAAAGAAAAGCATCTGGGTATCCCAGCCCAAGGAGATAATAGGAGCCAAGGACAAGGCCTTATCAGGAGGGACACAGCCAACTGCCACACTTGTGATCTAGAGAAGACAGCAGGGAAAAGTGCCCTGACATCTGACCTCCTGCCATGCCACCCTCTGGCTGAACCCAAGTAGAGATGAGGAAACTGAGTCACAAAGTGCCCAAAGTCACCCCGTGGGGGAGTCAGGATTCAAATCCAGGCCATCTGGCCCCAGAGTCCATAAAGATAAACATAAGGTTTGTTTATTCCTTTGGCAATTATCTACTATTTGCTGCTCAGTATTCTAGACACTATGGATTCCAAATTCTGGGTTTTTCAAAATCTTTTCAGTAACACTTTTGTAGTGAGAATATTATCGGTGGCGAGTCCGCAACACTCCCAGCCCTTGTCTTCTCAGAGGAAAGAATTCAATTGAGAGACGCAGGCAAGTTTTAAAGCAGAGGCAAAGGTTTATTGAAAGAAGCAAAGTACAACTGAGAGATCAAGTGCCCCGCTCAACCTTTGGCTCGGGGCTTTTATACACTGGCTTGGTTCTGGGGTTTCTTCTCCTCCTTGATTCCTCCCTTCGGTGGGCTGCTGCGCCCTCCCTGCATGCGCAATGGCCTGCCAGCACTTGGGAGGGGCCGCATGCGCAGTGTGTTTACTAAGGTTGTGCGCATGCTCACTTGGGGTGATTTTCCCTTACTGGTCCGTCGCCGCAAGAAAAAGGTCATATACAAGTCAGACTCCAACATTTGCCCTTCTGCTCGACCTTACCAGGGAATTGTGGTTTGCTGGCTCCAGATGATGTCAACTATCTGTTAGGGAACTCCTCTCCCTCTTGGCGCCATTCGTGGCCACTTATCATGTCAGAGGGACAGTTTTATGATCGCCTGTCCATCATTTGATGCACTGCCATTTCTGGGGGCCCTCTCCTGCACAAGAACACAATAAACAGCCTTGTTAAAAGAGTCCCTATTTCACTGCAATAAGACTGAGTGGTGGCCAGAGTGGTAGCAGCTGTTGCTTTTGTGGAATTGGATGGACAGCCTGGTAGGAGAAAGGCCCAGGGGTTCTGACCAGCAGTGGGGTCGTGCTGCTCCCTGAGGCCTCTGCTGGGTCCTGGGCCATCAGCAGGGACCTTAGCCAGCAGTGGGCACCTGCAGGGGTGGAGGCCAGGCCTGGGCCATGTGGCAGCTCTAAGGTCCAAAGATTGCTGCTGTGGGAAATTCCCACCCCTGCAAATGACTCCCAGCCAGGGACATCCTTAAACTGCTGCCAGAGGAAGAGTGACATCTATGTCCCCATAAGATCCTTATGCTCCAGAATGTCCTCCCCCACTCTCCTCCCCTCCTGGGCAGGCTGAGGTCCAGGAAGCAAAGGCCCCTAGGCACACTGGGGATGCACCTGTGAGCCCTTTCCTGCTCCAAAGCCTCCCAAAGGCTGGCTCCTTACCCTGAGGCCTCTGCTCAGCTTGTTGCCTCCCAAGAGAACCCTGCCCTGACCAGAGTTTTGGAATGGCATCCTGCAGACCTGGACTTAAATTCCTGCTGGGTGACTGCAGCCTACATCACTTCACCCTGCCAAACCTCAGTTTCTTCATCTCAAGACAAGACTAAAATATCCACCTGGGGTTGCTGATGCAAGGATGAGAGGAGACGTGCAGCTTAACCAGCACAGCGCCTGCACATAGTAGGTGCTCAATAAATATCAGTTTCTTTCCAATTTCTGCTGGGTGCTGCAAGGATCTCAGGAAATGGAAGACTCAGCCGTGCCTGCAAGGAGCCATCAGACTGGTGGTGTGGGGACTGAGGGGAGGGACGGATGAGGATCCCAACAAACCTCAGCCCCAGTGACAGGAGCAACACGGTACAGAGGAGCAGAGAGGCCTGGACTGTGGGGTTCCCTGTGCTTAACGTGGGACATTCTGATCTTAACCTCAGTGCCTGCCAGTGCTGTTTGTGACCTATTGGGAGTCACCCTGTTAATCCCACCACATTCAGTTGGTTGAGGCCATCATGAAAACCTGCCCAATTTCAAGGGAAGGGGGCAGAAACATTACCTTTTGATGGAAGGAATATCAAAGAATTCGTGGGCATATTTTTAAAGGACCACAATTATCAAAAAGCAGAGTGGTTAATGCTGTGGTGGGGAAAGCGCAAAGGGTTCTGGGACCTCAGAGGGGACCCTTTCTAGAATCCAGAGAAGCATGGGAGTGGTCAGGGAAGGCTTCCTGGGGGTGAGGGCAAAGCAGAACTCACAAATGTAAGCAGGGCTGGGGCAAAACTCTAAAAATTAAACACAGTCTGTACTATAAATTTTGTTTTCCAGAATGAAATTTTACTATCTTTACTTACTGCGAATATATGCCCGGGACCATACCCCCAAGAAAATAAAAATTTTAGAGGCTGGGCATGGTGGCCCAAGTCTATAATCCCAGTATTTTGGAAGGCCAAGCGGGAGGCTTACTTGAGCTCAGGAGTTCGACACCAGCCTGGGCAACATAGCAAGACCTCGTCCCTACTAAAATACAAAAAATTAGCTGGACATGGTGGCTCACACCTGTAGTCCCAGCTACTTAGGGGGCTGTGGTGGGAGGATCACTTGAGCCCAGGAAGTTGAGGTTGCAGCGAGCGATGTTCATGCCACTGGACTCCTGCTTGAGCAACAGAGTAGACTTTGTCTCAAAAAATGAAAAAAGAAAAAAAAATTGTACGTATCAACAAGCAAAAACTTTTTTAACACTTATAATTCTACCCCCACAACCAGAGACAATGCCTCATGACTCCTTGCTAAATATTTTCCAGATTGTTGAACATAGAAGCCTATTTTGAACCCCCCAAAATAGAACCTTACTCTATGGTGCCATCGGAAACGGATGCCTCATGACATCCCTTTCCTTGCCAAGAAATACCTTTATTTCTGCAGCCTCACTTTAAGGGGCATGTCATAATTCATTTAACCAATGCCCTTCTGGTGGATACATGAGGTTGGGTCTCACTTCTCCTGTCCTGTTTCCCACAGCATAGCAGTGGTATCTTGGAGCAGTGATTTACTGGCACACTGACTCAATTATGTATTTAAGGGCAAGTCCCTGAAATTGAATTCCTGGGTCACAGGGCATGCAACTGTTTAAACATTTGCCAATTGCCTTCCAGAAAATTTCACCACCAGCAAGGTTTGAGAAACACTGTTTTCCCATTGGGGGAAACATTTATTTTTTAAATAAACGAGCCAATATATTTTAAAAAAGAGAGTTTGGTTGGTGCCAGATGTAGCTTCACTCTCAACCCTGCCCTCTGCTGGGGGTGAGATCTCAAGGGAGCTATGTGGCTTTTTTGAACCTCAGTTTCCTCATCTGCTAAACCAGGCCTTCCTAGCCGAGCTCTTAAGAGACTGGCTGAGATGAGGCAAGATGAACAGTGATGAATATGGGGTCTTTCTGTGGGGAGGGTGGACAGGGATGATCATAGGAGTCAGGCTTCCTCATCCACTGATCTGGGCAGTGAAAACTGGCTTCTAAGTATGACCTTATGACTTCAGTGATGTCGCAAGCAGGTTCCAGTCCCTGTGCCTCCCCTTCCCGCTCCCAGGAACCCATCCAGCCTCAGGAACTGCCCCCAGCCATCGAGCCTTGGCTACTTAAGGGACCTGGGCCCAATCCACAGCTGGGACAGTCCTGGCCCACTGCACTGGGAATCTAGGATGGGGGCCTTGGCCAGAGCCCTGCCGTCCATACTGCTGGCATTGCTGCTTACGTCCACCCCAGAGGCTCTGGGTGCCAACCCCGGCTTGGTCGCCAGGATCACCGACAAGGGACTGCAGTATGGTAAGAAGCCACATCTGCTGGCTGGACTTGGCAAACCCACGCTCCAGGCTGCTCTGGGTACAGTGGGGACAGGGAGTGGGGACACAGACCGGACCCTCTCCCTGGGGCAGTGCCACCTTCTGGGTCAGGTGGCTCTGGCTCCTATTCTGGCCTTACTGCCCACCAGCTGAGTGCCCTGGGCATGTTATTTGTGGTAGTGAGGTCCTCCACCAGCCAACAGAACACAGCTTTGCGTGCAAGTAGTTGATTTGGGAAATGATTCCAGGAAACACTGTAGGGAATCGGTACTGAGATGAGGAAGGGAGGGCAGCCAGGAGAGAGTGTGCAATTAAACCAGCCACCACCTCTGATGATGGGAACCACTCAGCTGGGAAAATTCTGCGTAAAGTTTGGAAACACATGCCTCTGAACTGGAAGTCAGAATTGTGGTCACCTCTAGAGGCAGGCAGAGACCCTGAAGGGCATGAGGGAGGTCTGCCGGGGTGCTGGAAGTTGCCATATCTTGATCCAGGTGGTGATCACATTCCTGTATAAACATTAAAAATTATTTAGCAATACCTTTAAAATTTGTGCCCGTTAGGTACTTTATGTATATTATTCCTCAATTTTAAAGAATGGGCAGGCCAGGCACAGTGGCTCACGCCTGTAATCCCAGCACTTTGGGAGGCCGAGGTGGGTGGATAGCTTCAGGCCAGGAGTTCGAGGCAAGCCTGGCCAACATGGTGAAGCCTCGCCTCTCCTAAAAATACAAAAATTAGCCAGTCTTGGTGGCAGCCAACTGTAATCCCAGCTACTTGGGAGGCTGAGGCAGGAGAATCGCTTGAACCCGGGAGGCAGAGGTTGCAGTGAGCCGAGATCATGCTGCTGCATTGCAGCCTGGGCAACAGAGGGAGACTGTCTCAAAAAAATAAATAAAAATAAAACAAAGAATGAGCAAAAGTAGGAGTATTTTTTTTTAAATACTGAAACAAAGCCTCCCGACTATCCAGGTGGCATGGGAACTGGGATATTTATACACCACAGTGATTGATTGAGGGCTTCTGGGCCGGGGGTTTGTCAACTCCCCAGCACTTCTGTCCTGTTGCATGTACCTGCTTTCTGCAGTTCCAGGACAAAAAGCCTCGGGACATACAGGCTCAGGGAGGCAGACATTGGCAGCTGGGAGTCAACTGTCACTCACTGGAAAGACTCAAGGATATGGACAGGCACTGACCACATGTCTTCTCACATCCCTAGAGCCTCAATTGCCTTACCTATTAAATGAGATAACAACATTCCCTTAGATAGGGTTGTTGGGAGCCCAGACTGGCTCGAGACAGGCAGAGGGAAATCAGGGAAGGATTCCAGGATATAGTAAAATGGAAAAGACAGTGGGAATTACCCAGGGACAAGGGGTAGCGTTCCAGGCGGAAGGACCCCAACATGTGCGTTTGCTAGAGGGAGAAGAGCAAATTGGAAAGAGGTGAAAGGGGAGGCTGCTGGTCATCTGTGTACCCATGTCTGCCTTGGGGACAGAAACCTGGGCCCCTCAGATCTCGGAACAGTGGGACCTGGTAACTGCTACTTGCATTGAAACTGTAAATCAGGGAAGTTTCTCTTTTGTTCCTTTGCACTGTGCACACACACCATGTTTATGTAACCAGTCCTCTGAGGTTGGACATTTTGGTCCTTTCCATATTTTTTTTTTTTTTGAAACGGAGTCTCACTCTGTTGCCAGGCTGGAGTGCAATGGCACAATCTCAGCTCACTGCAACCTCCGACTCCCTGGTTCAAGTGATTCTCCTGCCTCAGCCTCCCGAGTAGCTGGGATTACAGGCACATGCTACCACGCCCAGCTAATTTTTGTATTTTTAGTAGAGACAGGATTTCACTATGTTGGCCAGGATGGTCTCGATGATCCACCCGCCTCGGCCTCCCAAAGTGCTGGGATTACAGGCGTGAGCCACTGCGCCCGACCCCTTTCCATATTTTTAATAATATAAACCCTATTTGCTGTTCCAGGCATTTACTGAGTGCCTGCTGTGTGTCAGGCACCAAGCTAGGAGTGCTTGTTATCCTCACAGCCCCCTTCTTGCTTTGCAGTTTCAATGGCATGCCAATGAGGAAAGTTTAGTTTAGTTTAGTTTAGTTTAGTTTAGTTTAGTTTAGTTTTGTTTTGTTTTGTTTTGTTTGAGACAGAGTCTCACTCTGTCGCCCAGGCTAGAGTGCGGTAGTGCGATCTCGGCTCACTGCAATCTCTGCCTCCCGGGTTCAAGTGATTCTCCTGCCTCAGCCTCCTGAGTAGCTGAGACTACAGGTGCCTGCCACCATGCCCGGCTAATTTTTGTATTTTTTAGCAGAGATGAAGTTTCACCATATTGGCCAGGCTGGTCTCGAACTCCTGACCTCAGGTGATCTGCCCTCCTCGGCCTCCCAAAGTGCTGGGATTACAGGCGTGAGCCACCACGCCCAGCAAATGTATTGTTGTCATTGCTATTTGACAGATGAACAAAGTGAAGGTTGTTTGGGGACTTTGTCAAAGTCACCCAGCTAGAAAGATGCCCTCTTTCTCTAGCCCCCAGATCCTTCCAGTTTCTTCTACACAGGCCAGATGTCATGGAGAACAAGAAGGAGGACTATCCGTCCAAGCGCACAGCACTTTTGCCCTTGGGGATTTGTTGGCAAAGGCATTCCATTTCCTCATCAGTAAAATGGGCATGAACCTAACAATGCCACAGAAATGCAGGGACACCTCTGAATGTCCCTCATGCTACCTGGCACACAGAGGGGCTCATATCCTGTCATTGTACTTAATGCTAATAAGGATGTTGGCCCCTCTCTTGAGGACAGGTGGGAGCCACCGTAGGGTTTAGAGCAGGGGAGGAGGCAGGCAGATCAAGCTGACTCCCAGCTATTTCCTTTCCACAGCGGCCCAGGAGGGGCTATTAGCTCTGCAGAGTGAGCTGCTCAGGATCACGCTGCCTGACTTCACCGGGGACTTGAGGATCCCCCACGTCGGCCGTGGGCGCTATGAGTTCCACAGGTGGGGCTCTCCCTTCTGCTGCGGCTCTGAAGTGGCTGGAGCTGGCTGTCAGGGGGAATTGGAGAGTGAGGAAGAGAGAGCCTCAGGATTGGGCTGTGGGGGGACCTCTCCGGGGCAGACAGTGGGATAGTTCCCTGAAGAGCTCAGAAGGAAATTCTGGGAAGGAATTGAGCTCCTCCACTCAGTCACGCAGCAAATATTAAGGAAGACCTACTGGCTGTGTGATCTGAGCCTTGATTTCCTTATCTGTAAAATGGAGTTGATCTACTTCCTCCTTCAGAGTGCTCATCCAAGATCCAATCTGGCCACTAGATATAGTTTGGAAGAGAAGATAGACCTTACACTTTAAATGTAGTAGCCCAACGGTTAGAGCTGAAGTTTGTACTTGGGGGAGTCAGGGAAGGCTTCCAGGAGAAGGTGGCATTTGAGCCAAGTCTTCAAAAGATTACTAGACTTGAGCAGCTGATGCTTTAAAAGAGCGTGAACTGCTTTTTGAGGGATGGGCAGTGAAGAAACGACAATCAGACTCGTAGCACATTGTACCCCTCCCTGCTCACTGCTGTTGGGCGTTTCCTTCATTCCTGCCTTCTTTTATTCAGTCCATCAGCAAAAATCTATTGGGCACCTACTATGTGCCCGGCAAATAAAATAGAACTTGACCGTTCTTTTCCCACTGTGACAACCTTGCTGACTTTTTTGGGGTCTTATCTTAAGGCTGCCACCATCTTCCCTGAATCTGTTTCCCCCCTACCTGGATGTATTGAGAGAGAGGAGGGTTAGCAGGAACTGCAAACCCAAAGGGATATGTCTACGGACCTTCTCAGGATGCCACCGGGGGTCATTAGATTCATGGGTTCTGATGCAGACTGCAAAACCGTGAGCAATTGCATCCCTTCCTCAAGGTTCTATTTCCCCCTTTGTGGAAAGGGAGCAAGAACACTGCTGACCCCTTCAGTGTGGCCCATATGGCATGAAGAAAGTAACGTGCTTAGCATGGTCATAAGATCGATGCCTGGGGCACAGCAGGTGCTTACCTGGAGCAGATCCTGCTGGTCTAGTCCCCACTGTGGAGAGGGGAGGCGCAAGGTCCCTGGTGAGGCTGGGTCCAGGCCCAGGGCTGACACCTCCTTCCATGTCTCTCCCTTCAGCCTGAACATCCACAGCTGTGAGCTGCTTCACTCTGCGCTGAGGCCTGTCCCTGGCCAGGGCCTGAGTCTCAGCATCTCCGACTCCTCCATCCGGGTCCAGGGCAGGTGGAAGGTGCGCAAGTCATTCTTGTAAGTTGGCTCTGCTCCCAGGCCCTGGAGCTCTTGGCCTTGGCCTTCGCCCCATCCTTCTTAGGTCCAAGGTGTTCCTAGCTTATCAGAAAGGCCACGTGATGGACAGATGGAGTCCAAGCCCGGAGGTGGCCTGGGGATTGAGTCCTGGCTCTTGGATGAGTGTCTTTCTGTCTCTGAGTCTCTACTTCCTCATCTCCCAAAGGGGACGGGCCTGCTTCCTTGATGGAGTCATGGGAGGGCTAAGTGCGGTAATATCATGTCTCCTTGGTTTGCTTCCCACAGAAGCAGACTTTAGGGCAAGAATTCCAGTGCAATACTTTATCTTGGAAGCGATCTGAGGAAACCCACAGGGGAGTGGGGAAGTGAGGAAGGGAAGGGAAGGGAAGGAAGTCAGCCTGGTGGGCAAGTGAAGCTCTGTCTAGCTGGGGAACTCAGGGACAGCGGAGAACACGCCTCTGAGTTACTCCAGCCCCACGCTGTCACCCCGTCCTCCTGCTTGCCATTGGCCAAGGGCTGCTTCCAGGGGCTCTGGCTCTCAGGCACTTTGAACAGTTCTCTGACCTCAGAGGCACTTGGATGGAAGGGGTATTCATGTGCTAGGGCTGCCATAACAAGCATAGACTGGGTGGCTTAAGCAGAAATGTGTTTTCTCACAGTTCTGGAGGCTGAGGGCCAAGGTCAAGGTTTTGGCAGGCCTGGTTTCTTCTGAGGCCACTCTCTTTGGCTTGCAGATGGCTGCCCTTTGGCAATGTCCTCACGTGGTCTTTCCTCTGTGCTCAAGAAATCCCATTTCTGAGGCCATGCACGTTGGCTCACCCCTGTAATCCCAGCACTTTGGGAGGCTGAGGCGGGAAGATCACTTGAGGTCAGGAGTTCAAGACCAGCCTGGCCAACATGGCAAAAATCAGTCTCTACTAAAAATGAAAAATAAATTAAAAATTTAAAAATTAGCCAGGTGTGGTGGCAGGTACCTGTAATCTCAACTACTCAGGAGGCTAGACAGAAGAATCGTTTGAACCCTGGAGGCAGAGGTTGCACAGAGCTGAGATCATGCCACTGTACTCCAGCCTGGGGGACAGAGCGAGACTCCATCTCTAAAAAAAAAAAAAAAGAAAAAAGAAAGGAAAGAAACCCCGTTTCTCTCTGTATGTCCTAATCTCTTTTTATAAAGACACTAGTCACATTGGATTAGGGCCCACCCTAATGGCCTCATTTAAATGTAATCACCTCTTCAAAGGGCCTATCTCCAATACTGTGACATTCTCAGGTACTGGGGATCAGAGCTTCAACATCTGAATTTGGGAGGCAGGTGGTGACACAGAGCAGCCCATAGCAGAAGGAACAGCCCAAATATGGGTGATATGACCATATTTATACTTCAGACCTGCACTGCCTAAAATAGAAGCCACCAGCCATGCCTTTACTGAGTACTTGAAAAGTGCCTGGTACAAGTTGAGATCTACTCTAAGTATGCAACACTGGATTTGAAGATTTAGGATTAAAAAACAAACAAACAAACAAAAAAACAGCAGCTGAGCACGGTGGCTCATGCCTGTAATCCCAGCACTTTGGGAGGCTGAGGCAGGTGGATCATTTGAGGTCAGGAGTTCAAGACCAGCTTGGTCAACATGGTGAAACCCCATCTCTACTAAAAATACAAAAATTAGCTGGGCGTAGTGGCGCATGCCTGTAATCTCAGCTACTTAGGAGGATGAGACAGGAGAACCGCTGTAGCCTGGGAGGCGGAGGTTGCGGTGAGCCAAGATCACGCCACTGCACTCCAGTCTGGGCAAGAGAGTGAGACCCTATCTCAAAATAATTAATTAATTAGTTAATTAAATAAAATAAATTAGCCACCACACCTGGCTAATTTTTAAAATTATTTATTATAAATAAATAAATCTCATTAATATTTTTTATATTGATTACATGTTGAAATCATACTATGTATTACTAAAATTAATTTCAGCTCTTTCTTTTTATCTTTTTAATGTATCTTCTGGAAAATTTAAAATTACATGTGTGGCTCTCATTCTATTGCTTTAGAAAGACGGCTGGTTTATATGTTACCTACATATGCACATTTGTTCTAGTTCCATGAAAGGAACTGGCCACACTCTCTTACCCTGGCTTTTGTCACTGAAGTATCTTAAATATCTCTTTCTATGGGCATATGACTATCTACCTCATTTTTTTTCACTTTTTTGAATGTGCTTTTAAAAATTGATAGGAAATTCACGGAACATAAAATTGATTATTTGAAAGTATACATTCAGTGGCATGTAGTACATTCACAATTTTGTGCCATGTCCACCCCTATCTGACTCCAAAACATTTTCATCATCCCAAGAGAAAATTCCTTACCCATTAAACAATCATTCCCCATTTCCCTTCCCCCAGCTCCAGACAACCACCACTGGGGTTGGAGACTCCTGGAATAGACCACATTTTGCCCCATTGTTCTCAAAGGCTGCATAACATTGGGTGCCCACAGCTTATTCAACCTGTCGCTGCTAGCGGACATGTAGGCTGCTTCCTTTTTTTTTTTTTTTTTTTTTTTTTTTTGCTACTGCCTATGATGCTTCAGTGAGCTGCCCCACACCACGCGTATATCTTGGCAGGAAGAGCTACGGGATAAAGGCTTAGAAGTTAAATTACTGGGCCAAAGAGTATGTATGTTAGAACGAGGAGAGATCTCACTGATTTGTGTTTCAGAAAGCTTGTGCCAATGTGCACTCTCCCAGCCACAGTGTCTGGGACTTCTGTTTACTCGTACATTCAATAGCATTGAGTACTAAAACTTCAAAAGTTTTTTTTGAATCTGATAGGCGAGAACTGGTGTCATTGTTATTTTCATTTTTAATGACTTTTACATGCTTATTTTGTACTGCATTTCCTGTTCATATCTTTTTTTTTCTTTTGAGTTGTTCTTTCTTTCCTTGTTAATTTATATTGGCTTGTTCTTTGTATATTAGGGAAATAAGCCCATATATTAAGGAAATTGGCTCTTTAGATGTCTCATACTGCAATTTTTTTTTTACTTTACATATGGCATTTTTTTTGTCCACTGAAGTTTTAATTTTCTATGCCGACAAGTTTATCAAGGATTTCCTTTATGGCTTATGAGACTTGGATATTGCCTAGAAAGGCCTTCATCCAGCCCTGCCTGGAAATACTGGATCTGGGCTTTCTTCTAGATCTTTTATGGCTTTATTTGTTATTCTTAAATCTCTGCTCAGCTCCATGTATTTGGAGGTCAGAACTGAGCCTTCTATTTTCCCCACAAATGGTGGCAGACCCCTGGTCTAGGAACTAACCATGGCTTCTCTTACCTCCTCCAGCAAACTACAGGGCTCCTTTGATGTCAGTGTCAAGGGCATCAGCATTTCGGTCAACCTCCTGTTGGGCAGCGAGTCCTCCGGGAGGCCCACAGTTACTGCCTCCAGCTGCAGCAGTGACATCGCTGACGTGGAGGTGGACATGTCGGGAGACTTGGGGTAGGTCTCCATCGGGGCACTGCCAGCTGGACTCCTGGTTGCAGCTCCCGGCCAATCCAGCGCTCAGCCTGGCCTCCGATAATTGCAATGATCCAGGTGGCTTGCACAGGCACTTGAAGATCATTCTCTGGGGAACCCTGTTGAGATGAACAGACTTAAGCCAGGAATATTGGTGCATCATTTTCATTAAAAAAATAAACTTTCATTCACCTGACAAGGGGACCCTTGTCAGGTGAATGAAATCTGGCTATTTGGAGGAACACAGAAACTTTGGTTGAAGGAGAGTTTGCGAAAAACATACAAGTCCTTGGACAAGTCATTTCATCTCTTCTAGTCTCAGTTTCCTTGATTAGAAAAGTGTGACCGGGTGTGGTGGCTCACGCCTGTAATCCTAACAATTTGAGACGCCAAGGCAGAAAATCGCTTGAGCTCAGGAGTTCAAGACCAGCCTGGGCAACGTGGTAAAACCTGTCTCCACAAAAAAATACAAAAATTAGCCAGGCATGATGGCACATGCCTGTAGTCTCAGCTACTTCAGGGGCTGAGTTGGGAGGATGGCTTCAGGCCAGGCGACAGAGGTTGCAGTGAGCTGAGATTGTGCCACTGCACTCCAGCCTGGGTGACAAGGTGAGATCCTGTCCCCCACCCCCCCGCAAAAGAAAAGAAAAATGTGGATTCTCAAGCCGCTTCCCCAAATCTGCTGAATGTGATCATGCGATTGGGTGCCGCAGGCACTGGGAAGCCAGACACACCGAATCAGGCTGGATGTGCTGGGACACAGCAGGGCGCCGGGAAGGGGTGGAGAGGGCTCCCTTTGTGGACTGGCCTGACCAGGGACCAGGGCCTGGCTTTCCCAGGCACCCGGCCATCCCCAAGTTCAGTGGCAGACTGTGCTTCTCTCCCCAGGTGGCTGTTGAACCTCTTCCACAACCAGATTGAGTCCAAGTTCCAGAAAGTACTGGAGAGCAGGGTAAGAAGGTCCAAGCCTCTGGCCTCCCCCGAGCTTGGCGAGGGCTGAATGGAAGACCTCACTGACCAATGGCCCTGGACCAGGCCATGGGGGCTGGTTTAGACGTACTTGGGCCCAAAGCCCAGGGAGGACAAATCATTTGCCCAGGTCATGGAGCTGTTGTGGGGCACGCTGGGGACAAAGCTCCAAGTCCGTTCGGTTGGGCAGAAAATGGTCAACTGCTTGACCAAGGGTTAAACAGCAGGGGCTAAACAGAGACTCCAGCCCCTCCCTCTGCTCCACCTTGCTCAGTGCCCCACACTGCCCTGCATTCCACCAAGGTCCGAAAGGAAACCATTCCTCAGGCGCCTGCAAGAGACCAGGCAGGAAAGCTCAGCGAGGGCGTGGGCCAGGTGGGAACTGGGCGAGCTCATGAGCACCAGCCCTGGATGGGGAGGCAGCAACACTGTCAGACTGGCCTGTTAAAAAGGAGTATGTGAAATCTTCAGAGTGTATCATCTTTGACTAAATCAAAAAGATGTCGTGTTAACTTTCAGTTCCTCTAAACACTCATTCATCCCAAAATCCCGTTTCTGAGATATTAGCCAAATGGTATCTGTAGCAATGACTGTGGGAAGGGAGAAAGTGATGGAGGAGGAAAGGGAAAAAAACACACACACAAACACACACACACCACACCCCACACACACTCCCTCCCAGCACACACACACCACACACACATCCTACACACAAGCACCCCCCACACACACGCACATACCACACCCCACACAAACACACCCCACACACATACCATACCCCACACAAACACACACACCCCACACACACACCCTACACACAGACAGCACCCACACACACCACACGCACCCCCTACACACACACCACACACACCCTACACACACAAAACACACCACCCACAGACCACCCACACCCCCTACATGCACACACCACACACACCCTCCACACACACACAAACACACCACCCACTCACACCCCCCACACCACACACACGCGCACACACACACACACACACACACACACACACACACCCTCGTCTGTAGGTCCAACCTCTGGTTTGGCTTTGAGTGCCCCCTCGTGGTTGAAACAGGAACAGCAGGCAAACCCCGCATTTTGGGTGTGGCCAGCTGTGCTCTTTCTTTTCTGGTTCTGGGTCCCTGGGATTAAGTGACCCTGAGAAATATGCCAATCTACTCAGGCACCCTGTTGCCATATTGCTGTGCATAACAATAGTAATGTAGCACAATTATAATTATCACAGTAATCACATACCATAATTATTGTTTTGATAAATGTATATAATTAATGCTGTACAGAATATATTATTGTATAACTATTCTGATTTATAACAAAAATGGCTGCTATTTCTTGAGCCTGTAGCTTGGCCAGGGATAATGGGCTCAGCAGTTCACGTGCACAGTCCCTCTGGATCTCTCTTTTTTTTTAATTGAGACAGAGTCTCACTCTGTCGCCCAGGCTGGAGTGCAGTGGCGCGACCTTGGCTCACTGCAACCTCCACCTCCCAGGTTCAAGCAATTCTTCTGCCTCAGCCTCCCGAGTATATGAGACCACAGGCACGTGCCACCATGCCCAGTTAATTTTTTGTATTTTTAGTAGAGACGGGGTTTCACCATATTGGCCAGGCTGGTCTTGAACTCCTGACCTCATGATCTGCTCACCTCAGTGTCCCAAAGTGCTGAGATTACAGGCGTAAGCCACCACACCCAGCCAGTCCCATTGGATCTTAACCTCGACCTTGGAAGGAGGTGCCATTTTCCACATGGACAGAGGAGGCTGAGGGGTGGAGTAGCTTTCCCAGTGTCACCTTGCTGGTGAGAGGCTGAATCAGGATTGGAGCTTCCTAGAATGTGGAGCAGCTTGTACCAAAGCCCTTCTAGGGCTAGGTGTCTTGGGAAAGATGGAGATCTCACCTGACCCCTGATCCTTAGAGATCTTCGAATTATCTTCCAGAAAAACTAAGAGCCTGACGCAGGCCTTTCTAATTCCCCACTCAGGGTGGGATGTGGTACCTGGACCAGCAAGGCTAAGGAGAAGAATAAGCACTCACGAATGCTTGCTCTCTGGGCGATATATACTCACTATCTCTATCCCCAACTTCCCAAAATATTACCAGAAAGGGGTCCTGATCCAGAACCTCAAGAGAGTGTTCTTGGATCTCACGCAAGAAAGAATTTGGGGTGAGTTCATAAAGTGAAAGCAAGTTTATTAGAGAAGTAATGACGGAAAAGAATGGCTACTCCACAGGCTAAGCAGCAACATGGGCTGCTCAGTCGCGTATACTTGTGGTTATTTCTTGAGTCTGTGCTAAAGGGGTGGATTATTCATGAGTTTTCCTGGAAAGGGGCGAGGACTTCCCAGAACTGAGGGTTCCTTCCCCTTTTAGACCATATAGGGTAACTTGGAAATTGCCATGGCATTTGTAAACTGTCTTGGCACTGGTGGTCATGTCTTTTAGCATGCCAATGTATTATAATTAACATATAATGAGCAGTGAGGATGACCAGAGGGCACTCTCATCGCCATCTTGGTTTTGATTGGTTTGGCCAGCTTCTTTACCGCATCCTGTTTTATCAGCAGGGTCTTTATGACCTGTATCTTGTGATACCAGTCCTGCTGACCTCCTAGCTCATCTGGTGACTAAGAATGCCTAACCTCCTGGGAACGCAGCCCAGCAGGTCTCAGCCTCATTTTGCCCCTGTTCTAGATGAAGTCACTCTAGTTATAACACCACTGACAAAAACACCCTGGGAAGCACTTGGCCTTGCCATTGTATCTTGTGAGTGAGAACCAAAAAGCAGAGAGAGGTTCTGCAAAGGTCAAACAGCCATTGGGGACTGGGCAGGATTTGAATCCAAATTTACCTGGCTTTCCTGCTGCACCCCTAACCACTACCCCAGTCGCATCCTCAGGAGGCCCTGCTGTGTGTCTGCAACTCAGGCATCCCATGCCTCCCCTGCCCAGTCCTTCGGGTCCCTAAAGACTGGGGCATCCAGGCTCCAGGCTTTTGGGATGGTCTGATGGGCTACTGTCTGAAGGAAAGGCAAGAAAGGAGCGGTCTTCAGGGAGATGGATGGAGTTTCTTGGTTCCCTTGCAATCAACCACGAATGTTCCTCACCACACTTGACCTTGCTTTCTGGCAGCTCATCGCTGCTAAACTCCTCTCCCAGAAAATGGAGCAGCTGCAAAGAGAGGTTAAGATACAGCCCTTTGCCCTCCCAGCCCCCAGCGTCACCCTTCCATCAGCAACCCAGCGTCTGATGGATGGTGCCTGCTTACCCTTCAGCACAGAAGCCATCTGTGACCCCTGCACTAGGCCAGGGCTCTGCATGTCCCTCTCCTTCACTGTACATGTGGATTCATTGCACAAGAGGTGGTAGCTGGCTAACAAAAAGAGCTGTTTAAAGTGAGGACTTTCTCATCGCACATCAACAAAGAAAATATTGACGTATGAACCCAAATGTTTTAATGGTGGAGTTTCAGGCAGCGTCTCCAGTGCCCCCTCTTCGAGCTGTGTCAGTGAAGGCCCACAGCTATTCTTTGAAAATGGTCTCTTGATTGACATTGCCCTTGGTCTTTCCTGCATAAAACATTAAACTGCTACAAATTCCATCCCAGGTTTCTTTAACTGCAATGAGAATTTAAAGACATTTGCAAAGCCATCCCAGTGTAGAATCCTTCTTGATCTTTATGATTTTTTTTCCTCCTAAGATTTTCTGTTGTCTGTTCCAAATTTAATCTTGCTTTTAGAGGGGTTTTTTTGTTTTTCGTTTTTTTGGTTTTTTGGTTTTTTTTGCACCTCACCTTTCCAGAGTATTTATCTTAGGTTTTCATAGAAAGAACCCTTATAGCTGGGGCCGGGCATGGTGGCTCATGCCTGTAATCCCAGCACTTTGGGAGGCCGATGGGGGTGGACCATTTGAGGTCAGAAGTTCTAGACCAGCTTAGCCAACATGGTGAGACCCCAGTCTCTACTAAAATTACAAAAATTAGCAGGGTGTGGTGGCACATGCCTGTAATCCCAGCTACTTAGGAAGCTGAGGTAGGAGAGTCACTTGAACCTGGGAGGCAGAAGTTGCAGTGAGCTGAGATTGTGCCATTGCACTCTAGCCTAGATAACAGAGCAAGACTGTGTCTCAAAAAACAAACAACAACAAAAAAAAAAACTCTTTTCTCAATGATATTGCATTAGTGTACATAATAAATAATTCGAGTAATTACAAAAGCAAGTACAGCAAACAGGTGGTAGGCTTTCATGTGGACTCCAGTAGGGCCCAGTTGGACTTTTCAAAGTCTATCCCAAGGCTGCATCATAAATAATTCGGGTGATTACAGTGGCAAGTACAGCCAACAAGTTTGGAAATGCACATTTCCTTCTCTTGAGAAGCAGGCCGCACAACTGGTGGCAATTGTGTGTGAGTAGCCTACAGACCCCAGCATTCAGTCTTCCAGGAGTACCAGCAGGAATGGGGAATACTGATCAGTCCAGCCAATCTGTTCAGGATGACCATTAAGAACTATCTACAGGCCGAATGTGGTGGCTCACGTCTGTAATCCCAGCACTTTGGGAGGCCAAGGCAGGTGGATCGCCTGAGGTCAGGAGTTCAAGACCAGCCTGGCCAACATGGTGAAACCCCGTCTCCACTAAATATATAACAATTAGCTGGGCGTGGTGGCACATGCCTGTGATCCCAGCTACTTGGGAGGCTGAGGCAGGAGAATCGCTTGAACCCAGGAGGCAGAGGTTCACCCAGGAGGGTGAGCCGAGATCGCAACACTGCACTCCAGCCTGGCCAACAGGGCGAGACTCCATCTCAAAAAAAAAAAAAAACAAAAAAACTATCTACATTAACTGTATGTTTATTTGTGTTTATTTCTAGTTAGTGTCTAGTTCTGCTATTAAACTCTAAATTCTGAGAGGCCAGGACCTCCCAAAGGAAAACTTTGTAATGGTGGAGTTTCAGGCACTGTCTCCAGCCAGTGCCCCCTCCTCAGGCTGTGTCAGTGACTCCCTAGCTCAGGTGTCCAGCCCTGGGACAGACTGAAAAGTCCAACTGGACC
This sequence comes from Homo sapiens, assembly GCF_000001405.40. Classification (NCBI taxonomy): domain Eukaryota; kingdom Metazoa; phylum Chordata; class Mammalia; order Primates; family Hominidae; genus Homo; species Homo sapiens. The sequence goes on from NC_000020.11 coordinate 38,360,505, forward strand.
CTAGTGGAGTCCACATGGGGGCCCACATAGTTTTATTGTTTGTATTTCCTTGGTACCTGGCTCATGACAAGCACTTATAAATATTTGTAAATCAGTGATCACTGAGCACATGTGTGGAATAATGTGACTGCAGTGATCAGCACGGGGCCAGACCAGAGCTGGGGAACTCACTCAGTCATTCTCTTCCCATGTTTTTCAGATTTGCGAAATGATCCAGAAATCAGTGTCCTCCGATCTACAGCCTTATCTCCAAACTCTGCCAGGTAGGACACCCCATCCATCCCGGGACACTTTTATTTCTGTTAATTTCTATAAGAGCATATATATATCTTATAAAATAGTAAATGGGGCAAAAATATAGAAAGTAAAAATTAAGGGCCAGGCGCAGCGGCTCACACCTGTAATCTCAGCAGTCTGGGAGGCCGAGGCGGGTGGATCACCTGAGGTCAGGAGTTCGAGACCAGCCTGGCCAACATGGTGAAACCCTGTCTCTACTAAAAATACAGAATTAGCCGGGCGTGGTGGCGCATGCCTGTAATCCCAGCTACTCGGGAGGCTGAGGCAGGAGAATTGATTGAACCCAGAAGGTGGAGGTTGCAGTGAGCCAAGATCACGCCATTGCACCCTACCCTGGGCAACAAAGACCGAAACTCTGTCTCAACAGAAAAAAAAAAAAAAAGAAAGTAAAAATTAAAAGTTCATTTTTCTCCCCCACTTTTCTTCCAAGAAGTAACTTCTGTTTTGGGTGTATCTTTTCAGATATTTTCTTTGTATGTACAAATATAAATACATGTAAGCATATAAATAGACATTCATGTATGTATTATTTTGTTCATGAATCTATGTGTATATGTATTATTTTAAATATATATGTTCATATACATATAGTATAGGCATTGTTCCAGATTTCTTTTTTTTGAGATGGGGTCTCACTCTGTGTCCCAGGCTGGAGTGCAGTGGTGTGATCTCGGCTCACTGCAGCCTCAAACTCTTGAGCTCAAGTGATCCTCCTGCCTCAGCCACCTGAGTAGCTGGGACTACAGGTGCATGCCACCACACCCGGCTACTTTTTGTATTTTTTGTAGAGACAGGGTTTCTTTATGTTGCCCAGGCTGGTCTCGAACTCCTGGGCTCAAGTGATCTGCCCACCTCAGCCTCCCAAAGTACTGGGATGACAGGCACGAGCCACTGTGCCAGCTTGATTTCATTTTTAAAAACTTTTTATTGAAGTATATTTATAAAGAAAAGTGCTCAAATCATAAGTGTGCTGTTAAAGAGTTTTTACATGCATGTAACCAGCTCCCAACCGAGAAACAGAACACGGCTGGTTTTTCAGAGCCCCTGGTGTCCCCCTCGGTCACTGCCCAGCCCTCCAGGGTCACCACCATCCCAACTTCTACCAGCAAAGATTAGTTTTGCACTTTGCACATGAATGGAATCAGACAATATTTTGAGTCTCTTTTCAAAAGCCAGAAGGCTTTCTTTGTTCAACTTTAAAATATGAGGTCAGGGCTGGGCGCGGTGGCTCACGCCTTTATTTTTTGTTTTCTTTTTTTTTTTTTTTTTTTTTGTGAGACGGAGTCTCGCTCTGTTGCCCAGGCTGGAGTGCAGTGGCGCAATCTCGGCTCACTGCAAGCTTCGCCTCGCGATTTCACGCCATTCTCCTGTCTCAGCCTCGCGAGTAGCTGGGACTACAGGCGCCCGCCACCACGTCTGGCTAATTTTTTTTGTATTTTTAGTAGAGACGGGGTTTCACCATGTTAGCCAGGATGGTCTTGATCTCCTGACCTCGTGATCCGCCCGCTCGGCCTCCCAAAGTGCTGGGATTGCAGGCGTGAGAGCTCACGCCTGTAATCCCAACATTTAGGGAGGCCGAGGCGGGTGGATTACCTGAGGTCAGGAGTTCGAGACCAGCCCAGTCAACATGGTGAAACCCCGTCTCTACTAAAAATACAAAAATTAGCCAGGTGCCGTGGTGGATGCCTGTAATCCCAGCTACTCGGGAGGCTGAGGCAGGAGAATCACTTGAACCTGGGAGGCGGAGTTTGCGGTGAGTTGAGATTGTGCTACTGCACTCCAGCCTGGGCAACAGAACAAGACTCTGTCTCAACAAAGAAAAAAAATAATAAATAATAAATAAACAAAATAAAATATGAGGTCAGGTCAGGCTTGGTGGTGCACACCTATAATCCCAGCACTTTGGGAGGCCAAGGAGGGAGTATCACTTCAGTTCAGGAGTTCAAGGCCAGCCCGGGCAACATAGCGAAACCCCATCTCTACAATAAATACAAAAATTAGCCAGGCATAGTGGTGTGTGCCTGTAGTCCCAGCTACTTGGGAGGCCAAGGTGGGAGGATCGCTTGAGCCCAGGAGGTCAAGGCAGCGGTGGGCTGAAATTGTGCCACTGCACTCCAGCCTGGGCCACAGAGTGAGATCCTATCTCAAAAAGAAATGAAATAAAATAAAACATGAGGTCCATGCATATTGTTGCATGCACCTGTAGTGTAGCTGGTTTATTCTCCTTGCTGCATAGTATATCACCATGTAGATGTTTCCCCATTTATTTGTTCATTCTACTGTTGAAGGCCATCTGGGGGGTGTTCAGTTTTAGGCCATTATCCGTAGTGCTGCTATAAATGTCCTAGTACCTATGGTCGCATGTCTTTGGGTATATATCTGGGAGTGAAATTGCAAGCTCGTCATATCATGTGATATGCCCAGATTCAGCATTATAAGATCCTGCCAAACAGTTTTCCAAAGTGGTTGTAACAGACCTTATTTGTTAACAGCCGTGTAGTGTTCCATCACATGGATGTGTCTTCATTTATTTAATAAGTCCCCCACTGATGGACATTTAGGTGCTTTGCTGTCCCTTGCTATTGCCAACAGGGCTGCAAGGAGCCATCTACAAGTGGAGTCTCTGGATCCAGGGTGCACACATTAAGCTCGGAGGGGGAGACCCTGGCAAATTATCTGAGATGTTCTCTGATGCCTTAGCTCCTAAGCCCCTATGCGGTTATTTGCTGACATCACCTTTACCAGAGGTCCAGGTCGGCAACCCGGTACTGGGACTTGGAACATTCATCCATTCAGGGTTTTGGAGGGGAGTGTCTGGGCCCTCTGGACATGCCATGCCTGACCTTCCTGGTTATTGGCTCAGCATTAAGCTCCAGGTGTGGCTGGAGAGGTGAAGCCTGGACTCATGGTGTGTGTGTATGTGTGTGTGTGTGTGTGCTTGTCTGGAAACTGCTTAGGCCCTAGGCTGAGCATACACCCCCACCATTGTTAACTCATCCAAGGGAATCCATGTAGTGTCTTTCTTGAAGAAGCAATTCTTTGCCTCAGGGCCGGGCTAGTAGGGGGATTCTGAAGAAAGTCACAGGGAATGTGAGTCAGCCAGAGCCCTTGCCCCTCCTCCAGCAGCTGAAAGTGTCATCTGGCCCCTAATTCTGCCCTGTCCTCATTCACAGTTACAACAGAGATTGACAGTTTCGCCGACATTGATTATAGCTTAGTGGAAGCCCCTCGGGCAACAGCCCAGATGCTGGAGGTGATGTTTAAGGTGAGGGTCCTGGGGCCGGGCTGCGTGGGTGAGGCTTTCCCTCAGGGTCAGCCATTCTTTGGGCCACCTGTCCCCCCAACTTCAGATCTGTCCTCATCCTCCCAGTGGTTCCCGCTTTGTCAAGGGCCGGGTGATATGGAGTGGTGGGGAGTGTTTCCAGAGCTAGGATTCTCCCACGGCTGTCTTACACCTCTCAGGTCTTAACGCTTCCCTCCTCCTTCTTCCCCTACTTTGCCTTGCCCATCATGCAGAAAAGGCCAATCAGAGCGGGTCTTAGGGAGTGTAGATGGGCCTAGGGCATATAGAGGGGCTGGCCAGGACTTCCTGTGGGTTAATGTAGCAAAGCTTCTGGTGAGCTTTTCATTAAAAGACATAACACTGCCTTTAATGGTGGAGTTTCAGGCAGTGTTCCAGCCAGCGTCCCTTCATCGGACTGTGTAGGGGAATACCTAGCCCCTGCCCCACGATAGGCTTTGAAAAGTCCAATTGGACCCTATTTCCCTCTCCAGGGTGAAATCTTTCATCGTAACCACCGTTCTCCAGTTACCCTCCTTGCTGCAGTCATGAGCCTTCCTGAGGAACACAACAAAATGGTCTACTTTGCCATCTCGGATTATGTCTTCAACACGGCCAGCCTGGTTTATCATGAGGAAGGATATCTGAACTTCTCCATCACAGATGACATGGTGAGGATGGTGGCAAACAGGTCTCTCAAATGAACACATAACCTACCGCTCCTTCCTTCTTTCCTTTTCACCCCTGTTGACATCAGTCAAATAGTGAGTTATAGCTAAGAGAAAAATCAACACCAAGAAAAATATGTTAGCACAATCTCCCTTTTTACTTTGGCAACCAAGAAACTCAAAGCCAAAGTTCTTTCTCCCATGGCTGGGTGTGGTGGCTCACGCCTGTAATCTCAGCACTTTGGGAGCCTGAGGCGGGCGGATCACTTGAGGTCAGGAGCTTGAGACCAGCCTGGCCAACATGGCAAAAACCTGTCTCCACTAAAAATACAAAAATTAGCCAGGTGTGGTGGTGTGCGCCTGTAATCCCAGCTACTTGGGAGGCTGAGGTGGGAGAATCGCTTGAACCCAGGAGGTGGAGGTTGCAGTGAGCCAAGATCATGCCACTGCACTCCAGTCTGAGCAACAGAGTGAGACCCTGTCTCAAAAAAAAAAAAAAAAAAAGCTCTTCCTCCCTTATAACAACTGTGGAAGACTTTGCAGCTTACTTATCTGTGTTTTGCTTTTCTAGACCTGTTTACTAGTCTAGACTTGTTAGTCTAATTCATATTTTCTCTCATCCTGATGATTTCTGGAGGTTTATTAAAAAATATTTTAGTGAATGAGGCCGGGCAAGGTGGCTCATGCCTGTAATCCTCGCACTTTGGGAAGCCAAGGTGGGCGGATCACCTGAGGTCACGAGTTCAAGACCAGCCTGGTCAACATGGCAAAACCTCATCTCTACTAAAAATACAAAAATTAGCTGGGCATGGTGGCACATGCCTGTAGTTCCAGCTACATGGGAGGCTGAGGCAGGAGAATTGCTTGAGCCCAGGAGGCAGAGGTTGCAGTGAGCTGTGATCTCACTACTTCACTGCAGCCTGGGCAACAGAGTGAGACTGCATCTCAAAAAAAAAAAAAAAAAAAAAATATATATATATATATATATATATATATTTATATGTGAATGAGGCAAGATAATACATGCACTGATAAATGCATATATTTTCAGAGAAAAGGAAATAAAGACCAAGTGAAAATAAAGCACAATTATAAAGACACTGAGCCCTTAAATTAATTTCTTTAACATCTCAAACCTGTCGGGGAGCTTCCTTGTAGCTAAAGTGAAAAAGATACATGATTTCATGATTCATGGTGAAAAGGAGAGACAGTCTTCCTCACACCCCCAAAACAACTGTTTCCAATGTGGCTTTGTATAAGGGAGACTGAATTTTACAGTGGATCTCACCTTTAATGGTTCTCCAGTTTATCTAATATTTCTGGGTTTCAAAAAGTTGTTTCTTGAAGCACTTCATAAAAGTTGAGGCCTCATGAATAATGTCAGGATGGTGGGAGAAACAGTGTGGTTCGGCTCAGACGGTCCAGCTTACCCTGGTATAAGTCAGGGGCCGTCTGGTAGATCGAGGGTCATTTTGTCCTTCTGATGGCCTCCTACACCTGCACAGGCCTTCGCTTCTGGCATCGTGTTTGGTTTACCCATCCTACTGCGGCACGGGCCTCTCTTTCAATGGGATGATAATAGCTACGTTTTATGGAGCACTCACCATGTGCTGGGCCTTGTGCTAGGATGTTCGTTTAGGCCTCACAGTGACTCGAAGGTGGGGACTATTGTTATCCCCATTTTATGGATAAGGAAGTTGAGGTTCAGGGAGATGGAAGGGCTGGCCTGAGATCACAAAGTCAGGACACAAACCGAAGTCTGTGTGACCGCAAACCTCACCCTCGCAGACCCTCTGAGTGGGAGCCACACATCAGCTGCCCCCCGGGGAGAGCGGGCAGGATGCTGAAGTCCCATGTGCTCTCCTTGGGTGAATGCAGGACAGGCATCTCCTCCCTGCCAGGGTAACCCAGGCTGTGGAGAAGCGACAGTCTTGCACATCCCCCTGTCTCCCCAATCTTCTTTAGACCTTCAGCTCCAGCGGGAGCACCCTAAAACTTCTTCATGTCTCTTTGCTGCAGATACCGCCTGACTCTAATATCCGACTGACCACCAAGTCCTTCCGACCCTTCGTCCCACGGGTAAGGAGTCCCTTAGTTCCCCATGAGTGCAGACCGAGCCTACTAGACTCCAGAGGTTTCTCTTTAAAACCTCTGCATCTCTCAGCTTGACCAAGAGTGAGAAGGCCGGGATGAGACTCCCACTGAAGGCTGGGGTGCTGCTCCTTTCAAAGCCTAAATAACAGAGGCCACGCCCCATATCTTGTGGGACCACAGCTTGTCCAATCTTTTATTGGTGTTATCTAAGAATCCCAAGGAATGCTGGCATAGTCCATAAAATGTACCCTAATGAACAGCAGCTAACAATTACAGGGGGCTTCCTAGGTGCCAGGCATGTTCTTGGTTCTTTAAAAAATTATTTTTTGGCCAGGCATGGTGGCTCATGCCTGTAATCCCAGCATTGTGGGTGGCCAAGGTGGGTGGATTGCTTGAGTCCAGGAGTTCAAGACCAGCCTGGGCAACATGACGAAACCCCATCTCTACAAAAAATACAAAAATTAGCCAAGCGTAGCGGCACATAGCTGTAGTCCCAGCCACTGGGGAGGCTGAGGTGGGAAGATCACCTGAGGCTGCGAGGTTGAGGCTGCAGTGAGCTGTGATTGCACCACTGCACTCCAGCCTGGGCAACAGAGTGAGACCCTGTCTCAAAAAAAATTATTAAAAATGTTAGTTTTTGAATGGGAAATAAATTCTCAAGGTTCAACATTCAAAAGATCTAGAAGGTTATAGAGTGGAAAGTCTCACATCCACTCCTATTCCCTAACCACCCAGTTCCCATCTCAAGTTTGCCAATATTACCAGATTTTACATATCTTTCTGATGATATTCTATGTATATACAGGTTCACTATCTCTTATCTGAAATGCTTGGAAAAGCAACTCTGCCTACCTTCTTAGTGAAGCATTTTACCCCCTCAGCCTTCCAAATGTCTCCCTTCTAGAAGAGGATGTAGGTTTTACATATACATAACCAAAAGGTTCATGGGAGTGCTGTTTTTCCACGAATAGCCTCCTAAAAAGGAAGAGTCTTGCCCCAAATTAAACTCTGTACCTATCTCTAGTACACAGAAAATTAAGAGCACTTTTGAAATGGTGGAATCTAGGGCTGGTCGTGGTGGCTCACACCTATAATCCTAGCACTCTGGGAGGCCAAAGTGGGGGGGTAGCTTGAGGCCAGGAGTTCAAGACCAACCTGGACAACATAGCAAAACCCTGTCTCTATTTTAGAAAGAAAAGTTAAAAAAGAAAGAAAGAAAGAAAGAAATGTTCTGTGGAATATCATATTAAAAGAGTAATACGAGAAAATTAAATATTTTTTTTAAAAAAGAAATGGTGGGATCCAGCTGTGTCATATTTCGAAAACACTGGCATCTGACCTCAGCATGCCCAATTAGCAGAATGTGATGAGGGGATGGAGAAACCTTGGGAGAGGTAGGGAGGGAGAAAAAATGGGCCCAACTTTTCTGGAGGACAATTTGGCAATACCTGCCGAAAGTTTTAAAAGCATTGCTGGCCAGGTGCGGTGGCTCACACCCGTAATCCCAGCACTTTGGGAGGCTGAGGCGGGCAGATCACCTGAGGTCAGGAGTTCAAGACCAGCCTGGCCAACATGGTGAAACCCCATCTCTACTAAAAATACAAAATTAGCCGGGTGTGGTGGTGCACACCTGTAATCCCAGCTACTTGGGAGGCTGCAGAAGGAGAATCGCTTGAACCCCAGAGGCAGAGGTTGCAGTGAGCTGAGATGGCACCATTGCACTCCAGCCTGGGTGACAAGAGCAAAACTCCATCTCAAAAAACAAAACAAAAAAAGAAAGCATTGCTGTCCTTCAACCCAGCAACTCCACCTCTAGGAATGTTTTCCTGAAAAGAATAGCCAAGGGTGCTCACAGGAGGTGGTCATTATAATGGCAAAACCCTGGAGACAACTTGATGCCCAATAGAGTTTAATCCATCGCAGGACCCATACATAACGAAATACAACACAGCCGTGAAATAGATGGTGCAGACTCTGTGTCTGACATGGAGAGATGGCCAGTTTTGCCACTAGGAGAAAAAGGCACAGAGAATTTTGTTGGAAATAAAATCAATCGAAAGCAACTTCCAGCTTTATCTGACTCCCTCAGGCCTCTCCTGGCAGACTTGTATATTTTCTTCTCTTGATGTAATCTCCTAATTCTGCTCCCAGTTAGCCAGGCTCTACCCCAACATGAACCTGGAACTCCAGGGATCAGTGCCCTCTGCTCCGCTCCTGAACTTCAGCCCTGGGAATCTGTCTGTGGACCCCTATATGGAGATAGATGCCTTTGTGCTCCTGCCCAGCTCCAGCAAGGAGCCTGTCTTCCGGCTCAGTGTGGTAAGGTTCAGAGCCTTTGCAAATGCTGTTTCCTTTTCCCCACATGCTTTTCCCTTTTCCCCACATGCTTTTCTCCCCACTCACCACCTGGGTAATTCCTCCAGGTCTCAACTTAAATATTACTTCCCGAGAGAGGGCTTTCTTGCTGGCCCTTACCCCCAATCTACCTTACGCCCCTTGCCACTTTTTCTTGTAACACCCCATTATCTTTCTTCTCAGCGTTTACTACAAAGATACTTTGTAGCTGTCTGCAGGTGTATTTGTTTAATGCATGTATCTCTCACTATGTGAGTCTGGGCTATTGTGGGGAGAAAGGTATACTGGTGTTTGTCTATTTGTCTATTTTGACCTTGGAAGACTACATTTCCCAAGCTTCTTTGCACTTTGATTTCCACCCAGGTCAACCAATGGGAGGTACTGTCAGGAGAATGATGGCGGGGAGGAAGGATGAAGCCAGAGTACTATTTCCTCTTTCTTTACCACGGCAGAGGCTCTGGCTGTGACTATGTCTCCTCATGGTGACTTCCATAATTCCACCTCCACTCTTTGTTCCTCTAGTCCTGGGGTGGATACAGCCTCCTGTCTCTGGATAATCTCTGGGTGGCCTCACCAACTCTTTACTAGCTTCTCAACAATTCCATCACTTGTATAACCAATTCCCCGTATTAAATTCCCTCTGCGTTAAACATTGAGAGTCAGTTTTCCTTTTTTGATGGACTCTGTCTAATAGGGAAGGGATGTTGGGTCCTTTGGGGGCCTTGCTCCCTGGATGGAGAACTCTGCTCTCTTGTTTCTTGACTTTTGAAATCAACAAGTCAAATCTCTACCAGGGTAATTCTTCCTAGAGGCTATATCTGCAATTTAATATTGTTGTTATTGTTATCAAAAGTGTCATTATTAATATATTTTAAATTAAAATATAATTTACTGTCTGGGTGTGGTGGCTCACATCTGTAATCTCAGCACTTTGGGAGGTCAAGGCAGGAGAATCACACAAGGCCAGGAGTTTGAGAGCAGCCTGGGCAACACAGCAAGACTCCATTGCTACAAAAAAGAAAAAACAAATAGCCAGGCCTGGTGGCATGCACCTGTAGTCCTATCTACTCAGGGGGTTGATGTGGGAGGATCGCTTGAGCCCAGGAGATTGAGGCTGCAGTGAGCCATGATTGCACCACTGCACTCCAGCTGGGCGACAGACAGAGACTCCATCTCTAAAACAATAATAATAATTTATTAATGTTGTTACTAGGGCTGAATCTTGACCTGAGATAACTAGAAATGATCCTTTTTAGAGCTTTCCAAGGGTAGGTACTCTATACCTTCTCTTAGTAGTCTGTTCAAAGTTTAACTGCTAACATAAACAACAATTTCAAGTAAAAATGTTCAAGTCCAAGTTCAAATATTGTTTGAGCACCTACAGTGAGCCTTCTGGGAGTCTATGATCTAGTGGGCAAATTTCCTGCTTTAGCTCATTGAGCTGTTTGTTGAGAGGAGACAGTTGGTCCCTCGTCATCATCCTTCCTATACATACAACCTTCATCACTTACACCTGCTTCCTTCTTCTGGCATTTCCAGGCCACTAATGTGTCCGCCACCTTGACCTTCAATACCAGCAAGATCACTGGGTTCCTGAAGCCAGGAAAGTAAGTTGGCCTCCTACCTACATGGGGGTGCCCAGCTGGACTCCATCTGTATGCTGTAGCTGCTTCTCTGTAGCTGGTGGGAGGGGGGGCCACCATTTGGAAAGGACACTTACATTTCACCCCAATTGGCCCAATTCTTCTGCCCCACTGGTCCTGCCCCCACAAATCTCAAATTGTTAAAGAATTCACTAAGACTGTTACTTCTTAATGTATGAATTTTAGAAGCCAGCTATATGAACTTCCTGAAATGATAAAGAGTGAGCTTTTTGACACTATCTCATCTGCCCTGTGACAGTCTTCCCGATGTCATTGTATCACTGCTTTTAGTTCCTCAGTCATCTTTTCCACTCCTGCTCCCGCCCTACCTTTGGCCCTGTGCCTTCTCAAGCCCATCCTTTCTCGCTTCTGGGGACCCCCGCATTGCTTAAACTTGCATAAAGCCCACACCTTTTAATCTTCTCTGATTCATTACAGGGTAAAAGTGGAACTGAAAGAATCCAAAGTTGGACTATTCAATGTAAGTTGTTTTTATTGATGACATGATTAGAATGTTAATTAATTTGGGGTGTTTCCTAAGCAATTGCTATGGCACCTATAATAGGAAATACAAAAGGAGAAGAGTTGATTTTTTGCCCTGCAGAAGTGTAAAAGGTCTCGAAAACACAAGACATAGGGCCAAGGAACAGTTATATCCTAGTATAAAACAATATATAATTAAGTCATCTACTGAACAGAATTCTCTTAACTGCAAGAGACAGAAAGCCAATTGAAATCATCTTAAGCAAAGAGGAGAAATATATAGGATTATATAATTGAAAAGCAAAAATAAACGAAAAAACTAAGACCAGAGGTTTCAGGCATAGCTGGATCCAGGTGTTCTAATTAGTGCATCAAGAATCTCTCTCCATCTCTCTGTTCTGTTTTCATTTGTGTTAGCTTCACTCTCAGGCAGGCTCTTCCAATTGGTAGCAAGCCCCAGAGTTTCCTACAGTTTCAGTTTTTTAAAAAATTTGCACACACACACACAAAATCTCTGTGCTAGCTCTCATTGGACTAATCTTAGGCACCCAGTCTTAAGCCAAGCACTGTGGCCAGAAGTCAGCCCAGCATGGATCTCATCTACACTCCAGGAGGCAGGATTTGCAGTCAGCTACATCCAAAGCACATGGACCAAGACTGGCAAGGAGGGTTGTTCCCTGGGGGAAAATAGACTCCGTTATCAAAACAAGAGGGATTGAGTGCTGAGCAGGTAAATCCAAGAAGTGATTTCCACAAGGTAGAAAAAGTGGTGAAGTAGACGGCCCCAAATAAAAGGAGGAAAGAGAACGTGAAAATCAGTGTGGGCCAAAGTTATGGAGAAGAGCTTTCTGGAAAGAGGGAAGGAGGAGCTGGGTAGACTTTAATGTGTAGTCGTTGGCTTCTCTTTTACCATTCCATGATGCTGGCCTCCACTGACCACCTCCACCTGTGCCCTGCCTCCCAGACTTTCCCGAAGCACTTATGAAGTGGAAACAAACACAGAGGCGGTGGGGAGAGATGCAGGGACCCTGAAGCTAACTCCTTTCAGAGAATAAAGGGTGGAGTGAATAATGGTGCACTCATATTGTATCTGTGCGTGTTTACTGCAAAGTAAAACATTCAAGTGAGAAGTTTCACAAAAATCCATCCTGTCGGGTTTTCAGAGCATGAAATGTAAAAACAAAAACTACAGACTCAGATACATTTAGATTCGAATCCTGATGCTGCTGCCCAGTTTGTAGTAAGTCCCTTTCATTCTGTAGGCCTCAGTTTCCCGATATATGGAATAGGGACATTAATATGAACTTTGAGGGGTTGTTGTGAAGATTGAATCAGACATGCACGTAAAGCTCTGAGCTCTCTGCTTGGCATATAGTGGGGGTTAGAAGTTGTGTTTCATGATTTTGGTAGAGAAGCTTATTTTGTTTTTATTAAATTTTTTAAATTATGTAGGTAGTTCAGGAAAAACATTCTCACTGTAAATAAAACCGATACTAAAGATAAGGCTAAGGACATGTCAAATGTTGATGTTCTTCCTTTAGAGGAAAGACTGTCGGGTGTGTAACTTTCCAAAATTTTTCTATTCACTTGCATACCAAATGTTCATCTCAAAAGAGTTTTATCTTATAAAATAGTAGCATGATGTAATACTAGTTTGCTTTTCCCAAGCGTTTTGCTATGTTGGCACACACAGAACCACCATGTGGCCCTGTGGCGATGTAAATATATCTCTCCTGTTCTCTTCCAGGCAGAGCTGTTGGAAGCGCTCCTCAACTATTACATCCTTAACACCTTCTACCCCAAGTTCAATGGTAAGAATCACTGTGGATTTTTCCAAGTCAAAAGTGAACACTGCTGTCTGGAGGAAAGAGAGTTGGACTTGGAAAACAGGGCTCTCCTGGGGGCTGTATGACCGTGGGCAAGTCACTTCTCTCTGAGCTTAGTGACCTGCCTGTGACATGGGATCGTTGAAGTTGGCCTCATCTCCCTCCAGGGCTCTAATGAGGGTTGGGGGCTGGGACAGCTCTTTGGAGCACGGGAAACCTCCTTATAAGCGGGACAGAGGGACACATGGAAGTGCCCCACATCCTGAAGAGGCAGGTCAAAGACTGAGGACCAAGTTAATATAGAAGGCACAAGGCAGCCGCCTCTGAACTCACATCTCCCAGTCAATTGCCCAACTGCCTAGTCAAAAAAGAAAGCAAAAAACTTAAATCCTGTTTCCATGAAGCTTTGCTTCTTTTGGCTGCAACAGAGAACAGGACGGGCAAAGGGCAGGGAGTGGAACGCCCTGTTCTTTATCTTATCATGAATGTGTGCTTCCTCCAGACAGCACCATGCCTGATAGCTTAGGCTCCCAAGTCAGCCTCCCTGGGTTTAAATCCCCTTTCTGACACTTCCTGTGTGACCTAGAACAAGTTACTTGGCCACTCTGTGCCTCAGTTTCCTTATCTGTAAAATGGAAAGAATAATCACACCTACCTCATAGTCTTGGAAATCACTAAATGGGAATATACTGAATATAGAGTTTGCAGAGAACATTTTCGGTAAAAATCTGTCTCTAATTATTATTTATTCACCAATCTCTTTCAATGTTGTGCTTCAACCTCTAGATAAGTTGGCCGAAGGCTTCCCCCTTCCTCTGCTGAAGCGTGTTCAGCTCTACGACCTTGGGCTGCAGATCCATAAGGTCGGTGGGTTCAGGGGGGCTCTGAGGATGTGTGAGGGAGGAGGTGGTTTGCATGCTAGCTTTGGGGCCATGATTCATGGGTGACACCCAGCCCAGCCCTGCAGCTGGGAAAGTCTGGCCAGGGGCAGGACGGGTGCTCCTGGGCCTTGCCATATGCCACAAAGCCATCCACATGTCCTTCAGAAGTGGCACCTCTGCTGGTGCAGGTGGCATTTGACACAGCCCTATGCCACCACCACATCCCATCCCTACCATGAGGGGCCTGAGGGAAGCTCAAGACCAGCTCGTTTTGAAAATACTGCGGGCCGGGTGCAGTGGCTCACGCCTGTAATCCCAGCACTTTGGGAGGCTGGGGCGGGCAGATCACGAGGTCAGGAGTTTGAGACCAGCCTGGCCAACATGGTGAAACCCCATCTCTATTAAAAATACAAAAATTAGCTGGACATGGTGGCAGGTGCCTGTAATCCCAGCTACTCAGGAGGCTGAGGCAGGAGAATTGCTTGAATCCAGGAGGTGAAGGTTGCAGTGAGCCGAGATCACGCCACTGCACTCCAGCCTGGGCAACAGAGCAACACTCCGTCAAAAAAAAAAAAAAGAAAGAAAAAAAAAAGAAAGAAAATACTGTAAGTCCTAGACGTAGCATTAGGTCAGGTTCTGAAAGTCATTTGTAAGTTTTAAGCTTTTCTTCTAAATTTTAAGGTTGAAGAGCTTTATTATAAATACCTGTTTGGCATGCCTCCCCATTTAAACAAGTACTACAACCATATATACTTTTTTTTTTTTTTTTTGAGACAGAGCCTGGCTCTGTCACCCAGGCTGGAGTGCAGTGGTGCGATCTTGGCTTACTGCAACCTCTGCCTCCCAGGTTCAAGAGATTCTTGAGCCTGAGCCTCTGGAGTGGCTGGAACTACAGGCTCCCGCCACCACTCCCAGCTAATTTTTTTTTTTTTTTTTTGTATTTTTGGTAGAGACAAGGTTTCACAATGCTGGCCAGGCTGGTCTCAAACTCCTGGCCTCAAGTGATATGCTCACCTCAGCCTCCCAAAGTGCTGGGATTACAGGCATGAGACACCATATACAGCCAACACTATATATGTTTACAAAAATTATTCATAAACCTATTGCTCCACTACAAGCACAGTTTGAATTTTGGTGTACTTCTAGTGCTTTTTGTTTTAAGGGTTTTTTTTTTTAAGTTTGTTTGTTTTGCACAGTTGCATTACTAGTGCTCATACCTGTTTTCTTTCTTTCCCTTTTTTTTTAAAACTTAAAACAAATTTTTTTTTAGGCCAGGAGCGGTGGTTCATGCCTGTAACCCCAGCACTTTGGGAGGCCAAGGCGGGCAGATCATGAGGTCAAAAGTTTGAGACCAGCCTGGCCAACATGGTGAAACCCCATCTCTACTAAAAATACAAAAATTAGCTGGGCATGGTGGTGCGCACCTGTAATCCCAGCTACTTAGGAGGCTGAGGCAGGAGAATGGCTTGAACACGGGAGGCAGAGGTTGCAGTGAGCTGAGATCATGCCACTGCACTCCAGCCTGGGCGACAGAGCAAGACTCCATCTCAAAAGAAAAAAAAAATTAACTTAAGGTTCTTTTTAAAGCTTAACTTAAAAACTATTTTAATATCAAGTGAAATAGTGAAAAACTATTTTCATTATTCAAACTATTATTCTGACCAAGCATTTTGTGGTCTATCTGTGCTTCCAATTTTCAGGTTATCTTTTGAGGTGAGATGAACTGGGTTGGCGGACTCATTAGCAGGAGGGGGATGCTGCGCTGTGCCTGGTACATTGTTAACAACAGAAAATAATAGCCATTAAAGGGAATGAAGGGCAGGGGGGATGATTAGGGACCTAGAAACACTGGCCAACTGTTCTATCTAAAAAACAAATGTCGAAAGCCCTTTTGGGCTCTGAGATACTCAGCACTTAACTGCTCTTGAGCATTTATAAGTAGTCAGACAGATCGTTGTTCAAAGCAAAGATTGAGTGACAGTTCATACCATCGGCCTCAGTTTTCTCCTCTGTAAAACGGGACATAACCGAAATGTCAGTGGGCTTTTGTGATGATTTAGAGGGCAAGTATGATAGCTTCTAGCTCAATGTTTGACATGTGGAAAGTAATTAGATTTATTATATATTATAATATTCATTAGAATTTTGAGGTCAACTCTGCCCATGTGTCTAACCGTCTAAAACAAAGGATGGATCACTGTGGGAAAGAACTGAACTTGGCCTTCGGTTCAGAATTCCTGCCCCTCTGGGTGATGGAAACGTAAGAAGAGCAGGAGAGTACACCCTAGCAGTTCACAATTTTTCATTATTTGCCAAAGAGAGAAAATTTAGGTGACGCAAAGGACACTTAGAGGCCTGCCGGGCAGCAGCAGCTCGGGGAATGACAGATCGATCTCTACCTTGGAGAAGGTAGCTGGGAAGAGCTGTGCTTTACGGAGAGCTTGGGGACTGAGGCACACTCGCAATTTATGCACTGACCTGGATTCTGGCAGAGCTTGTGTTTCGTGAGACGTGGGCTCCCTTTCAATCGCAGATGCATCTTTTTGGAGTAGAGGATGCTCTTTACCATCCTGTCCTGTCCTGTTTTTCCTAGGACTTCCTGTTCTTGGGTGCCAATGTCCAATACATGAGAGTTTGAGGACAAGAAAGATGAAGCTTGGAGGTCACAGCTGGATCTGCTTGTTGCATTTCCAGCTGTGCAGCACGTCTCAGAGATTCTTGAAGAATGAAGACATTTCTGCTCTCAGCTCCGGGGGTGAGGTGTGCCTGGCCTCTGCCTCCACCCTCCTCCTCTTCACCAGGTGCATGCATGCCCTCTCTGAGTCTGGACTTTGCTTCCCCTCCAGGAGGGACCACCCTCCCCGACTGGCCTGGGATATCTTTACAAGCAGGCACTGTATTTTTTTATTCGCCATCTGATCCCCATGCCTAGCAGAGTGCTGGCACTTAGTAGGTCCTCAATAAATATTTATTAAATGATGAGATGATGGAATCACCTGGTATTCTAGCTGAGCCTCATCACTGCCTGCCCTCTTCTGACCTCAGGGGTCTTTGGATAGTCAGCCACATCTATGGTCTCCAAGGCCCCTTTCTCATCGCCGCTGCTATGGGAGCCTCAATGAGAGAACCAGGGATTCTGTACATCATGTAGCCCTGGATCTGGCGCTGGTGCTCCGTCTCTAAGGCCCTTGTCCTGTCTCAGGCAGGGGCTCACTTCGACATCGCTCCCTCCCTCATTTCTTGCCTGCTACAGCCAAGGGAGCCAATGATCTCCCGGAGCAAAAACTCAGCCTCCCGCTGCTTTTCCCTCATTGAAGCAGGTGTAAATTAGGAGGAAATGGATCTGTCTAAGTTTTTGGTCCAACCCCAATAAAAAGCTCATCCAACTGTTGTTTATGAGCCCCAAGCCTGGAGGGAGAGGCCGTGATTTCTAATTACTGAACAATGAGCCTTTGATCAGACTAATAAAGAGTCATTTCCAAGTTATGTAGTTGGGCTCCCAGGGACTGGGAGTCAGAAGACTCGTTTGATAATTTTTTTTATTGTGTTAATGAGCAGATGGATGGAGCTTCAGGCTAGCAGATAATTCACAGGGAATAATCCCATTTACCCTGTGTGTGACAGAGATGTGTTCCAAGATGGGACGATGTGTTGTCGCCCAGCTGGTGGCAGGGTAAGCTGTGGCTTCAAGCCCTCTCTCCTCTCCATTTTTGTTCATTTGTTTGCCACCATCCATCCCTATGACCGACTGGCAAAGGACACAGGCTTCATCCAGTACTAGCCATGTGGCCTTGGGAAGGTCACTTTCCCCCTGGGGTCCTCATCTATGAAATGATGATGATGATTATAGTAGTCAATTCCTGGGACTGCTATAATGACTGCATTGGGTAATCTATGTGGAAGGATTTATTTAGCCAAATGGGGATTCCATATTTATTGGCTGGGTGTGCTTACTAAGCACCTCCTATTTGCCAGGCTTTGGGGTCCTCATGGGGAGAAATACATGGAGCATGGGCTCCATTCCTGATCCTGCTTTTAAGAGTGATACTTCCTCTCCCTCTCCCTCTCCCTCTCCCTCTCCCTCTCCCTCTCCCTCTCCCCACGGTCTCCCTCTCCCTCTCCCTCTCCCTCTCCCCACGGTCTCCCTCTCCCTCTCCCCTCTTTCCACGGTCTCCCTCTGATGCCGAGCCGAAGCTGGACTGTACTGCTGCCATCTCGGCTCACTGCAACCTCCCTGCCTGATTCTCCTGCCTCAGCCTGCCGAGTGCCTGCAATTGCAGGCGCGCGCCGCCACGCCTGCGTGGTTTTCGTATTTTTTTTGGTGGAGACGGGGTTTCGCTGTGTTGGCCGGGCTGGTCTCCAGCTCCTAACCGCGAGTGATCCGCCAGCCTCGGCCTCCCGAGGTGCCGGGATTGCAGACGGAGTCTGGTTCACTCAGCGCTCAATGGTGCCCAGGCTGGAGTGCAGTGGCGTGATCTCGGCTCGCTACAACCTACACCTCCCAGCCGCCTGCCTTGGCCCCCCAAAGTGCCGAGATTGCAGCCTCTGCCCGGCCGCCACCCCGTCTGGGAAGTGAGGAGCGTCTCTGCCTAGCCGCCCATCGTCTGGGATGTGAGGAGCCCCTCTGCCTGGCTGCCCAGTCTGGAAAATGAGGAGCGTCTCTGCCCGGCCACCATCCCATCTAGGAAGTGAGGAGCGTCTCTGCCCGGCCGCCCATCGTCTGAGATGTGGGGAGCGCCTCTGCCCCGCCGCCCCGTCTGGGATGTGAGGAGTGCCTCTACCCGGCCGCCCCGTCTGAGAAGTGAGGAGACCCTCCGCCTGGCAACCGCCCCGTCTGAGAAGTGAGGAGCCCCTCCACCCGGCAGCCACCCCGTCTGGGAAGTGAGGAGCGTCTCCGCCAGGCAGCCACCCCGTCCAGGAGGGAGGTGGGGGGGTCAGCCCCCCGCCCGGCCAGCCGCCCCGTCCGGGAGGGAGGTGGGGGGGTCAGCCCCCCGCCCGGCCAGCCGCCCCGTCCGGGAGGGAGGTGGGGGTCAGCCCCCTGCCCGGCCAGCCGCCCCGTCGGGGAGGTGAGGGGCGCCTTTGCCTGGCCGCCCCTACTGGGAAGTGAGGAGCCCCTCTGCCCGGCCAGCCACCCCGTCCGGGAGGGAGGTGGGGGTGTCAGCCCCCCCCCGGCCAGCCGCCCTGTCCGGGAGGTGAGGGGCGCCTCTGCCCGGCCGCCCCTACTGGGAAGTGAGGAGCCCCTCTGCCCGGCCAGCCGCCCCGTCCGGGAGGGAGGTGGGGGGGTCAGCCCCCAGCCCGGCCAGTCGCCCCGTCGGGGAGGTGAGGGGCGCCTCTGCCCGGCTGCCCCTACTGGGAAGTGAGGAGCCCCTCTGCCCAGCCGCCACCCCGTCTGGGAGGTGTGCCCAGCAGCTCATTGAGAACGGGCCATGATGACAATGGCGGTTTTGTGGAATAGAAAGGGGGGAAAGTTGGGGGAAAAGATTGAGAGGTTGGATGGTTGCCGTGTCTGTGTAGAAAGACGTAGACATGGGAGACTTCTCATTTTGTTCTGTACTAAGAAAAATTATTCTGCCTTGGGATCCTGTTGATCTGTGACCTTACCCCCAACCCTGTGCTCTCTGAAACATGTGCTGTGTCCACCCAGGGTTAAATGGATTAAGGGCGGTGCAAGATGTGCTTTGTTAAACAGATGCTTGAAGGCAGCATGCTCGTTAAAAGTCATCACCACTCCCTAATCTCAAGTACCCCGGGACACAAACACTGCGGAAGGCCGCAGGGTCCTCTGCCTAGGAAAACCAGAGACCTTTGTTCACTTGTTTATCTGCTGACCTTCCCTCCACTATTGTCCTATGACCCTGCCAAATCCCCCTCTGCGAGAAACACCCAAGAATGATCAATAAAAATAAATAAATAAATAAAAAGAGTGATAGGTGTGCTGAAAAGAGCCAGTATTGATTCCAGCCTACCTGTTTTGGGTCCCTGGGCAAGGTATCTCCAAGCCTCAGTGTCCTCTCCTGTCAAATGAGGCTGGGAAGAGCTCTTGGCGGGATTATTTTGGAAATTGATGGGTTCAGGTTAAGCTTCCGTGGGTGCCCAGAGAATAACCAGGTGGTGGTCAATGGATGACACAATTAGATCACCTGTCATACTTGGTGTCCCCAGAAGCAGACCCTGAAGAAAAGAGGTGAGTACAAGTATGACGGTGTTGCAAAAGTAATTGTGGTTTTTGCTGTTACTTTCTTTTTTTTTTTTTTTGAGGTAGAGTCTAGCTCTGTCGCTCAGGCTGGAGTGCAGTGGTGCAATCTCAGCTCACTGCAAGCTCCGCCTCCCGGGTTCACGCCATTCTCCTGACTCAGCCTCCTGAGTAGCTGGGACTACAGGTGCCTGCCACCACGCCCAGCTAATTTTTTGCATTTTTAGTAAAGGCAGGGTTTCACCATGTTAGCCAGGTTGGTCTTGATCTCCTGACCTCATGATCTGCCTGCCTCAGCCTCCCAAAGTGCTGGGATTACAGGCGTGAGCCACCGCGCCTGGCCTGACTCCCAGTCTTTTCTCCAGTTAATCTTTCCTGGGTTTTTGATGAGATTCCTAGGAAGGGGGTCTTAAGATAATTGCATTTCTTTTGGAAAGAAGTTTTCTTATTCAGAGAAGGAAATTCCAGACAGAGTCCCTTCTGGTGCTTCAGGAAAGAGGATCAGAGAGCTAAGGAGGTGAGGGAAGATCAGAGGGAGACCTTGAGTCTGCTTTTTTAGTTCAGCATATCAATGTGCCATATATTGGCGTATTGTTTTCCGAGCCCCAACAGTGTTATATCTCGATGGGGTAGTACAGGACAACACAGCTGGCCCTAGAGTCCCATAGCAGGTTCTGACGCCCTGAAATCTGACTGTAAACATATGAGTATCCTGGACAGCTCCAACCTGTAGAGAAGGACTGGCCTTGGGACAGGAGGTTCTGATCTCAATAACCGGAAGAACTGGACTGTCAAAGAACCTTCAAGAGACCACAGACTCATTGCTGTGTAGATCTCATTCTCACACAAAACCAAGATGCCACCTTGGAGCGCCTCCTCTTGACTACAACCTGTTCCTCCCTTCTGCCCTTCTCTGATTTCCCCTCTCCTCTCCTCAACCTGATCAAGACCTCTAGCCTCACCGGTGTCTTCCAGGCCGCTATTCTGATTTAATTTGTCTCCATAACTAAGCACAGTTCATCATCTCTAACAGAATCCTTTCATCTCCTGACAATCCTACTTTCCACATCCCCAGCCTGGGGCCTAGGCGTAGGTAAGAGAATTAAATTACTGGAGGAAAAGGCAGGCAGGCTATAGCCAGTTGAGGTCTCCTTCCATCACCAAAACCATAGTTCTGTCTGAATGGCCTGAGCAGCAGCAACAGCCTAGAAATTGGAATACATGATATTTCTAATGAGGCTCTCAGGTAAGGTCTCAGAACCCATTCAGTCTCAAGACATGCTTTTTGTTTTTGTTTTTGTTTCTTTGAGACAAGGTCTGGCTCTATCTCCCAGGCTGGAGTGCAGTGGCACAATCTCGGCAAACGACAACCTTCACCTCCCGGACTCAAGCCATCCTCCCACCTCAGCCTCCAGCATAGTGGGACTACAGGCATGCACCACCATGCCCAGCTATTTTTGTGTGTGTGGGTATTTGTTGTAGAGATGGGGTTCTGCCATGTTGCCCAGGCAGGCCCTGAACTTGTGAGCTCAGGTGATCCGCCGGCCTCAGCCTCCCAAAGTGCTGAGATTACAGGCAGGAGCCACCATGCCCAGCTGCATTTCTTCTTTCTTTTTATTTATTTTTTTTGAGATGGAGTTTCTCTCTTGTTGCCCAAGCTGGAGTGCAATGGCATGATCTCGGCTCACTGCAACCTCGGCCTCCCAGGTTGAAGTGATTCTCCAGCCTCAGCCGCCTGAGTAGCTGGAATTACAGGCGCCCGCCACCATGCCCAGATAATTTTTGTATTTTTAGTAGAGACTTGGTTTTATCATGTTGGCCAGGCTGGTCTCAAACTCCTGACCTCAGGTGATCTACCTGCCTTGGTCTCCCAAAGTGTTGGGATTACAGGTGTGAGCCACCATGCCTAGCCTGCATTTCTTTCTAAGAGCCCAAGATGTAGCTTAGAAGAAAAGACACTAGCATGCCAGGATAGTCCATATTGTGCTGTAAGTGAAGGCAGCATGGAGAAGTCTTGGCAATATAGGTAACAAGGTCAGGGGCAGCCACAGGTCTGAATAGGTGGAAAGATGAGAGCTGCTGGGTATAGTATCAAAGGGTTAGGCAAACAATAGAACCAATAAGTGTGCGTGTTTGGAAAGGACAGAAGAAGAAAACAAAATAAACAAAACCAAAACCAAGTACAGCATTGGGCCCCAGGGATTAGAAAGTCAAGCAGGAGCTAGCACGGCCAATGCACTTTGCTTCTTTCACTGGAAAAGTCCAAAATATATTTTCCTATTAGTACACAGAGATCTTCTGCATTTGATTTTTAAAATTTAACACAGCTACATAATATTCCACATTTGTGTATGTACAAAACAACTTCTTCATTCTTATTTAAAGATGCATAGGATCTCCTGGTGAAAGATACAATTTATTTAACCAGTTCCTACTTATGGGTCATCAGGTTGTTTTAAAACTTTTGCTTTTATAAATAATGTTTCAGTGAATACCTGTATTCATATGCCAATTCATACGTGTGGAGGTACATTGTAGAATAAATGCCCAGAAATCAAATCCTATAACTCTGACTCTTTGGTTAATTTAGCAGATTGTCATTTGCTCACTTTCTCTTCTTTCCAGACTTTCCCCTTCTCTTGAGGTGGTGCCTGGGTATACAGGGATGTTGAAGGGGTCCACATGGCATCATGAGAGTGGAGTGAAGCAGGACATAGTAAAGAATTTAACCTTGCTCAAAGAGAGACATGGCTTTTGTCCTTGGCCCCTGGAAGGTAATCTCTAAGCCCTTGGAATGCTTGCCTGGTAAGAGTGCCTTTGTTTACCTGGGGGCATTGGTCCATAACAGATAGTCTAACAAGGGGAGCCACGGCAGGGCTTTTGTTCACATCATATCAGCTTAATCTCTGAAGATGCTGAAGACTGAGCCCAGCCACATGGGCAGCCAACCAGATTGGCATGATCAAGGCCCCAAAAGACTCTGGAGCTTTTCAGATGATTTTCAGGAGAAATGACTGAGCCCAAAGAACAATAGCCTGGAAGGAAGTTCCTATGAGTGCTGTGGGAAGTGGTGGGAAGGTGAGGGGCGGAACTTCACAATGCACAAAGGTTGTCTTATTATGCAGATGAAGTCTCCCCGGTAATCTCTGAGCTGCACTCAGAGGATAGATGAAGAAGTCTGGGCGTGGCGATTACTCCAAGTCTTTTCTCTGGTTAATCTTTCCTAGCTATTTGATGAGATTCCTAGGAAGGGGACCTTAAAATAATTGCTTTTATTTTGGAAAGAAGGTTTGGCTGAGTGTCCCCAGTTGGCAATACTTCATGTGTATTGTCACACATCAATGCTAGAAAAGTGATGCTGTCCACGACCCCAGGGAGAGAGGGCAGCTGGAAGCTCTGCGTTAGAACTTTCTTGGACTCTGCCCTATGTTGCTCTTCCCTTGGCTGATTTTAATTGGTATCTTTTTGCTGTAATAAAATATAACCATGAGTATAACAACTTTAAGTGAGTTCTGTGAATCTTTCTGGCACATTTTCACACTTAAGGGTTGTCTGGGCCACTCCTGAACTTGCAATTGGTGTCAGAAGTAAGAGTGGTCTTGTGAGCAATGCTGCCTCTAACTTCACACAAGGAGTCTTCTCCTCCTCAGCTCCTTCACTCACTGGACATCCTGCTGGCCACAGATGCTGCCTGAGCATGAGGCCAGTGACACAGAGACCTGTTCCCTGTGGCCTGGTCAAGGCCTAAAGTCCCTCACCTCCTGCCCCCAGCTGCTGCATCTTCAGATCTGCTACAAACCCTGTATTGATCAGGCTTCCTACCTGCAAACTTTAGCATCCACTCTGGGTAGTATAGGCAGAAAGGGGTTTGTTAAAGGACATTAGATTGTTCTCAAATGGTTGGGAGGAGAAACAGAGTTGAGGCTGAGCTTCCAAACTGGTCACAGGGGTTAATCAGATGCAGACCACACCAGGACATATAAGCTCACTTTCTCATTAGCCCCACTGATTTTTTAAGGTATTCTATCATACACCAGGATCAACATATACTTATAAAATTCCTTTGTCTTTACTATTTAAGATTGCAACACTTATTTAGTGTTCAATTATCTGCTTGTGAAATACTTCTTAGCCCAGTGCTTCTCAAACTTCAATGTGCCTATGAATCCCCTGAGCATCTTATTAAAATGCAGATTCTGATGCAGCAGGTCTGGGGAGGAGCTGAGAATCTAACCATCTTCCAGGTATTTCCAATGCTGCTGGTCCTTGAGTAACAAGATCAAGTAAACTTTGTGGGAGTAAGAAATTTCTCACTGCTATATAACCCCCTAGAACAGCACCTGGCACATAGTAGGTGCACAGTTAGACATTTGTCACATGAATGGATTTGGCCCATAGATCCAACATGGTCCAGCTTCGCCCTCCATCCAGCACTGTGTGAATTGTTGGTCTACAGAACGTTCAGTGGTCTGGAGCCCAGGAGAGAAAACTGGAAATTTCTCAAAAGCCAAGTAGTGACAGAAAATGATTCAGTCGCTGATATGGTTTGGCTGTGTACCCACCCAAATCTCATTTTGAATTGTAGTTCCCATAATCCCCAAGTATTGGGGGAGAGACCCAGTGGGAAGTAATTGAATCATGGGGTGGCTACCCCCACGCTGTTCTTGCAATAGTGAGTGAGTTCTCATGAGATTTGATGGTTTTTTGTTTGTCTGTTTGTTTTTTTTAGATGGAGTCTTGCTTTGTCACCCAGCCTGGAGTCCAGTGGCACAATCTTGGCTCACTGCAACCTCCGCCTCCCAGGCTCAAGTGATTCTCCTGCCTTGGCCTCCCGAGTAGCTGGGATTACAGGCACCTGCCACCATGCCCAGCTAACTGTTTGTATTTTTAGTAGAGACAGGGTTTCACCATGTTGGTCAGGCTGGTCTTGAACTCCTGACCTCAAGTGATCCACCCGGCTCAGCCTCCCAAAGTGCTGGGATGACAGGCGTGAGCCACTGCACCCAGCTGAGATCTGATGGTTGTATAAGGGGCTTTTCCCCTTCTGCTCAGCACTTCTCCTTACTGCTGCCCTGTGAAAAAGGTAACTTTCTCCTCCTCCTTCTGCTATGATTCTAAGTTTCCTGAGGTCTTCCCAGCCATGCAGAACTGTGAGTCAATTAAACCTATTTCCATTATAAATTACCCAGTCTTCGGTGTGTCTGCATAGCAGTGTGAAAACAGACGAATACAGTCACCTTGTTGAGGTCAAGTGGCCAATTTTTGCAACATTGCTAGATCAGGGTCTCAGTGAAAAACCCCCTTTTAGGAAGAAGGCACAAATTTCCCATATAGAAAAATTCTAAGTAATGTATGTAAACACTGCCCTGCAAGAAGTTGGGAGCACAGCTCTCTGCCCCTTAAGTATGGGCTACACTTAGTAACTTGCTTCCAAAGAATAGAGTATGGAAGAGTGGTGGGGAGTAAATTTATCGAGAAACCTGACAAATACTACATTAGCCAGGTGATCAAGGTAAAGATACTCAGTGATAAGTCATGTTGATAGTAGGCATCTTAGTTCAGGCTACTCTAACAAATTACCATAGACTGAGGGACTTAAACCACAAACCTTTGTTCTCAAGTTTTAGAGGCTGGAAGTCTGGGATCGGGATGCCAGCATGGCCAGCGAGGGCCCTCCACTGTGTGGCAGGCTGCTGACTTCCCACTGTCTCTTCACGTGGTGGGGAGCAAAGAGAGGGAAGCAAGCTCTCTCATATCTTGTCTTCTGATGGCACTGTTTAATCCAGGTTAGCGTAAAGCTGCCTTATTTTGAAGTTCAGCCTAAAGATTCCTCTGTACATCGTGAACTATAACCTAAATGGAGTTGTAAACAGACCATACCCTACTCTTGTGCCAATCACCGAGTTTTGGCCAATCAAAAGTGGCCAACTGTTTAAACCGTTCAAATAAGGCAAACATAGAGCTGTAACCAATCTAGCTGTTTCTGTACCTCACTTCCGTTTTCTGTACCTCACTTCCGTTTTCTGTACATCACCTAACTTTTTCTGTCCATAAATCTTTTACCACCACGTGCTATGCTGGACTTTCTTGAGCCTGCTCTGGTTCAGGAAGCTGCCAATTCGTGAATTGTTCTTGTTCCAGTAAACTCTTTTAAATTTAATTTAGCTTAAGTTTTTCTTTAGGCTGGATGCGGTGGCTAACGCCTGTAATCCTAGCACTTTGGAAGGCCAAGGCGGGCAGATCACTTGAGGTCAGGAGTTGGAGACCAGCCTGGCCAACATGGCAAATCCTGGTCTCTACTAAAATACAAAAGTTAGTCGGGCGTGGTGGCGTGCATCTGTAATCCCAGCTACTCAGGAGGCTAAGGCAGGAGAATCGCTTGAACCCAGGAGGCAGAAGTTGCAGTGAGAATGAGAAGAGATCGTGCCATTGCACTCCAGCTTGGGCGACAGAGTGAGACTCCATCTCAAAAAAATAATAAATTAAAAATAAATAAATAAAATAAAATAAAGTTTTTATTTTAACAGTGCTAATTCTATTCATGAGGGCTCCATTTTCATGACCTAATTACCTCCCAGAGGCCCTACCTCCAGATATTATCCTATTGAGGATTTAGATATCAACATATGAATTTGAGCAGGAAACAAATATTCAGTCCATAACAGTAGGTGTCTCTGACATGGTGAGATGAGAATGGCACTCAATGGTCTTCCTCCCCAAAACCCGTGGTGAAAAACATCAGACAAACCCAAATTCAATGGCATTCTACAGAAACTGTTGGTCAGTTCTCCTCAAAACTGTCGAGGTCATCAAAAACAAGGGCAGTGTGAGAAACTGGCACAGCCCAGGGGAGCCTCAGGAGACTTGAGGACTACATTCAGTGTGGCATCCTGGGTGGGACCCTGGAAAATGAAAAGGACATTAGGGAAAAAAATAATAAAATTTGGATAAAGTTATATGGTTAATAAGAATATGTCAATCATTAGTTATAATAAATGTAATATTAATATAAGAAGCCAACAGTAGAGGAACTGGGGACAGGATATATGAGAATTCTCTTTATGACCTTTACAAATTTAAAATTATTTAAAAAAAAATTTTATAAAGAAATTGAAAATTATTTTTTATTTATTTACTGAGACAAGGTCTTGCTCTGTCACCCAGGCTGGAGTACAATAGTGTGATCACAGTTCACTGCAGCTTCCACTGCCCAGGCTCAAGCAATCCTCCCACCTCAGCCTCCCGAGTAGCTAGGACCACAGGTGCTTGCCACATGCCCAGCTAGTTTTTGAGTTCTTTGTAGAGACTGGGTTTCACCATGTTGCTCAGGCTGGTCTCAAACCCCTGGGCTCAAGCAATCCACATGCCTTAGCTTCCCAAAGTGCTAGGAGCCACTGCACCTGGTCCGCTTTAGTATTTTAAATCTAAAACTATTAAATCCTTTACTGTAAATCTAAAACTATTCCAAAATAAAAAGCTCATTTAAATCTTTTTTTAGGCTGGGCATGGTGGCTCACGCCTGTAATCCCAGCACCTTGGGAGGCCAAGGTGGGTGGATCACCTGAGGTCAGGAGTTAGATACCAGCCTGGCCAACATGGTGAAACATTGTCTCTACTAAAAAAATACAAAAATTAGCCAGGTGTCGTGGTGGGTGCCTGTAATCCCAGCTTTGTGGGAGGCTGAGGCAGGAGAATTGCTTGAACCCAGGAGGCAGAGGTTGCAGTGAGCCAAGGTCACACCACTGCACTCCAG
The DNA here is from genome assembly GCF_000001405.40 of Homo sapiens. NCBI lineage: Eukaryota > Metazoa > Chordata > Mammalia > Primates > Hominidae > Homo > Homo sapiens. The sequence continues at coordinate 38,387,978 of NC_000020.11, forward strand.
CCTGGGTGACAGAGAGAGATTCCGTCTCAAAAAAAAAAAAAAAAGTTTCTTTTAAACTTAGAAAAAGTTTTTCATCCATTGGCAGAATGTAGACGATCAGAAGTCACCAATTATCTGCAGAGGAAATCTTGGGCCAGAAAGAAAGGTCATCAGCTCAGTCCTCCCCAGTAGATGGCAATAGCAGTTAATTTGTTGGTGGCTACTTTGAACTTGGGAGCCAACAGAATCTACATAATAGGGTTTCAAACACCTTTCAGAACCGATCTTGTATCGCAGATGCAGGAAGAGAGTTTAGGTTTTCCTCTTTAGTGTGTCTTCTTTAGGAATGAAATCTTCATTGACACATTAGTGGGTGACTGGTATTTAATGAGAGGCATCAGAATGCTGTGATTGAAGAATTTAAATTCCCCATCAGGGCCAGGAGCAGTGGCTCACACCTATAATCCCAGCACTTTGGAGGCCGAGGCAGAAGGATTGCTTGAGCCCAGGAGTTCAACACCAGTCTGAGCAACACAGCAAAACCCTGACTCTTAAAAAAAAAAAAAAAAAAAGGCCCCATCAGGGAAACACATCCCCAGCTCAGACTCCTCACACAATAAAAATAACACCAGGGCTGGTCCCCACACTCCTCCAGCAATGCTCCCAAAGGCTGCTGCCTGTCTTCTAATGGACTTCGCTCTGCTCCTGAACGCAGGGCTCTGTGAAGGTCCCTCAGGCTCAGTCCTGGGCCCTCTTCTCTTTTTCTGCCCTCTGGCTGTTTTTAAAAAGATGTTCTCACATTCCTAGGGGATGTCCGCCTCCAAAACTTTGAAGACTATCCCCAATTATCCTGTTTCCAGTCCAGCCTTCTCTTCTGAGATGCTGGCCTGTCCCCTAACTGCAGGCTTGATGTCCCCTTCAGACTAACTGGATTTAGGGAGCTGCACCCAGTTGGTGTGCCAGGGGAAAGGTAGAGGCATCCTGGGGATTTCTCCTGGAGTCTGGTGCGTAAATTCCCCCACAGCGCATCCAGCTGGGCCTGCATCTCCCAGCCCGCAGAGGAACGCTGGTAGTAAAACACAGCAGAACAGATGGCTGCTTTATGGGCCAGAAGAAAACGATTTCCCACTTGAGGCCACTAAAGAATCCAGGGCTCAATTCTCTACTTTCCCTTAGAGAAGGCTTTCCTCCCATCTCAAGTGATCTCATGGGGCCATTAGTACAGACGGAGCGGAGAAATCCCAGGGCCAGGTGGGCTGTTTTTAAAATAATGTTCTCACCATCCCACCTTGGAACGGAGGGTTCGGCCCAGAGCTATCACCTGCATCCTCCAGATCCCATCAAGCCCGGCTTTCAGTCCCACCCTTCCACCCCACAGCTAGCTTTCTAGGACCTGCAGTTCAATCAAAAGTAGCTCTCACCCCGGAGGTGGAGGTTGCAGTGCACCGAGATCACACCATTGCATTCCAGCCTGAGCGACAGAGCAAGACTCCATCTCAAAAAAAAAAAAAGTAGTTCTCTAAGAACTGCCCCTGCGCACTGCCACATTAAGAGTCAATATCAAATGGCTGAAATGAAAAACACAGATAAAATCAAAGTGTTGGCAAGAACATGGAATAAATGGAAAGCGTGTGCCCCGTTGGTGGGAGTGTATCCTCATTAGTTTGGGCTGCTATAACAAATTACCATAGACTAGGTGGCTTAAACAACCAACATTTATTTCTGATAGATCTAGAGGCTGGGAAGCTCAAGATCAAGGTGCTGGCAGATCGGGTGTCTGGTAAAGAACATCTTCCTGATTTGCAGATGACCATCTTCTCATGGTATCTTTACATGTCAGAGAGCAGAGAGAAAGGAAGCAAGTTCTCTTGTATCTCTTCTTATAAGGGTACTAATCCCATCACGAGGGCCCCATCCTCATGACCTCATTACCTTCCAAAGGACACATCTCCAAATACCATCACATAGGGAGTTAGGGTTTCCACATATGAATTTTGGCTACAGTCTCAGCTACTCTGGAGGCCAAGGCAGGAGGATCATTTGAGCCCAAGTGTTCAAGTCCAACCTTGGCAACATAGTGAGATCTTATCTCTTAAAAAAAAAAACCACTGCATAATATTCCACTGGATGACTATTTCCCAGTTTGTTCAACTATCCCCCATTGATAGACATCCAGTTCTTCACCACTATAAACATATGAATTGAAACATAAACACTTAGTCCACAGAATATTTGTAATTTGCATAGTAGAGTGCAAAGTGGTACAACCATTGGAGGACTGTTTGGCAGGATGTATCCGCTAAAGTTGAACATGCATGATGAGCCCCATGACCCAGGAACTCCACTTTTCAGTATGTACTCAACAGAAATGCCTACATCTATTTAAAAAAAGATGCATACAGGTATGTCCATAAAGCAGTTTTCGTAATAGCCCCCAGGTGGAAATAACCCAAACATTCAGCAACAGTAGATGGATAAATGGTGGCACATTCACACAATGGAATATTAAACAGCAATGAGCATGAATGAACTACAACCACATGCCACCACATGGGTGACCCCTGCAAACAGGATGCTAAGTGAAAGATGCCTGGCATGATTTCATTGATACAAAATTCAAAAGAAGGCAAACCTAACGTATAGAAGCAAAAGTTAGACAAGTGGTCAGACTTCAAGGTGGGGTGGGGGATAGTAACTAGAAAAGGATATGAGGAAGCTTCTGGGGTTTTGGTGATGTTCTGCTTCTTGATCCACGTACTGGTTACATTGGTGAGCTCACTTTGAGAACATCTGTCTCTCCATATACTTGTCTGTGTATATGTTATACTTCAAAATAAAAGTATCTATCTGAAGGGTATGTCTGTATTTATGAGACTCCTTATAGTGTCTTTGCTCACGATAAACAAAGCACCATTTTTCAGATTTTTTTCATCCATATATATGAAGATATACATTGTGTACAGCTGCTTATTATGGCATTGCTTGTAATAGCAAAATAATAACAAAACAAAAATGAAAGAAACCTGTATGGTCCTTAATAGGATACTGGTAGTTATATTATGGTATATAGCCATGCAAAGGAATACTATGCAGCCATTAAAAAGAATGAAAGAATGAGGCCCATCTATGTGTGCAGACATAGAAGAATGTGAAGAATTATTAGGTGGAAATAGTAGACTGCAGAACAGTAGGTACAGTATTATCTTCTTTCATGCATGCATGCTTATATGTGTACAGGAAATTGCTAAGAGGTTACCTAAGATAGTGAAACAGAAGTTACCTCTGGAGAATGGAAATGAAGCATTGGTAAGGCTGCAAAATTTTTACTTTCCTTTTTGTGCCATTGTACATTATTTGTATATTTTTAAGCAAGCAAATACTACTCCTTAAAAGTAAATTATCTGGCCAAATGCAGTGGCTCACACCTAGCATTTTGGGAGGCCAGGATGGGATGATTGCTTGAGGCCAGGAGTTTGAGACCATCCTGGGTGGCATAGGGGGACCCCGTCTCTACAAAAAAATAAAATAAAATTTAATTTAATTTAATTTAATTTAAAAATGAATTTTTAAATGTATTAATTTCCTATTGCTGCTGTAACAAATTAGCCACAAACTGCGTAACTTTAAACAACATGAACTTATTATCTTTTAGTTTTGGAGGTCAAGAGGGCTGCATTCCTTCAGGAAGCTCTGGGGGAGAATCTGTTCCCTTCTTTGTTCAGCTGCTAGAGGCTGCTTACATTCGTTGGCCTGCAGCCACTTCCCCCATCTTCAAAACCAGCAGCAGAGCATCTTCTCTCCTCTCTGACCTCTACTTCTGGCCTTACATCTTCTTTAACTCTGATCCTTCTGTTTTTCTCTCATAAGGACCCTTGTGATTGCACTGAGCCCACCCAAATAATGCACGATAATCTCCCCATCTCAAAATCCTTAACTTAATCACACCTGCAAAGTCCGTTCACCACGCGAGGTAACATACTCATAGGTTCAGGGAATTAGGACATGGACATCTTTGGTGAGCCCATTGTTCAACCTGCCACAAATGTATATCAAAGCAATTAAGGCACACATTTTAAAAAATCAAATGTGCAAAAGGGCTTATCATAAGAAGCAGTGGTCTCAGAGGTACCACATTTAATTCCTGAAATGTTTCTGGTTTTAGTTCCTTTGATGGCTAGCTCAAGATCTCAAATAACGTTCCTACATCATTTTTTAAATTTACCAATTTTCTAAAAATTTGCTGAGTACATGAGGACTTAGCTTGTCACCCCATTTTCCTTTCCTCTCTCAAAATACTATGTAACATAATATTTTTTGTTTCTCTATTGGTGTGTTTGTAATTTTAGATAATACATTCACACATATTTCGTGCTCTATCAACTATACCTATATGACTTCCCTTTACTCACTGTGTGACCTTGGTGGGTCTCTCTGAGCCCAAGTTTCCACATCTAAAAAAGTCACAAATGTGCAGTAGTCTCACTAGCTGGCTGTCCACCGAACCATTTCTCTTTCCACCTGGACACATGGTTGAACTACATTTCCCAGCACCCCTTGCAATTAATTGTGGCCCATGTGACTGAGTTCTGACAAATCCATAAACACCACCTGTATGATCCCCCACTACATCTTTCTCTCTCTCTGTCTCTGTCTCTGTCTCTCTCTCTCTCTCTCTCTCTCTCAATCTCTCTCTCTCTCGTCCCCCCTCAGCCAGCTGGATGTCGATATATTGACACCCAAGGTGACTTGGGATAAATGTGTTGAAGATGGCAGAGCCTCCAGCAGCAGTCTAGGTCCCTGAATGATTGTATGGAGCAGAGCTTCTCCCATCCCCAACTGTGGCATGTGGGCTTTGCAAAAGCAGAAATAAACCTGTCAGTCACTGAGATTTGGGGATTTAAACATTAAACACGAGCTAGTGTTGGTTTTAATTGGTACAGAAAGTATAGCAACCCATGAGACTACTGAATTACTTAAACGTATGTAAGTATATTAAGGTTTGTAAGTTGCTTAATCAGTAAATGCTTAACAAATGGAAACTATTATTATTAGTAACACATTCCTTGGACGTCAGGGTTCTCCCCTGCTTCCCCTCCCAGAGACTTTCTAGTTTGCCCTGTTCAGTTAACTCTTCCTTTCCCTCAGCAAGAAAATACGTGCCTATCTAACACCATAAATAATCAAATAATCTCTCCTTGTTCAGAACTCAGCTCCACAATTCAATTGGCAACCGATCATGTGGTATTTTCAACTGCTATTTAAATATTTTGCTATCTAATTTCTCCTAGTTTTATGTCTAACCTCCCTAAGTAGATTATAATTGCCTTGAGGGCAGGAAACAGATATTACATGTCTTTGTATCACCCACGGCTCAATGCAGTACTGAGTCAGGCACTTAATACGTATCTGGTGATTTGATTTGAAGTCTCTTGTCACTTAACCTAGTGATCCAATCTTTTCCCAAGTTATGGGCTGCCCTAGGCTTTTATCATATAGCTCCTTCAATTTATAGCCAGCTGTTAATTATCTCCAGATCTTGCCACTGCGCTTCTGTGCATGCTCAGCTGTCCCCACCTTTCACTTTAATTTCTCCTGTTCAGATCCCAGAGCCGCCCGCAAAGGATATCTCACCCTGTTCTCACTGATGATGGTTCTAAGCTGCCCACTGGGGCTTTGAAAGGTACTTGGAAGGTAAATGAGCCACAGAATGTTAACCCAGGAGGGCGGAAACCCAGGGCAGCAGGAAGTAAGAGAGGACCTTGAGGGTCTCCATTTTGCAGGGTGCTCAAGGGCCAAAGGGAAGGGAGGCCCTGGCAGGTTGAGGTGACCTTTACACTTTAACACTTTGGTGAGTTTCCTTAACACCTTCCCATTTCTGAAGAGCCTGGACGTGGTTGAGGTCTTGCAGAGAACGAGTAGAGAGTGCGGTGGTTTCAACTGAAATAGTCCCTGTCAATCTAACAGTCCAATATTTGTAGTTACTTCTCACTATGGATTCAGTTGTGGTACCCCCAAAAAAGATATGCTGACCAGGTGGGGTGGCTCATACCTGTAATCCCAGCACTTTGGGAGGCCAAGGCAAGTGGATCACTTGAGGTCAGAAGTTTGAGACCAGCCTAGTCAACATAGTGAAACCCCGTCTCTTCTAAAAATATAAAAATTAGCCAGGCGTGGTGGCGGGCATCTGTAGTCCCAGCTACTCAAGAGGCTGAGGCACGAGAATCGCTTAAACCTGGGAGGCGGAGGTTGCAGTGAGCCGAGATCACACCACTGCACTCCAGCCTGGGCGACAGAGCAAGACTCCATCTCAATAAATAAATAATCAAAAAAGATATGCTGAAGCTTTAACCTCCAGGACCTCAAAATGTGATCTTATTTGGAATAGGCTCTTGATAGAGGTAATCAAATTAAAATGAAATCATCAGGATGGGCTCTAATCCAATATGACTTGTGTCCTTATAAAAAGGGAAAATTTGGACACAGATGCAGCTACACGCAGAGGGGAGGTGATGTGAAGACAACTATGTGATGCTGGAGGCAGAGATTGGACTGATGCAGCTGCCATTCCAGGGATGCATGAGGCTGCTGGAAGCTAGGAAGATGCAAGGAAGGATTCCACCCAGAGTCTCAAAGGGAGCATGGCCTGTGGGCACCTTGACTTCTGACTTCTAGCCTTCAGGACTGGGAGACAATCCATTTTTGTTGTTTTAAGTAACCCAGTTTGTGGGGACGGGGAGGTGGTTAAGAAAGGGTCTCACTCTGTCATCTAGCAGGCTGGAGTGCAGTGGTGCAATCACGGCTCACTGCAACCTCAACCTCCTGGATTGAAGTATCCTCCAATCTCAGCCTCCTGAGTAGCTGGGACTACAGGCATGTGCCACCACACCCAGCTAATTTTTTGGTGTTTTGTAGAGATAGCATCTTCCTATGTTGCCCAGGCTAGTCTCGAACTCCTGAGCTCAAGCTATCCTCCTACCTCGGCCTCCCAAAGTGCTGGGATTACAGGCATGAGCTACTGTGCCTGGTCTAGCTTGTGGTATTTTTTATGGCAGCCCAAGAAAACGAATACACTTACTTTCCCTTATCCATGCTTCCCTTCCCATATCCATAAAGGGGCACCTAAAGTCAACCTCTCAAGAGTGGGAGGGTTTTTAGCTGAAATAAAGATTTAAGTTAGCCATGCAAAAGTCAGCTTCTCACTGAGTTTCCAAAATAACTGCAGCTGTTCCAACTATTCTTCTGAGAGGAAAACCTTTAGAAATGTTCCCTGGGAGATGGGCTCCCAGGTTGCCAAGCCCTTTTCTGGAGGGAATGTTCCAGACTCAGCTCCCTTGGGACTTTCCCTGCTGTCTGTACGAGTCTCAGACGTGCTGAAGCAGAGAATCAGATGGTAGTGGCTGCTGATGTTTGGTGCCCAATGGTCTGGATAAATTCTTTTTGTTTCCATTAGAACATTCAGTTTCCCCAATCTATGTGCTCTTGGGAGGTGGAGAGAGAAAATCCACTCATTCCACAAATATTTATTGAGCCAGCACTGTATGCCAAGTGCTGTCATTGTGCTTGGGATTTATCAGTAAACAAAACAGATCCAGAAAATTCCCACCTTTATAAACATTACATTCTAGGATGGGAAGAGACAGGCAATAATAAATGAGAACAAAAGTTAATTAGATAGTAGGTTAAGAGATGATAATGGTTATGGGAGAAAATAGAACAGAGTTATAATCCAATCTTTATCCATTTTGTTACTCAAATTATCCCAGCTTTAGTCGTTAGAAATGACTTCAGGATGGCCCCTACATCCTTTGGCTATGTCCCTGTATTTGCCTGTTTTCATACTGCTATAAAGAACTGCCCAAGACTGGGTAATTTATAAAGGAAAGAGGTTTAATTGACTCACAGTTTGGCATGGCTGGGGAAGCCTCAGGAAACTTACAATTATGGTAGAAGGCAAGGAGGAAGCAAGGCACCTCCTCCCAAGGCGGCAGGAAGGAGAAGTGCTGCGCAAAGGGGGAAGAGCCCCTTATAAAACCATCAGATCTTGTGAGAACTCACTCACTATCATGAAAACAGCATGGGGGAACTGCTCCCATGATTCAATTACCTCCACCTGGTCTTTCCCTTGACACATGGGGATTATGGGGATTACAATTCAAGATGAGATTTGAATGGGAACACAAAGGCTAACCATACTAGGCCCCATTATTTTCTGAGCACTTCCTCACTCTAGCACAACAGTATGTGTGCCAGGTTCATCTTTTACTTCCCCTGCTAAAGACTTGCAATCTCCAAGGAACTCTAGTTCCTTTTATTGAAAAATGGTATTTGGAAACCAAGATTTGGGTGCTAGATGTCTAGATGTGCTCACTGCTACTGGGATGCCATTGCCTCTAGGGCTTCTGAGAGGACAAAACTAGAAACTTTACATAGGACAATTACTAACAAGCATACACATAAAGCCATATTTATTTCTATATTTATGCATCTGTATAATTGTTCAAAACCATGGGTTCATACTGATATTTCTGATTCTCATCCAACACCACACAGGATTCATTCTAGCTCCTTCCTTATTTCTAACTTTTTTTCCAACAGTGAGAACCCTGGCTCTAATTATCCATAATCTGCTTTCCTTTTTGTTCAATCCAAATAGACACATATTGACTAAACAGAGCACAATATTTGTATGCAATTCTTTTTATCTTTGACCTTACAATATACAGTAAAAATGCTGTCTTCCAGAGTTGCTTAGTTCTTTTATTCCCCACATCCTTCAGTGGGATTATCTCAGTCATTTGTAACACAGGTTCATTTGCTATAGCTTATATGCCATTTGGGGTTTCTCCCACATATCCTGGTTGGTTTTGATGATTTATTTGTTTACTGGGCATGTGAAACATTACTATGGTTCTGACAGTCAAGGCTATACAAAAAGGTGTACTCGCCAGCATTTGGCATTACATTTTTTTTTTTATTTTAGCCATCCTAATAGGAGAATAATGGTATCTCATTGTGGCTTTAATCTACATTATCCTAAGAGCTAATGATGTTGAGCATCTTTGGTGAGTTACCTAATCAAGTCTTTTACAGATTTTCTCATTGGATTATTTATTATCTTAAGGTTGAGTCTAAAGAGGTTATGTGTGTATGTGTACATATACATATATATATATTCTAGATACAAGTCTTTTGTCAGATACATTAATTGGCACGTTTTCTCCCAGTTTGTGGCCTGCCATTTCATTCTCTTAACAAGGCTGTTCACAGATTACAAGTTTTTAATTTTGATGAAGTCCAACTTATTATTTTTCTTTCATGGCTTGTGCTTTTGGTGTAATATCTAAGAAATCTTTACCAAGACCTAGGTTTTCTTTTGTGTTTTCTTCTAAAAGTTTTATAGTTTTGCATTTTATATTTAGATCTATGATTCATTTTGAGTTAATTTTTGCATACAGTGTACAGTTTGGGTGAAGGTTTATTTTTTGGCCTGTGGATGTCCAATTATGCCACCAATATTTTGGGGGAGCACTATTCTTTCTCCATGGAGTTGCTTTTGAAACTTTTTCAAGAATCAGTTGCCCATACTTGCCTGGATCTATTTCTGGACTCTCTACTCTGTTCCCTGGGTCTGTGAGTCTGTTCCTCCAATACCACTGTCTTCATTGCTGTTGTTATTACACAGTAAGTCTTAAAAACAGGTAGTGTGATTTCTCCAACTTTATTCTTCATTTCCAAAATTCTTTTAACATTTCTAGCTCTTTTCCCTTTAAGAGTACACTTTAGAATCAGCTCATCTATATTTACAAAAACTCCTGCTGGAACTTTGATCGGAATTATATTAAACATATAAATAAATTTGGAGAGGACTGTCATCTTTGCTGTGTTGAGTCATCCAATCTGTGAATGCAGGTTGTCTCTCCTTTTATCTGGGTCTTTGATTTCATAGCACTTCATAGTTTTCAGCACACAGATGCTGTACATGTTTTGTTAAATTTATACCTAAGTACTGCACCTTTTGGAGCTGTTATAAATGGCACTGCATTATTAATTTCAGTTTGCAATTGTTCATTGCTAATTTACAGAAATATGACTGATTTTTCCATGTCAACCTCTCACTGTCTGACTATAATTTGTTATTCTCTTACTATACTACTGGATTCCATTTATTAATCTTTTATAGAAAAGTTTTGTTTCAATATTCATAGATGAAATTAGCCTGTGAATTTCTTTCTGCTATCTTGTCAGGTTTGGATATTTGTAGCTTCATAAAAATAACTAGGCAGTTTATCTTGTTTCTCTCTATGCTCTGGAACTTTGATGAGCTTTGGAATTACCTTACTGAAAGAAACTATGAAGTCCTCTTGGATGACTTCCTCAACTAATTCCATAGTTATCAATCTGTTCAGGTTTTCTGTTTCTTCTTGAGTCAGTTTTTGGTAATTTGTATTATTTAAGCTTACTTCGGTTTTAAATCAAGTTACATTTCAAGGAGACTAACATTGAATTGTGTTAAATATGTTTTTATAATTTTTTTCTCCCTTTTATCTTTATACTGTATAATATCATGCAACAGTTAAAAAGAAAAAGTGAATCTATATATGCTGACACGGAAAGATCCACAAGACATAATTTTTAAAAGCACGTTTCAGAAAAACAGAGAATCAATTTTTTAACAGAAAATCTTATTTTGAAATTAGAACTCTGATTTTCATATACAAAATTGACGTAAAGGGGTCTGAAAAGATACCCACGAATAACTACTTGATAGCAGTATCATCTTTAGACTGAAGCCAGAAGGATCCCTGCCTTGGGCTTTGATTTTGGAGGAACCCACTCAAGTTCCCTCCAGATGCACCGTATCCCACAGGGAATATGCCAGAGGGACATGCCCGTCTACAGCCACCACCCTCCTCCCAGAACAGGCCTCATGTGCCTGGAACCCTAGAATTCCTTTCCAGGGCCTGTGAGGGGCTCACCTCATTATGTCCTCTTGGGAATGGAGTGCACCACTGTCGTGACCACTGCTAGGCCCAACCGGTAACTAATGGGTGGCTGTTTGAGGAGGGTGTGGAGGAATTTGAATGTGCAGGTTGGAGTCTCCATACACATGTGCATAAGGAGGCCATCATGGTGTAGACAGAGCTGGGCGTGGGAAGGAAAGGGAGGCCTTATTGCCACATCCTGGCAAGGAACTGGGGAAAAGTCCAGACAGTCTAAATCCAAATCTGGCTCTCCAGCTCATTATGAAGGTATATTTGTCCAGATAGGAGGATAGAACATTTTTATTCAACTATTTGTTAGCTGGGTTTTCAGAAACTATCTAGACATATATAGGAATTACATTAAACCTACCCACCCTCAGTTTGACTGCCCCACCAATGTCACAAGCACGTCTTCTTTATCACGTTACTTCTGGGGAGAGGTTGGGACTTGAGGGCAAACAGGAGAAAAGGGGTGTTATGGGTTGAATTATGTACCCCCAAATTCATATGTCAAATCCCTAAATCCCAGTACCTCTGAATGTGATTGTATTTGGAGTTGTGGCCTTTAAAGGGGTGATTAAGTTAAAATGAGGCTGCTAGGGTGGGTCCTAATGCAATCTCAGTTCACTGCAACCTCTGCCTCCCTGGTTCAAGTGATTCTTGTGCCTCAGCCTCCTGAGCAGTTGGTATTACAAGCATGCACCACCACACCTAGCTAATTTTTGTATTTTTAGTAGAGACGAGGTTTCCCCATGTTGACCAGGCTGGTCTTGAACTCCTGACTTCAAACGATCCACCTGCCTCAGCCTCCCAACATGCTGGGATTACTGGCATGAGCCACCGTGCTTGGACATGATGTCCTTATAAGAACAGGAAATCTGGGCACACACAGAGATGTCAGGGCACTTGTGTACAGAGGTACAACCCTGTGAAGAGGCTGCAAGAGAGTGGCCATCCACAAGCCAAGGAGAGAGGCCTCAGAAAAAAACCCAGTCTCTATCATAGACTTCAAGTCTCTAGAACTCTGAGAGTATAAATTTCTCTTGTTTAAGCCACCCAGTGTGGTATTTTGTTAGGGCAGTCCTAGCAAACTAATACAGAGGACTTCAGCTTTTTGCTTTATTATTTCTTATTTGACTTTTGTTTCTTAGGCACATATATCCATGCATTATTAATGTAATTAAGAAATAACATTTGTAGGAGTAGGTATGAAAACGAAATACATGTTAAAATGTTCTCCTCATGCTTATTTTTCTATTCTCATTTCTAATTGTGCCTTCTACGCCTGTGTGTGTGTGTGTGTGTGTGTGTGTGTCTTGATTAGGCTAGATAGTGGCCTATCTGTTCCACTATGTGGTTTTTTTCCACTATGGGTCAGCTCTTCAATTGATCAATTCTACTTTTATTTTGTTTTCTGATTCATTAACTTCTGCATGCCTTCATTCTGTTCTTCTTTTCTTAGATTTATTTTATTGCTCATTTTGTATCTTTCTCGGTTGAATGCTTGATTCATTTATCTTTTTCTTTTTCTTTTCAGAAATACATGTTTAACTGATGAATTTTTCCCAGGACTTTTTCCTCCCCCTTCAAACCCTGGTTCCTTGGACAGATTTGGCAACAGCTTTGTAAGTGATATTAGAAATAGTTGGCTGGGCGTGGTGGCTCATGCCTGTAATCCCAGCACTTTGGGAGACCAGTGCAGGTAGATCGCTTGAGCTCAGGGGTTCGATACCAGCCTGGCCAACATAGCGAAACACTGTCTCTACAAAAAATATAAAAATTATTTCCCGAGCATAGTGGCAAGCACCTGTAGTCCCAGCTACTTGGGAGGCTGAGGCGGGGGGATGTCTTAAGCCCAGGAGGCAGAGGTTACAGTGAGCCATAATTGCACCACTGCACTCAGCCTGGGTGATAAGAGTGAGATGCTGTTTCAATCAATTAATAGAAATAATTGTCTATGATAATTAAAAACAGGATTTTTATTTATTTATTTATTTTTCATTTTCCCTTTAGGCGTATTTAATATTTTCCCCCCAGGCCGATCATTCTCAATGTACGAACATGTGTGCACATGTTACTAAGACAATTACCATGTTAATGAAATATTCAATTTGAAAAAGAAAAGGAAATTAAGTGTTTAATACTGAATTTTCCTTTCAATATGATTTTAGCTCTATCTCATCACTTGACACATATTGTTTTCCTTTTTTTCCTCAATCTGGCTCGAAATGGCAATTTCGACTTACTCTTGTTCTCAAATGGAGTTGAAGAGGGGGTTTTAAATTTTTCATGTGGTTGGGTTTTTGTCTCATTTCTACTTTTGTTTTAATTTCTGGTTTTATTGCTTGGTGGTCAGAGGCCTCTACTATTTCTATTATAGGGAAAGCTACTAATATTTTCTTTATAACCATAGTGTATTTGTCCATTTTCACACTGCTATAAAGAAATAGCCGAGACTGGGTAATTTATAAAGGAAAGAGGTTTCATTGACTCACAGTTCTGCATGGCTGGGGAGGCCTTAGGAAACATACAATCATGGCAGAAGGCGAAGGGGAAGCAAGCTTGGACCTTCTCACATGGTGGCAGGAGAGAGAAGAGTGAGGAGTGAGGGGGGAAGAATCCCTTATAAAACCATCAGATCTTGTGAGAACTCACTATCATGAGAACAGCATGGGGAAAACCGCCCTCATGATCCAATCACCTCCCACCAGCTCTCTCCCTAGACAGATGGGGATTATGGGGATTACAATTCAAGATGAGATTTGGGTGGGGACACAAAACCTAACCATTTCCACAGTCAAATTTTATCAATGCTTTCATGGGTGTTTCAATAGAAGGTGTATTTTCTCTTTTTTTTTTTTTTTTTTTTTTGGAGATGGAGTCTCACTGTCACCCAGGTTGAAGTGTAGTGGTGTGATCTCGGCTCACCACAATCTCCACCTCCTGGGTTCAAGCAATTCTCCTGCCTCAGCCTCCTGAGTAGTTGGGATTACAGGCGTGTGCCACCACATCCAGCTAATTTTTGTATTTTTAGTAGAGATGGGGTTTCACCATGTTGGCCAGGCTGGGCTCGAACTCCTGACCTCAAGTGATCCACCCACCTAGGCCTCCCAAAGTGCTGGGATTACAGGCATGAGCCACCACACCCAACCCAGAGGTATATTTTCTGATTGCGGGATACACAATGCAATATTATCTCTTACATCAATCTGATGAGTTATTTGATTCAGATCCTCCGTATTACTGTGTGACCTGTGGCTTATGCTAAAACTTTGGGCCACCCTTTATCCAATGTGGTTCAGTCCATTTACCTCTGCTCAGCCGGCCTTGTGCAAAGGTGACGTCAGTGTGTGGTCCCATCTCTCCTCTCTCTACCTTACCCTCAGGCTGTTGGTTTGGGTTAGCAGCCTAGCTCAGACAACATAAGGGCTGCAAGATCACTGGATCCTCTTGACAGCCCAGGTTCCCGCCATGCTGGGGCTTGAAGACAAGCTCAGGGAGTGACCTTCTCTGATTCTCCAAGCCCACCTCTGCCCTAAGTTATCATATTTCTGGTAAAGGTGTGGGCCAGACCCTTCAGGACTCTGCCACTTACTTTTCAGGATCCTGTGTCCACTGAGATCTGGGGGATAAGTAGGGGCAGTTGAGATCTTCCTTAAGTTTTTCTCAAGTATCTATCTCTGAGTCTGCAAAGGTACGCTTGCCAATTTGCTCAGATCTGCCACATTCATTATAGATGGCATGCTCTTCCATAATTTGCTCTGCTATTTTGTTGTTGTTGTTGTTGCTGCTGCTGCTACCTGCAACAAAACAGGGTGGGGTGGGGTCTCACTCTGCCATCTTTTGCTCCTCATATTTATCTCTGCCAATTGCTTCTGACTGTTGCCACAGTCTACGAAAGCTGACAGCTGGATTCTCACCAAATTGAGAGACTGTGTGTTGAATCGTCTGATTCAAAATAAATGCCATTCATTCTGTGTATAGCTGGAGCACCTCAAAGGTCACTGAAACTGGAGTTCAGCAGGAGGCCTGTGTGCCTGCTGGTGACGACAGACTAGGCATGCGTGTTAAGATGCGGTGGAGAAAGAACACGGTGGCTTCACATCATAAGTCAGAAGAATAGAGATGCTCCCAATTGTGTCTCACACGGGCGATTCTGCATGGCCTCCAAGTGAGCAGCAGCCAGGCTTTACTGGCTTAATGATGTTCTTTTTCACTTCCTCTGCAACATCAGGGAGTTTATGGAGTTGTATATATATACAGTGTTCTCACTGGTCATGGCAGCTCATGCCTGTAGTCCCAGCACTTTGGGAGGCTGAGGTGGTGGATCACTTGAGCCCAGAAGTCCAGGAACAGCCTGGGCAACACAGTGAGAACCCATCTCTACAAAATAATTTTAAAATTTTTTAACTTAAAAAATTTAAAAATTAAACATAGTATTTTCAAAATTTCCTTGTTTTTCCTTTAATGTTTTACGTTTCACTTTCTCCTTTCCATTTTGTTCTTTTTATTCTGTCTCCGGATCGTGTAACAAATTTGTAAGCACCAGTATTTCTAATGTCCAGGAGGTACTTTTATGATTCCACTTTCCCTTGAACAAGACCTTATTAGCTCTTTCATTATAATATATATATATATTTTTTGAGATGGAGTCTCACTCTGTCGCCCATGCTGGGGTGCAGTGGCGTGATCTCGGCTCACTGCAAGCTCCACCTCCTGGGTTCATGCCATTCTCCTGCCTCAGCCTTCCAAGTAGCCGGGACTACAGGCGCCCGCCACCACGCCAGGCTAATTTTTTGTATTTTTAGTAGAGACGGGGTTTCACCGTGTTAGCCAGGATGGTGTTGGTCTCCTGACCTCGTGATCCGCCCACCTCGGCCTCCCAAAATGCTGGGATTACAGGCGTGAGCCACTGCGTCCAGCCTTTCATTTTAATTCTTACCTCCTCCTCACAGTCTGTCTTTTACAAAAACATCTATTTTTAAAAATTATTTACTATTATAAAAAAAGCCTAGAGGGCTTAAATTTATCTGATACTTGACCATGCAGAAAGTTGACTTTTGATATGGGTACAAGTCAGATTGCACCCTACCCCAGTTTTTCTAGTTAATTCCAAAGTCCCTTTACAAAGGAGAAACTTGAGGCTAGGTGTTTGTTAATTGTCTTCCCTTCACCTCCTTATCTATAGAAGTTGGTATTAGCCCAGAGGACTCTTTTGTTTATTTTAACTGGCAATTACAATGTGAAAACCTTCCATATGTGTATCAGTCAGGTTTCACCAGGTTATGCTGCAGGACAAACAACCCCAAGATCTTAGCACCTTCCCACCACCATGGCCTATTTCTCACTCACATTATACATCAGCTGTAGCTCTGCCCCATGCCCTCTTCATTCTGGGATCCAGGCTACAGGAGCAGCTGTTACCTGGAACATTGACATTATCCTGGCAGAGGGAAAAGAGAAATGGCAGAACCATCTTATTGCTCTTAAAGTTTCTGTTCAGGAGCACCAGGCCACTTCCACTCATCTTTCAGTGGCTAAAGTAAATCCCATGGCTGCACCTAATGTCAACGTCATGGGAAATAGAATCCGCCAGCAAGGGTGATTTGTAGGGAAAGCCCAGTAGGAAGGACTGATATGGAGTGGCTGCAAATGTTTTGAACAAATAATGCAGTCTACCAGAAGAACAAATAAGCAATCTACTATCTCTGCATTAACCTTGCACTTATTTCATTGTCCCTTGCACGTGTGTTTTTATTATGAAATATTACAGACATACAGAAAAGTGCATAAAACATCACTATATACTACAATGAATATGAATCAAAGGGCTGGTCCATATTGAGTTGAACACATCTTTTCTTTTTCTTCTTTTTCCTTTTTTTTGAGATGGAGTCTCACTCTGTCACTCAGGCTGGAGTGCAGTGGTGCGATCTCAGCTCACTGCAACCTCTGCCTCCCGGGTTCAGGCGATTCTCCTGCCTCAGCCTCCCGAGTAGCTGGGATTACAGGCACACGCCACCACAACCAGCTAATTTTCGTATTTTTAGTAGAGAATGGGTTTTGCCACGTTGGCCAGGCTGGTCTCGAACTCTTGACCTCCAGTGATCTGCCCGCCTCGGCCTCCCAAAGTGCTGGGATTACCAGCATGAGCCACCATGCCTGGCCGAACACACCTTTTTATGTACAGAGGGTAGAACTTATTTTCTGCAAAGTGCCAGAGGATCATTACAATGATTCAAGAGGTTTGTGAGTCCAAATGATACTTATTGTCTAGAGAATCTCAGCTGTCCTTCTGACCCCAGAGCCTTGACTCTGTGTATCGGAGTTGCAGATGAGCTTCCTGATGAATGTGATGGGCTGGCAGCTACACAACCTGGCCATGGATCACCTCCTCCCAGCATGCACCAGTGAAAAGTAATGCCTGTTCATTTCACATGCACCATTTCCCTCCAGCTGCTCCTCTGGATTTGAGCTTGGCCTGTGTCTTCCCAGGACAATAACATGAAGGAATTCACAAACATAATGTTGACAGAGGCCAGACACAAAAGACCACATGCTATACGATGCCATTTATGTAACATTCAAAAATAGGCAAAACTAATCTGTGTCATTAAAAGTCAGTTAGCAGTTTCCTTTGTAGGAGTGCTGACTGAATGGGAGATTGAGGGGGTGCTTCCAGGGTGCAAGTAATGTTATTTCTTGATCTGGGTGGTTACATGTTTGTGTCCACCTTGTGAAAATTCTTTGAGCTGTACAACATATGATTTGTGCATTTTTGTATATGTGTTAGATACTAAACTTTTAAAAAATATATTGGGTAAAAAGTGCTCAGAAATGCTGCTTTTATAATCATTACTTACCTGTCATCTAAGAAAGTCAATGTGTGTAAATTATGAAAAGTGATTTCTGGCTGGGCGTGGTGGCTCACATCTGTAATCCCAGTGCTTTGTGTGGCTGAGGTGGGAGGATGGTTTGAGCCCAGGAGTTTGAGGCTGCAGTGAGCTATGATTGCGCCACTGCACTCCAGCCTAGGCAACAGAGACCACAGCAAAAAAATTAAAAAAAAAAATTATCATAATTTCTGTTTATTGGCTGAAGTGATCTCATGACAATCATACCCAGTTGAGCCTTTGCACTAAACATAATTATATCAGTTGGGAATTAAATTCAACTGCAGGGAACCAAAAAACAAACAAACAAAAAAACAAATAAAAGCATATCAGTCAAGACAGAGGTTGTTTTTCTTAATAAGGAATTTGAAGAAAGGCAGTCCAGAGCTAACAGGGCAGCACCACGGACATCAGGTACCCAGTCTCCTTCTAGCTTTTTTCTCCACCATCCTGAGAATGTGACCTTCTTCCTCATCCTCCCAAGGGGGATGCTGTGCTCCAGTCATCATGACCACGTTCCAGGAGGAAAGAAAGAGAAGATCAAAGAGCAAAATGGACAAGTTAGACAAGTCTAATCCCTTTTAAAGAGTTTTTCCAGGAGCCCACCTCTTCCTGATTCAGATGTGGTCGCTCAGCAGCCTCCTACCATGCAGGCAGCTACTCCAGGACCCAGTTCCTGCAGTGCACGGCAGCCAGCAGCACCACAAGGCCAGCAGCTTCCCGCAGTGTCCCCACCTTTGGCGATTTTGTAGCAGAGTGCCTCTAGTGAGACACCACTCTGTGAATGGCTTTCTCTCACTCCGTAGAGGACAGTTTCCTGGCAAGTTCCAGAGGACAGATTTCTAGCAGATTCTACCAACAAACACTGCAGTGGCTTCTCTGCCATCCAGGGAACCACAGCTGTGCCCTCTGCAACAAAGTCTGGATCTCAGCCTTGCGAGAATGGGGGAAGGGAGTTGGGGGGAATTTTATCTTAACCCTAAGAATGGTGGCTGCTCTTTATTTTTGTATTTTATTTTTGAGACAGGGGCTCTCTCTGTCACCCAGGCTGGAATGCAGTGGCACAGTCTTGGCTCACTGCAACCTCTGCCTGCTGGGCTCAAGCCATCCTCCCACCTTAGTCTCCCACGTAGCTGGGACTACAGGCACATACCATGCCCAGCTAATTTTATTTTTTGTAGAAATGGGGTCTTGCTCGGGGTTTCGCTGTGTTGGCCGGGCTGGTCTCCAGCTCCTAACCGCGAGTGATCTGCCAGCCTCGGCCTCCCGAGGTGTCGGGATTGCAGACGGAGTCTCGCTCACTCAGTGCTCAATGTTGCCCAGGCTGGAGTGCAGTGGCGTGATCTCGGCTCGCTACAACCTCCACCTCCCAGCCGCCTGCCTTGGCCTCCCAAAGTGCCGAGATTGCAGCCTCTGCCCGGCCGCCACCCTGTCTGGGAATTGAGGAGCGTCTCTGCCTGGCCGCCCATTGTCTGGGATGTGAGGAGCCCCTCTGCCCTGCCGCCCAGTCTGGGAAGTGAGGAGCGCCTCTTCCTGGCCGCCATACCGTCTAGGAAGTGAGGAGCGTCTCTGCCCGGCCACCCATCGTCTGAGATGTGGGAAGCGCCTCTGCCCGGCAGCTGCCCCGTCTGGGAGGTGAGGAGCGTCTCTGCCCCGCCGCCCCGTCTGAGAAGTGAAGAGCCCCTCCACCCAGCAGCCGCCCTGTCTGTGAAGTGAGGAGTCCCTCCGCCCGGCAGCCGCCCCGTCTGGGAATTGAGGAGCGTCTCCGCCCAGCAGCCGCCCTGTCCGGGAGGTGGGGGGCAGCCCCGCCCCCCCGGCCAGCCGCCCCATCCTGGAGGGAGGTGGGGGGCAGCCCCCCCCCGCCAGCCGCCCCATCGGGGAGGTGGGGGGCAGCCCCCGTCCGGCCGCCGCCCCGTCTGGATGGTAGGGGGCGCCTCTGCCTGGCTGCCCCGTCTGGGAAGTGAGGAGCCCCACTGCCCGGCAGCCACCCCGTCTGGGAGGTGTACCCAACAGCTCATTGAGAACGGGCCATGATAACAATGGCAGTTTTGTCGAATAGAAAAGGGGAAAACGTGGGGAAAAAATAGAGAAATCAGATCGTTGCTGTGTCTGTGTAGAGGGAAGTAGACGTAGGAGACTCCATTTTGTTCTGTACTAAGAAAAATTCTTCTGCCTTGGGATGTTGTTAATGTATAACCTTACCCACAACCCTGTGCTCTCTGAAACATGTGCTGTGTCAACTCAGGGTTAAATGGATTAAGGGCAGTGCAAGATGTGCTTTGTTAAACAGATGCTTGAAGGCAGCATGCTCCTTAAGAGTCATCACCACTCCCTAATCGCAAGTTCCCAGGGACACAAACACTGCGGAAGGCCGCAGGGTCCTCTGCCTAGGAAAACCAGAGACCCTTGTTCACTTGTTTATCTGCTGACCTTCCCTCCACTATTGTCCTATGACCCTGCCAAATCCCCCTCTCCGAGAAACACCCAAGAATGATCAATAAATACTAAAAAAAAAAAAAAAGAAATGGGGTCTTCCTATGTTGCCCAGGCTGGTCTGGAACTCCTGGGCTCAAGTGATCCTCCTGCTTCAGCTCCTAAAGTGCTGCGATTACAGGCATGAGCCACTGTGACTGGCCTATTACTATTTTAACAGTTCTTGGTTTGCTCTTCAGAAAACTGGGAGGGGTTTTCTCTTCACCTTGCAGAGTGAATCATCTCTGGCTTAGGAACCCCAAAGTGAATTCTAACTCCTGTGAGGTCCTGGGGCATCCAGAAAAGTCACTATGAAGTGATAGGAGGATAGCGGTGGGAAAGGCCCGGTTCCAAGGAGCAAACAGGAGGTACCAAGTGTTCCTGGTAGATGTGAGCTTGAATTCACCAAAGCCCAGCTGTTTCTCCAGAAAGGAAACTCCGTTGAAAGTGCAGTCTGCAGCGCCATCTTTTGGCCACGCCTGGGAATGTCACAGCTGGAAGGAACACTGTAGACAACTGGTCACCTAGTATGCTGGTGAACCCTGCAAGTTCTTAGGCACACTCTCAGAGGTACGACTCAGCAGGTTTGGAGGATTCACATGTTTATCAAGTCCCTCAGGGTGTATGTTCTCATGTAAGTCGTTCAGTAATTCCTTACCTTCCCCCCATCTGGAAACCCCATTTAAAGTTGTCAACAGGCCAGGCGCAGTGGCTCATGCCTGTAAATCCTAGCATTTGGGAGGCCAAGGTGGTCAGGAGTTCAAGATCAGCCTGGCCAACATGGTGAAACCCCGTCTCTACTAAAAACACAAAAATTAGCCGGGCGTGGTGGCACATGCCTGTAATCCCAGCTACTCGGGAGGCTGTGGCAGGAGAATCGCTTGAACCCAGGAGGCGGAGGTTGCAGTGAGCTGAGATCGTGCCACTGTACTCCAGCCTGGGCGACAGAGTGAGACTCCATCTCAAAAAAACGTAAATAAAATAAATAAATAAAGTTGTCAACAAAAATGTGCACAAGACTGTGATGCAGTGTGTAGGTCACCGTGGTGCTCCTGCCCAAAACGCCTAACCCAAATCTAACCATGAGGAAACATCAGTCAAACCCAAAGAGGAACTTTCTACGACGTGACTAGCCTTCACTCTTAAAAAATGTCGAGGTCACGAAATACAAAGAAAGTCTGGGGAAATGTTACCGACTCAAGGAGACTCAGAGACAGGGCAAATGAATGCAGGAGGTGATCAGAGATTTTGTTTTGTTATATAGGACATTGTGGGAAAATTGACAAAATCTGAATATGGTCTGATCATTAGATAATAGTATTGTACCAATGTTAATTTCATGATTTTGATAATTTTACTATATTTGCATATTTGTATTAATTTGTACCAATTGTGCTATATTTGTACAATTATAGTATAATGGTATATAGGAGAATGTCCTTGCTTTTAAAGAATGCACACTGAAGTATTAAGGGGTAAAGGGCCAACAAGTCTGCATTTGACTCACAAACACTTCAGGGGGAAATACGTATATACATGTTTATATGTTTCTATGTGTGTACATATATGTCAATATATATTTTTGTTTTGTTTTGTTTTTTGTTTTTTTTTTTTTGAGACAGAGTCTCACTCTGTTGCCCAGGCTGGAGTGCAGTGGCATGATCTCGGCTCACTGCAACCTCCGCCTCCCAGGTTCAAGCAATTCTCCTGCCTCAGCCTCCCAAGTAGCTGGGACTACAGGCGCGTGCCACCATGCCTGGCTAACTTTTTTTTTTTTCTTTGTATTTTTAGTAGAGGCGGGGTTTCACCGTGTTAGGCAGGATGGTCTTGATCTCCTGACCTCGTGATCCACCCGCTTTGGCCTCCCAAAGTGTTGGAATTACATGCGTGAGCCACTGCGCCCGGCCCTGTTTTTTTCTTTATGTGTATATTTGTAATCTTGGTGAAAGGTATTCAGGAATTCTTTGTGCTACTTTTGCAACTTTTTTAAAGTCTAAAATTATTTTTTTAATGAGAAGTTATTTTTTTCACAAGCCTCCTGAAAAATAGCGTTATAATGCCACCATTCAATTACACGGTAAGACAGTAATACCCCACCTTTCTATGGAGCCCTTGGAGGTGCCAGGCATGTGCTAATTTGAGGTTTATCTCATTGAATCCTCACAGCAATCCTAAGAAGGAGATGCTATCATTACCCCCAGTTTTCAGATGAGGAAACCTTCAGCTCAGAGAGGTGAAGTGACTTGCCCAGGGTCACACAGCCAGTAAGTGATGAAACTGTGTGGCTGTGCTCTCTGAATCCAGAGTAATTTAAAAAGTCCAAGTAGCAGCACATAGGATCCACAACACTGGATGACAGGGGTCGCGCTGTTCAGAGGACTGGGGGCCACTCCCATGGCTGCAGATCGAACTCTACAATCACCTTCAAATGTGCCTGGGCCTTTGCTATGCCTCTGCCCACCCTCCTGCTGCTCCTGGCATGTGCTGCTCACTGTCTCCACCAGTCCCTCTCCTACTTCCTCTTCTGGAATAGACTATCTCTTCCTCCATGTCCGCTTCCCAAGCCCTCTACCTGGGAGAACACTCTCCGTGCTCTGTGGTTCCACAGCCCTATACCTATCCCTTTCTCAGGGACTATCCCACTCTTTTTTTTTTTTTTGACAGAGTCTTACTGTATTACCCAGGCTGGAGTGCAGTAGTGCAGTTTCAGCTCACCACAACCTCCGCCTCCCAGGTTCAAGTGATTCTCCTGCCTCAGCCTCCTGAGTAGCTGGAATTACAGGCACGTGCCACCACGCCTGGCTAATTTTTGTATTTTTAGTAGACGGGTTTCGATATGTTGGCCAGGCTGGACTCGAACTCCTGACTTCAGATGATCCGTCTGCCTCGGCCACCCAAAGTGCTGGGATTACAAGCATGAGCCACCGTGCCCAGCAGACTATCCCACTCTTCACCTCCTGCTGCAATTCCCCTGGCAAAGCAGAAGAGTGTAGCTGTAGCTAGCTCCAGCTGGGGACTCAGCCAGGCCTGGAACCAAAACCTGGCTCTACCCATCACTGGCTGTCTGATCTTGGGCAAGTCACTCGGCCTTTCTTAGCATTTGTGTTAGTCTGTTCTGCATTCCTATAAAGGAATACCTGTGACTGGGCAATCTGTAAAGAAAAGAGGTTTATTGCCGGGTGCAGTGGCTCACGCCTGTAATCCCAGCACTTTGGGAAGCTGAGGTGGGCGGATCATGAGGTCAGGAGACCGAGACCATCCTGGCTAACATGGCGAAATCCCATCTCTACTAAAAATACAAAAAATTAGCCGGGCGTGGTGGTGGACGCCTGTAGTCCCAGCTACTCGGCAGGCTGAGGCAGGAGAATGGTGTGAACCCGGGAGGCGGAGCTTGCAATGAGCCAAGATTGCACCACTGCACTCCAGCCTGGGCGACAGAGCAAGACTCCGTCTCAAAAAAAAAAATTAAATTAAATTTTAAAAAAGAGGTTTATTTGGCTCACAGTTCTTCAGACTGTACAAGCATGGCACCAGCATCTGCTCAGCTTCTGGTGAGGCCTCAGAAGCTTCCGATCATGGCAGAAGGCAAAGGAAGAGCAGGCGCATCATATAGCAAGAGAGGGAGCAAAGAGAGAGAGGAGGAGGTGCAGGCTCCTTTAAACAACGGGCTCTCTCGTGAACTAACAGCAAGAACTCACTCATTACCATGGGGAGGGCACCAAGTCACTTAAGAGGGATCTATCCCAATGACCCAGACACCTCCCAGCAGGCTCCATGTCCAACATTAGGGATCACATTTCACCATGAGATATGGAGGGGACAAATATTCAAACTGTATCAGCATCTTTTAAGTCAAACAGAGGTATTATAACCCAATTCATTATAAAGAGTTTTTGGGCATTTAATATAACATGTGACAAGCAACAAGTACTTAATAAGTGTTAGCTACTATTTTTATGTCCTATCTCTATAATGACTGTTTTACATTTTTTCACAAAAATTAATTATAAGCATGTGTTGAAGTTTTATTTTAAGCTTGTCACAAAGCCAAGTCAGTAGTTCCCTTTTGTTATGGATATTTCAAAGGAAAAGAGAATGGTTGGATAATCATTATTAAACTGAATACAAGACAAAGAATGTATGATAATCATCCAAATGGTTTGGGTAGCTAATTTCCCCAAAGAGGTTTTAATCTTGTTAAAGTTTATCAGAAAATTGCTTCAGCATTTATCAGGAATGCTCATGTCCTCCCAGAAGGAGGTTGTGAATTGTATCACGAAAGTGTTCTATTCCAGGCTGTGATTGGGATGTTCTTCTTAATCATACCCATAAGAATCGGCAGAGCACCGTGTCTCACTCCTGTAATACCAGCACTCTGCGAGGCCGAGGCAGGCAGATCACTTGAGGCCAGAAGTTCATGACCAGCCTGGCCAACATGGTAAAACCCTGTCTCTACTAAAAAAGAAATACAAAAATCAGCTGGGCGAGGTGGCATGTACCTGTAATCCCAGCTACTGGGGAGGCTGAGGCATGAGAATCACTTGAACCCGGGAGGCAGAAGTTGCAATGAGCTGAGATCACGCCAGTGCACTCCAGCCTGGGTGACAGAGTGAGACTCCGTCTGAAAACAAAACAAAAGAATCATGGCCGACATTTCCTGAGCCTTCACTATGCATCTAGTCTGGAGCTGTGTCACAGGCCTGGCCTTGAAACAGGTTCTGGATGCATTTCATCATTGTCACCCCCCACCCCCCAGCATGCTCAGTTCGGTGTAGGACTCTGCAGATGTCTACAACATGCTGATGAGATGGGTGAGTGGGAGCAGCGGCCATCATGTCCCAGGCCTTTGCACAATGTGCAACATACAACACCCTCTCCACACCACCAAGATGGAAATAAACAGGTTTCTGAGAGTAGAAAGAACCACCCGTTGCTCCCCCAGTTTCATTGGGTATGAGTTTGTGCTGTTTGGGAGAATGACGTGCTAGGTGTTTTGTCCAACACCATAAAGTAGGCTCCTTGTCAGGGAGATAACAAGGCGCTTTGTTCTGGCCACAGAGCCGGGTAGAGCATCCAAAGGCTCATTACCAAGCATGGATGCCTTTCCTCTGACAGACAATGAAGAATTGGATCCAAGTTGCTCATTAAGTTCCTTAGGGAGTTGTTGGACATCTTGCTACTGTATGAACAAACAGATGGACCTGGCTGCTGGCTGCAAGGATATTTTAGAAAAAGCAGGTCTGCCTACCCATTATGAAGAGTAAAATATTATACTGGGATGGGGTGCATCATCTCCAAGCTGGTTTGGGGGTGAGGTCAGTGGTTCTCAAAATGTGGTCCTCTGAACAGCAGCATCAGCATCACCTGGAAATTTGTTTGAAGTGAGAATGTGCCCGGGTGCGGTGGCTCACACCTGTAATCCCAGCATTTTGGGAGGCCGAGGCAGGCTGAGGTCAGGAGTTCAAGACCAGCCTGGCCAACATGGCAAAATCCTGTTATCTACTAAAAGTACAAAAATTAGCAGGGTGTGGTGGTGGGCACCTGTAGTCCCAGATACTCCAGAGGCTGAGGCAGGAGTATCGCTTGAACCCGGAAAGCGGAGGTTGCAGTGAGCCGAGATCGTGCCACTGGACTCCAGCCTGGGCGACAGAGCGAGACTCTGTCTCAAAAAAAAACAAAAAAAAAAAAAATGAAGAAGTCAGGATGCTTGGTCCCCATCCCAAATCTGCTGAATCAGAAACTCAGGGGAGGGGCCCAGCAATCTGTGCTTTAACAAGCATTGTAGGTGATTTGGATGCATACTTAAGTTTGAGTTGAACTGAATTTTTTTTTTTTTTTGAGACAGAATCTCACTCTGTCACCGAGGCTGGAGTGAAGTGGTATGTGATCATGGTTCACTGCAACTTCTGCCTCCTGGGTTCAAGTGATTCTCGGGCCTCAGCCTCCCGAGTAGCTGAGATTACAGGCACACACCATCACACCCAGCCAATTTTTTTGTACTTTTAGTAGAGACAGAGTTTCACCACGTTGGCCAGACTGATCTCGTCAGGCAATCCACCCACTGCAGCCTCCCAAAGTGCTAGGATTACAGGCATGAGCTGCTGCGCCCAGCCCTGAGTTGAATTAAATGGTAATATCTTTTCCTCTTTCCTTCTTATTTCACTTCCTAGCATCTTCTCTTTCTCACTATCCTCTCCCATCCCTTCTCCCTCACAAACCAGCAACACGTTCTCAGAAGCCACTGGGATTTGATCTAAGCGCTCAGGTGGGTTGCAAGACCTTTTGAGAGATCACCAGGATGGGAGATGATCAAGCTCCAGAACACTGTTACATTCTCCCAGTGGAACCTGAGAGCAGACCTGCCTGGATGAGCTAGGAGACATCTTGATGGCCATCTCCGGCCATGACAGCACGTATTTCTGAGGCAGAAACAAATCCGGCCAGAGTGTAGAGCCTGTGCTGCCCTGGAGCCAGCTTTAATTGATCATAAGAATGTTTGGGGCAAAATGGCATAGGAAAAGAACAGCAGTGGGAGAAAAGGTGAAAACCATAGGTAACCACAGAGAGGCCTGGAGCAATGGAGCTATTCAGAGAAAAATACAACAAACAGCCACCAGGATGGATTTGTTAGAACACATCAGCATTGGCCGGGCGCGGCGGCTCTCACTTGTAATCCCAGCACCTTGGGAGGCCAAGGTGGGCAGATCACCTGGGGTCAGGAGTTCAAGACCAGCCTGGCCAACATGGTGAAACCTCGTCTCTACTAAAAATACAAAAATTAGCCGGGTGTAGGGGCACATACCTGTAGTCCCAGTTACTCAGGAGGCTGAGGCAGGAGAATCGCTTGAACCCAGGCGGTGGAGGTTGCAGTGAGCAAAGATCACGCCAGAGTATTCCAGCCTGGGAGTCAGCAGCGAGACGCCGTCTCAAAGAAAAAGAACATATCAGCATTTACTGAAGACTCAAGTGGACTTCCTACAGATCTGGGGCTGATATTCAGAGGACGTTCAAGGAAAGGGTGACTCCTGAAGGCTGGAGAACAAGGGACACTCCTATTACACATGCAAAAAGAAGATACAGCCCAACGGCTCATTTCAATAAATATTTGCCAAGTGCCAGCAATTCTCCAGGGTGCATGCTGGATTTTTAAGCAGGATGCAGGTCTGGTACCTCACTCTGGTACTGTGGCCCCTGCTAGGAAACTCTTCAGCCACATCCTCAGCCACCTCTGGGTTGACGTAGACCATTCAGGATCCCAGGGCAGCTCCAGGATGCTAAATTCCAAAGGACTGAATTGCTATGGACTGAACTTTGTACCCCCAAAAGTCACATATTGAAGCCTGATGTGGTTTGGCTGTGTCCCCACCCAAATCTCACCCTGGATTATAATAATCCCCATGTGTCAAGAGCAGGGCCAGATGGAGATAACTGAATCAAGGGGGTGGTTTCCTCCATACTGTTCTCATTGTAGTCTCAGGAGATCTGATGGTTTTATAAACGGGAATTTTCCTGAACAAGCTGTCTTGCCTGCCACCGTTAGTAAGACGTGACTGCTCCTCATTCCCCGTTCACCATGACTGTGAGGCCTCCCCAGCCATATGGAACTGTGAGTCAATTAAACCTCTTTCTTTTATAAACTATCCAGTCTCAGGTATGTCTTTATTAGCAGCGTGAGAACAGACTAACACAAAGCCTAACCCTCAATGTAACTATATTTACAGATAGGGCCTTTAAGGAGGTAATTAAAGTTAAATGAGGTCATAAGGGTGGAGCCATAATCTGATAGAATTAGTGCCCTTATAAGAAGAGACACCAGGGAGGCCATTCCCTCGCTCTCCACCATATGAGGACACAGCAAGGCAGCCATCTGCAAGCCAGGAAGAGAGCTCTCATCAGAAATTGAATCAGCCAGCACCTTGATCTTGGACTTCCTGGCCCCCAGAACTTTGAGAAAATTAACTTCTGTTGTTTAAATCACTCAATCTATGGAATTTTGTTATGGCAGCCCAAGATGGCGAAGATACGTCCCTCTGCCCAACCACACCAAGCTGTCCAGTTGCCATGGCTATACTACAGTTTAGGGCAGGGGGCAATTCAAGAGGTGGCCTCTTGCACAGTGTTAAATGGGAAGCAAAGTCAATGTCTCCTCTCTTGTTCTCAGTGTTCTCTCTAATGTACTTGCACCCTCTCCAAGTCAAAGTCCAGAGAAGGGAAATTGGGACACCCATGTGAGCCTCTTGTCATCTGCTTCTCTGTTCCCCTTCTTCTTCCTTAATCCCTCAAGGTCAAAAAAACAAAAACAAAAACAAAACAACAACAATAACAAAAAAAAGAGCATCAGGTAAAAACCTTTTGTGACCCCTAATTATATCTTTCTTTCTGACTCCAGCTAAGCCTTAATGGTAGACAAAAGTGTCTACTCCACATCCCTGTAAAATTTTTGGGAATAGATTCTCCAAGTTTGCTTACTGGTATAAAGGAGTAATTAAAAAAAAATATTGAAGAATCCTGCCTTGCAAGCAAGGCTACTGTCCTGCTGCATAATCCTATTTTTGAATGACAAAGACTGACTAACACTGTGGCCTTCCTTGGCATTCAAATCTCCCCCTAGCCAAAAGGATGCCAGGGATATATTAGAGAAACTATGATGTTCTGGGAAAGAAAAAAGAGAAAAGCATGTTAAAATAAAAAAAAAAAAAATCACCCCAATTTGCATATATACATATAAATCTTTTTTTTTTTTTTTTTTGAGAGTTTCACTCTCAAAACTCCTGGGCAATAGGAGTTTCACTCCTGTTGCCCAGGCTGGAGTGCAATGGCGCGATCTCAGTTCACTGGAACCTCCGCCTCCCGGGTTCAAGCGATTCTCCTGCCTCAGCCTCCTGAACAGCTGGGATTACACGCGCCCACCACCAAGCCTGGCTAATTTTTGTATTTCTAGTAGAGATGGGGTTTCACCATGTTGTCCAGGCTGATTTCGAATAAATCTTCTTTTAACCAAAAAAATGGTATATCACATTTTACATACTTCCCTGCTCTAAGCTTCATTTGCCTAAAATTGTATCTTCATCTTTCTATCTTGGAACATAGACATCTATCTTGCTGTCTACCTCTATCTCCCTACTCCAAGTCACCAATATCTGTCACCTAGACAACTGCCATAATCTTCCAACTGGTCACCTTGCTTCCACTCTTGCCCTGGTATAATCCGTTCTCCAAACAGAGAGAAAAACATTTTTTAAGTAAAATCTGCTAATGTCAAGATTTCTGCTTCTAAATAGAAGGGAGTAGTTGACAGGCCAATGTTTCTGCTAAGAACTGGAAAGGGTGGATAAAATAGAAAACCATCG
The DNA here is from genome assembly GCF_000001405.40 of Homo sapiens. Classification (NCBI taxonomy): domain Eukaryota; kingdom Metazoa; phylum Chordata; class Mammalia; order Primates; family Hominidae; genus Homo; species Homo sapiens. The sequence continues at coordinate 38,417,654 of NC_000020.11, forward strand.
TTTTAAAGGCATTGGAGAGCTTTGGAGGCAAAGGACTGGAAGCATTAAAATTCCACAAAGGGGACCAGGGGTGGTAGCTGACACCCGTAATCCCAGTACTTTGGAGGCTGAGGTGAAAAGATAGCTTGAGCCTAGGAGGAGTTTGAGACCAGACAGGGTCTCAACATAGCAAGAACCTATCCCTTAAAAAAAAAAAAAAAAAAAAAAATTAGTGGCTGGGCGCAGTGGCTCACACCTGTAATCCCAGCACTTTTGGAGACCAAAGTGGGTGGATCACAAGGTCAGGAGTTCAAGACCAGCCTGGCCAAGATGGTGAAACCCCATCTCTACTAAAAATACAATAGCTGGGCGTGGTGGCGGGTGCCTGTAATCCCAGCTACTCGGGAGGCTGAGGCAGAGAATTGCTTGAACCCAGGAGGTGGAGGTTGCAGTGAGCCGAGATCGCACCACTGCACTCCAGCCTGGGTGACAGAGCAAGACTCTGTCTCAAAAAAAAAAAAAAAAAAAAAAAATTAGCTGGGCATGTTGGTGCACAGCTCAGCCTCCCAAGCAGCTAGGATTAAAGATAACCATTAGCATTCTTTCATAATATTTTTAAATTAAGGTATTTATATTGCTTTGGACATAATGCTATTGCACAGTTAATAAACTACACTATAGTGTAAACTTGATTTTTTTACACAAGGGTCTTCACTAGGTTGTCCAGGCTGGCTTTGAACTCCTGGGCTCAAGAAATCCTCTGCCTTAGCCTCTGGAGTAGCTGGGACTACAGGTGCACGTGCCACCACACCTGGCTAAAATAACTTTAATGCACTAGGAGACAAGAAAATGTGTGCAACTCACTTTATTGCAGTGGTCTGGAACCAAGCCTCTGAAACACAGCTACATATATTTATCTGGGCTGGGATCTCCTTGAGGACACAAACTGCCTTACTCACCCTTGTATCCTTTTCTCCAGCTTAGCGTCTGGCTCCCAAGTAAATGCACAATGCTTTTTGAGTGAATGAGCCTCACTCTCCCAGCTCTCCATTCTCCTGGCTGTCAGTTCTGCTGTGGAGTCTCCAACCAGCTGCTTCCTCAGGCCCTCATACTGGGCACATATCCCAGCAAGGGCCACGCCTCCTTGACCTAATCCTGGCTCTTGGGCCACCTTGGTTAATGGACTGCTCTTCTCAGAGTTCCTCAGGCCCTTAAGACCTGGGATGGCTCCTGCCTCACATGCAACAGTGGCGAGAGGCACCCATGATGATCTGATGCCGGATGAAATATGCAGACTTAGGTACTGTATTACTGCTTAGACTTAGGTAATGTATTCTACTGCTGTCCCCTCCACTGTGGCAGACATCTGTCATCAGTTACAGCTTCCTCAAGTGGACCCAGATTCCTTCCCCTGGCATCTGTTCAAGCAGCCACAGCCAGTTGGCAAAAGGTGGCAAAAAAGTCAGGATGGTCCTCAAAGGCCAAGGCAGAAAAAGGACCTGTGACTTCTGGATGCTTCTGCAGGGAACTGACTGCTGGTATGGTGCCTTTAAACATAAATGCCTGCCCCTTAGGCCAGGCATGGTGGCTCACACCTGTAATCTCAACACTTTGGAAGGCCGAGGCGGGTATTTACTTGAGGTCAGAAGTTCGAGACCAGCTGGCCAACATGGCGAAACCCCATCTCTACTAAAAATACAAAAATTAGCTGGGCGTTGCGGCACATGCGCATAGTCCCAGCTACTTAGGAGGCTGAGGCACAAGAATCACTTGAACCTGGGAGGCAGAGGTTGCAGTGAGCCAAGATCACACCACTACACTGCAGCCTGGGCAACAGTGAGGCTGACTCAAAAAATAAAAAAACAAAAAACATGAGAAAAAAAAAAAACAAAGAATGCCTGGCAGACCATTAATGTGCCAAATTCATCAAGACAGGCTTACCAGCGTGATTTTTGCCCCAACTCCAGCCAAGGTGGTTTTAACTTCAAGTGGGGAGATTAACTGCACCTTTTCACCATGGCCCCTGGGACATGTGTAGATTCCTCCCTCTGTGAATCAGAGATGACAGTTCATGCGTGCACATCCTTAGATCATGTCATTGCTGCAATTTTTCTTTCTCTTAAAAACAGGTCTCACTCTGGCACCCAGGCTGGGCTGCAGTGGTGCCATCATTAACTCATTGAATCCTCGAATTCCTGGGCTTAAGCAATCCTCCTGCCTCAGCCTCCTGAGTAGCTGGGACTACAGGAGTGCGCTACCGTGCCTGGCTAATTTTTTGTGGAGACGGGGTCTGCTGCCTAGGCTGGTTTTGATCTCCTGGCCTCAAGAAATCATCCCACCTTGGCCTCCCAAAGTGCTAGTAATACAGGCACAAGGCACCATGCCTAGGCCTTGCAATAAGTGACTTTACCCTAATCTCCAAAGCCTGAACTTAAGAGTACCCCTCAGTTCCATCAATGGCAGCTGCTCCATGTTCACCCTACTCCCACTGTTACCCCATAACCTGTCCTCTCAAGCTGACACCATGGATTTTTACATCCCACACATGCTGACCAACTTGTCCCAGTTTGCTCAAGATCTCCCTGGGTTTAGCAATGAAAAACCCACTTTCTGGGAAGTCCCTCAATCTCAGGCAAACTGGGACAGTTGATCTCACAAGTAGGCATTTACTTATGAGCCACGTCATCCAGGACACTCCAGCCTTCCTGAATGACATCAGACCTGTCTCACTCCATAATCTACCCTGACTATTCTGCAATGCCCTGAATTATCATGGGTCCTAAATGCCTAAATGTGAACCAACTACCAGCACTTGTTCACCTCCTAGTTCCAAATGTATACCTCAAACAATATCCTCTGAGCCAAGGAAGAGTGAAAATCAGATCTGGCCTATGGCCTACCTTCTCCAAAGCCAGCCTGGCAGGCTCACAGGTTGTCACTGATTTAAGAAGCACATGGAGCAATTCTGTAAGGTTTATTGAATGGGTGGGTAAAAAGTGAACGACAGCTACAAATTCAAAAATAAAACTCTTGGTTATTAAAGTCATTCCAGGCATGGACAGAGGGATGCGAGGCTGGCCTTCCCTGTCCACGGTCCTCTGAGGCAGCTGAAGTCTCCCATGTCTGGACCCCGAATCTTGTGCAGATTGAACAGTGGATCCGGGGTGCTCTGAGCAGGCAGCAGGGAGCAGCTCTGGTGACGCTTCATGTGGTAGCCTCACTCTCCATTCTCTGCCCCTCTCGTGCCCACAAACACCACCAAGAGATTCTGAAACAAAGGACAAGTGAGACCAGTGATTTGAGGTTCCCATCTGCATAAACACGGACCAGCTGAGCCTCTGGCTGTGGGTTCTGGCTCTTGGCATCAACTCACCACGGTGAGAAATATCAGCAAACCCAGATCCCAGATCACCAACTCCATGGTCTTAGGACTTCCTTGGACTGTCCTTGGATCTAAGGCTGAGACCTAAGAGGGTAAGAAAGCATACAAGTATTTAGTCTCCAGGGCCATCTCCTCCTCCCCAAGCTGACACCACTGAGAGGGGTCCCATTCAAGCAGGGCGAAGCTCCTCATTCACGCACACCAAATAAAAAATCCCAACAGAAAGGACATGAAAGGACAAACATCTTAGAAGTTTCGTTTTTCTTTCAAGCAGTTCACAATCGGGGCAAATGACCAGCTAGAGTAATCCACAGGAATACAGCTTTCCTAGCCCCACCTGCAACTTTCTCCATTTGTTCGACATTACTGATGGTGCCTGTGGAAACAATGTGGATTTCACATTTCATGAAGCAAAGCCCGTGATTCGCAGTTCTCACGTGTGCCCTTCACTGCTATCTGAATTCATTCCAGCGTGGGGCCCAGAGAGAAATGCAGACTGGTTTCTGGCAGGAGGATCCCTAACATGAAAAGACAAAATGAACCCTCAGAAGTCAGGGGGTGGGTCTAGTCACCACATCACATGGGCCCACAAAGGCCCAAGCTCTGAAAGCCTAGTTGGAAAAAGGCTGCAGCGTGGGAAAGCTCCAGGGTTTGAAAGGGAAGGCTGGACCAACGCAGGGAAGATGTCTTTCAGCACTCCTACCCCTGCACTGTTAATGATCGGGACACAGGCAACCCATGATCACTTTTGGATACAAGAGCAGGGAAGGACAGAAAGAGAGCCAGCAAGGGAGGGAGGCTGGTGTCAAGGGCCTGAGGCAGGGAGAGCAGCCCAGCTGAGCAGAGGCCCAGCCACGGCCACCGTGTGTCCTTCTAAGACCCCAAAAGGAGTTAAGACACTTCCAGCATTAAAAAAATGGAAACGCTTTTGGGTTGGAAAAGGTCAGGAGCATATGGTCCTAACATCATACACACACACCCTGAAAGAAAAACTCACTGCTAATCCAGATCACAGCACACTATGGACACACCAGCGCTCAAGGGAGGAGGACGGTTCCCCCGGGGAGCTCACTTTACCCACGCAGATTTCCGGAGGCTCTTCCTCTGCAACAGCCACTGAAAGCATGTGAGGGACAGCCCCACAGCAGGACAGAACGTGGAACCACGGGATACCACTTTCACCTTGCTTCCCCTACATCATCCAAGCCCCAGGAACAGCACATGACTCTGCAGGATGCAAAGAAACATATTCCAGACAACAGTCCAAAAATCCCACCTTGCGGACCCATGGTCCAGCGCCCTGCTACTATGAAGACAACACATCCCATGGAGCCTCTGCACACAGCAGACCCATCTGAAACAGACACAGAGAACACTTAACGCAGGGGCTGGCAGATCATAAGCAACCCACAAATGCCACTGTCTCTATTAGTACTTACAGCCACATTATTGTCTCAGGAACAAGAAAAACGTAACTCTAGGAAGAGGTCGGCAAACTATCTGTGAGAAAAATGGCATCTATGCTATCCTATGTGCCCACTCTGTGCTGCTTATCAGTATACATTACATAGACCCAGCTATCCCTCTTCTGGACACATACTCAATGGAGATCAAATCACACCTCATAAAGACATCTGCACTCCAATATTCACTGCGGCATTACTCCCAATCGCCAAGATACGGAAACAATCTAAGTCTCCATCAACAGATGAATGGAAAAAGAAAATGTGGCATACGCACACACACACACGCACACACAACAAAACATTATTCACCCTTAAAAAGAAGACCCTTGGCCAGGCGCGGTGGCTCACACCTGTAATCCCAGTACTTTGGGGGGCCGAGGTGGGTGGATCACTTGAGGTCAGGAGTTCAAGACCAGACTGACCAACATGGTGAAACCCCATCTCTACTAGAAATACAAAAAATTATCCAGGCGTGGTGGCATGCACCTGTAACCCCAGCTACTCGGGAGGCTGAGGCAGGAGAATCACTTGAACCTGGGAGGTGGAGGTTGCAGTGAGCTGAGATCGCACCACTGCACTCCAGCCTGGGCAACAAGAGCAAAACTCCATCTCAAAAAAAAAAAAGAAGACCCTGGGCTAGGCATGGCAGTCCATGCCTGTAATCCCAGCACTTTTGGAAGCGAAAGCAGAAGGATGGTTTAAGCCCAGGAGTTGGAGACCAGCCTGGGCAACATCGCGAAACCCCATCTATACAAAACATACAAAAATTAACCAGGCATAGTGGCATGCACCTGCAGTCCCAGCTACTCAGGGAAATGAGGTGGGAGGGTCACTTAAGCCCAGGAGACAGAGGTTGCAGTGAGCAAACACAGTTCACTGCAACCTCTGTCTCCTGGGCTTAACTTCAGCCTGGGTGACAGAGGGAGACCCTGTCTCAACCAAAAAAAAGAAAAAGATAGAGAAAGATCCTGTCATTTGCCACAACATGGATGGACCTGGAGGATATTATGTTAAATGAAATAAGCTAGACACAGACAAACAGTGCATATCTCACTTATGTGTGCAATGTTAAAAAAAAAAAAAAAAGGTCAAGCATACAAAGATAGAGAATAAAATGGTAATTACCATGGGCAGGAGCTGAAGGAAATAGGGAGATGTAGGCCAAAGGACACCAAGTAGCAGATATACAGGATGAGTAAGTCTAGAGGGCTCACGCACAACATAAGGGATTTCTGTGAAGCAGGTTTCAGCTGCTCCTCACACACACTAAAAACGGTGACTATGTGAGATAACAGACATGCTCATCGGCTTCACCATAGTAACCACTGTGCTATCTATATCTGTCCCATTATTCTATAACATCATGTTGTAAACTCAAATATAGACAATAAACATTTTAAAAACAGGTTGGGTGTGGTGGCTCACGCTTGTAATCCCAGCACTTTGGGAGGCTGTCCCAATTATTTGTATCACATAAGGCCAGGACTTCGAGACCAGCCTGGCCAACATGGTGAAACCCCATCTCTACTAAAAATACAAAAATTAGCTGGGCGTGGTGATGCACATCTTTAATCCCAGCTACTCGGAGGCTGAGGCATGAGAATCACTGAACCCAGGAGGCAGAGGCTGCAGTGAGCCGTGTTTGCACCACTGCACTCCAGCCTGGGCAACAGAGCAAGACTGGGTCTCAAAAAAAAAAAAATTAAAAAAAAAAGAAAAAAAGGATGCCAAGGCAAGAAGGCTTTTGGAGCAGGCCATGCCTGGCAGTGATCAGCACAGACCTGGGATGGGTAATGAACAGGTGGGGTGGGAGAGCCCCGCACCTACCATCTAGTGTGTAAGAGCTGCATTCATACATCTGACTATACCTATAGCATATTGTCTCCCCCGATTACTACTCTAGCCCTTGCCACCTTAATCTAAGGCCAGAAGGAAAATCCACCTCTGGTAGACCATGGACGCTCCTCACAGCCAGGACTGAAGGTGGACTGTAACAGCTGGCTTGTTCTAGGACATTTTTAACCCCAGCACTGCTCAATGGGATAAGCCTTGTCACCTTACAACAATGTGTCTTCTCATTTACTGTTTGTCCAGGTGCTACATGTCAGTTACCAGGCACCATGTGAAACAAGACAGAGGCACTGCCCTGAGGAAGCTCACAGCACAGTGGGCAGGAGAAGCAAACCAACAATTCCCAGACAGTGTGACCAGTGCTGAGAGGTGGGAAGGAGTGTGATGGGGAGGCAGAGAGAGCTTCTGGGGGGAGCTCTAGGAAGGGGTAACCACTACTGTGGCTCCAAAACTAGCTCAGAGACATAAACTCAGTGTGGCAGGTCCCTGCTTCACTGTCCTTTGACAGGAGCCTCTGAGTCCCATGCTAGGCACAAGGGACACTCAATGAACCATACAGCACCAGTGTATGGTAGATGCATGTAACAATAGCTTCTTAGGAAATGAGGGTTGCCATGTGGAGGTTACTGGGGGAAGGTGCTATATAATCTGCATGCATTTTACAAGTGGATGAGGTGCCCCCATCCAGCCCCCCACCACTAGACTGCTGACTGCCCTCAAGTTCCCCAGATAAACCCTGTTTCCTTCACTGGCTCCAGGTCTCTTCTCCGGCCTGTTGAACCTGGTGCCATCCCTAATGAGGTAAACAGGGGTCTGGCACGACAACCAGGTACCAGGAGGTAACATCACTGGTGAGAATAAAGGCATGTACGAAAGCTCCAGAGTTTGGAAGGGATAGGAGTGGACCCTTCAAACACGGGGAAGCGCTTTCATTGATTCCTCTCCCTGCACTATCAATGACCAGGGCAAAGGCAGCCCACGATCACTTTCGAATACAGGGACAAAATAGGGCAGTGAGTGAGTTGAGAGGGGAGGCACTGACAGCAGCTTAGGAAGGGCCCAAACTAAGAGACCTGGAAACAAGTCAGTGACCAGATTTGCAGCCTAGAATTGCAGCAGCTGCTTCTGATTCCCAAAGATTTCTAACATGGTTTGATTTCCCAAACTTTAGCATGAATACGAATCACCTGGAGACCATGTTAAGCCAGATTGCTGGCTCCAGATCCAAAACTTCTGATGTAGTAGGTTGGGACAGGGCTAAGAACTTGCACTTCTTACAAGTTCCCAAGTAATACTGATGGTACCTGGTTCTGGGACCACAGTTTGAGAACCACTACTCAAATGCTTCCCTCATAAGAGAATGAGATGGAAGATCAACTCTGGGTGAAATGTTGAGAATTCACTGGATTAGGAAGTCAGGGATTGTGTGATACTATCCACACGTCGGCCAGGCCTGGACTTACTATCCATAATCCCAGCACTTTGGGAAGCCAAGGTGGAAGGATTGCTTGAGCCCAGGAATTCAAAACGAGCCCAAGCAACATGGTGAGACTCCGCCTCTACAAAAAATTTCTAAAAATTAGCTGGGTGCAGCAGCACGTACCTGTGGTCCCAGCTACTCAGGAAGCTGAGGTGGAGGATCACTTGAGCCCAGGTCGAGGCTGCAGTGAGCCATCATTGCACCACTGCACTCCAGCCTGGGTGACAGAATGAGACCCTGCCTCAAAAAAAAAAAAAAAAAAAAAAAATCCATAAATCACTTCATAACAAGGATCGCCACCAAGTCCAGAGAAAACCACTAGCTAATTGCCTGCCTCCAAAATGCAGTACTCCTCCCACTTCAACAAACTATGCCAATCCACACTAGGATGACTCAGAGCCCAAGGGGAGCTCTGTAAGCCCCACCGTGATTCACACAGTGGAGTCGCAGAGTTCGAGGAAAAGAGGGTGTCACATGTCCCTGTGGGCCTCAGTGGAAGAGCAAGCAATGGGAAGCAGCCTCTGCCTCCCCTCTAGTGACCTCAAAGCCTTCGTCCTTGCGGCCTGAACACCAGTGCATTCTCTAGAGAAGCACCCAGGATTCATACCTTACAAGCACCGCAGCTCAGCCTCTTCTTGAAGACACGTCACCTGGGGCCACTGGGCACACAGGACAGAGGTCAGCTGACAATCCTGCAATGACAAGAAGCCACACATATCACTTCTTATAACACATTCCACTATCCAACATGTTCAACAGGAAAAAGCGACCTCTCAATCGGGGTGGGATGGGCTAGACGGCGGCTGCATCAGTGACTTCCCCTTGGTCCTCCCTCTCTAGCTTTATTCCTGATCTTACAACTCCACCCATTCCTCCAGGGGCAACCTGAGAACCAGTCATCCTCAGGGGAGCCCCAAAGGCCAGCACAAAAGGCAGAGGAATTAAGAGCTGGAATGGTGGCCAGTGAGTGACACCAATGCACACCTCAGAGGGTCGAGAGAACAGGCGAAACTCTTGGGTGGGAAGTGAGGGAAGTGTTTTGCCTCTCAGAACCCGGCTGTGCTCCCCTTGCAGCAATGAGCACTTTCTCTTTCTTACGACAAACCCTTCAGGACCCCCTATTCCAGGCCAATGACATGTAAAGATGTAAAGATGCTACCCTATCCTGTCCCCAAGTTACACATACACACACACACACACACACACACACACACACACACACGGGGTCAGCCCTGCTCACCCCAACCTCAAAGTCTCCCTCATGTTTATATGCCAATATTGCACTTATTCGAAACTGTGCTATCCACTGCGACACACCATGACTCATTACATATCACATTCCCTTCCTGATCTACCCCTCAGAACACAGAGCCTGGTTTCTGCAAAGAGAGGTCAAGCTGAGAAAGACTTAAGCATGATGCCCCCCCGCACTGACTTTCATGTGGCAGCCAAGCAAGCGCCGGACTCCTCAAGGGCTGGCAGGAGAGCAACAGGAGTTGTGTGAAAGCTTCAGGGTTCGGATGGGATAGGGTGGACCCTCCAAACACGGGGACAACCTCTTTCAGCGTTCCTCTCCCTGCACTATCAATGACCTAGGCACAGGCAGCCTATGATCACTTTCGGATGCAGGAGCAGAAACAGACAGGAGAGCCAGGAAGGGCAGGAGGATGGTGCCAGGGCCTGTGGGATGACCCAAGTCAGGGACAGTACAAGACTCCTGCAGCTGCCATCTGTCCTGTAAAATCCCATAAAACCTAACCACCAAGGGGAATCAAAGGGGAAACACCTCTGACAAAAGCCCTGGAAAAATCTGGGGACTAGAGAGCAGGATCATGGGGTCACGTCTGTAAAAATCAATTATGCCCTACCTTTGTTTTCTGTATCAGGAAATTGAGATTCAAAACAGGTCAGATGGCCCTTGGCTGGCATCTGGGAACTTGGCTCTCGGGATGTTCCTAGTCAACAGTTTACTGATCAGAACCGTTCACTGGACACAGTCTCTCCGTGCAAATAATGTGGCACAGGCACCTGTTTTCCTGAAAGTCTGGAATTTTGGTGCGTGCTAGGCAGGTGGTGTCTACATAACCAGATCCCAGTAAACACCCCGGGCATGGAGGCCCTACTGGGCTTCCCTGGGCAGAAACACTGCACACAGGCTGAATGCATTTTCACTGCTGAGGGGAGAATGGGTTCCATGTGATTTCTGAGAGAGGGAGGGAGCATGAGGAAGCTGGCACAGGGATTCCTCCAGACTCAACCTGCATCTTTTTTCCTGAATCATTTGGCTGTGTACCCCTACAATGTTGCTAGGTTAAATCTTAACCATTGATTACAACTGGAAAGAAATCCAGCCACTTTCCATTATGACATGCTGCTAATGCACTGCAGGAAAAGCCCCCAGCGCTCGCCCCAGGCAGCTCCCTGCAGGGGCCTCCTCCTCCACAGCCCCTGAAGGCACAGAAGGAGGGGCCAGCTCCAATCCAGCTTTCCCAGGGAAGAGGAGTCTGGATCTGGGAATCCATAGGACATGGCTCCTCTTCTCATCCTCACCTCTCCCTACGTCACCACCAAAGCACCAGAAAAAAAGGGGACGTGACTTTACAGGGTGCAAAAAGCCAAAATTCCAGAGATGGACAAGAAACCTTACCTCGGGCCCTGCGGTCTGCCACTCTCCTGCAACACCTCTCACTAAGCATCTCTACAGTGTTGCATAGATGCTGACTAAACCGTTCTTCTCACCTGAACAGCCATGACTTCTTTTAGGAATGAAATAGCAGCTTATCTCTAAGAAAGGGGCTAGAGAACTTCTAAGGCAGGGATGATATCCGCTTCATCTGTCAGGCCAACTGTTACTAAGTTCAAGAGGATGCTGGGGCCATGATGATCTTGGGATGTGCTGTTTCTCCAGCAGCGTCCAGCAAGCAGCTGGGGAGGTCGTGGGGAAGCCGTGCAGAGGCTGCTGCCGTAAATCCCTCAGTGATCTTCTCCCCTGCCTGTCTCTGGTCCTTGATTCCTTTCCCACAAGCTGGAGGGAAAATCCTCCCCATACAAGGGAAATCCTCCCCATACAAGGCTGGAGGGAAATCCTCCCCATACAAGGCCAAGGCCAACAGAAATGAGTTACCTCAGAATCCTGTGAAGGGGTGGAAAACACCAAATCTGCTCCCACCAATCCCACACAGGTGCTGACTCAGTATTTTTCTCCAACACCCCAAAATGTAATGAACCCGATCTCCTTACAGTGGAGGGACTCTCCCTTTCTCGTTTTTCTTTCTTGAGACAGGGTCTCACTCTGTTGCCCAGGCTGAGTGCAGTGGCATGGTCATGGCTCACTGCAGCCTTGTCCTCCCGGGCTCAAGAGAGCCTCCTGCCTCAGCCTCCTGAGAAGCTAGGACTACAGGGGCATGCACCGCCATGCCTGGCTAATTTTTTAGTTCTTATAGAGGCGGGGTTGCCCAGGCTGCCGTTTTTCCTTTGTCCCACACTGTCAGAATACTGACCATCTGGCAGACATAACAAAGTAGGGAACAAAATTCAGACACTGCCCTTGAGACCACAGCAAAGAGAGCCAGGAAACAAGTCAGGCAACAATTTCCACAGGTTCAGCTTGGTGCAGGGGCTGGATAAGGACGTGGAAGGAGAGGTGTGGAGGCAGAGAAAGCTTCCGGGAGGAAGGAGCAGGGCAGCCCTATCTCAGCTCCACACCCAGCCCTTCTGCTCCATGAGGCCAAACCCATCACCCCACACCCTTCCCTCATGTCTCACAATAACTGCCCTGGGCCAGGGAGAAGAGCAACACAACCCACTAGATGATGCCAGGCACCAGGAGCCATCTAAGACGTGGTGGGAGGGAGGAGGTGTGGGAAAGCTCCAGGGTTTGGAAGAGACAGGAGTGGACCCTCCAAACACGGGGAAGTGCTCTCGGCAGTTCCTCTCCCTGCACTACCAATGACCAGGGCACGGGCAGCTCATGATCACTTTCGAATGCAGGGGCAGAAAGGGCAGAGGGCAAGCCCAGAAAGGAGGCCAATGCTGGCATTCCGGGCAATGGTCTCACCTGGAACAGAACAGCTGACAGGGCAATGAGCAGACTTACAGCCTAAGATTACAGATGCTGCTTCTGACTCCCAGAGATCACTTACCACTCCCTGCCAGAAGCAGAAAGGAAGGCAAACATGGGCAGAAATATTGAGAATCCTGGGGCTCTTCTCAAAGACTGGGCTGGCCGGGTGCAGTGGCTCACGCCTGTAATCCCAGCACTTTGGGAGGCTGAGGCAGGTGGATCATCTGAGGTCAGGAGCTTGAGACCAGCCTGTCCAACATGGTGAAACCCCATCTCTACTAAAGATACAAAAAAACATTAGCCAGGCATGGTGGCAGGCACCTGTAATCCCAGCTACTCGGGAGGATGAGGCAGGAGAATCATTTGAACCCGGGAAGTGGAGGTTGCAGTGAGTCAGGATCACGCCATTGCACTCCAGCCTGGGCAACAGAGACTCCGTCTCAAAAGAAAATAAAAATAAAAATAAAAAAATAGGCCGGGCACAGTGGCTCACACCTGTAATCACAGCACTTTGGGAGGCCAAGGCGGGTGGATTGCCAGAGGTCAGGAGTTCGCGATCAGCCTGGCCAACACCATCTCTACTAAAAATAGAAAAAATTAGCTGGACATGGTGGCGGGCACCTGTAATCCCAGCTACTCAGGAGACTGAGGCAGGGAGAATCACTTGAACCCGGGAGGCAGAGGTTGCAGTGAGCTGAGATCATGCCATTGCACTCTAGCCTGGGCGACAGAGCAAGACTCTGTCTCAAAAAATAAATAAATAAATAAATAACAGACTGGGCTGGAGGGTATCAATATTGGCTATCTGTTCCACTGAGGCTTACATAAGACTGCTCAGCCGGGCACTGGGTATGAATCCAGGCTTGAATCTGAAACGCAGCCCCTCTGTCCATTCCAACACATGGTTTTCCTCTCAACATGACAGGGTCTTTGTCAGGGACTCTCAGAGCCCCAATCAAGCTCAGGGAGCACCTTCTTGGCAGCAGCCCCACGAAGGCAGAAGAGGGCCCAGGCCTGTCCCTGCCTGCTGAAGGAGCAAAGACAGGAGCAAAGGGAAGCAGCCTTCACCGGTGTCCTCACTCCCCACTCCTCAGCACCCAACCACCTCTGGCCTCACAACCTGCAGAGAACTTGAGCTCTAGAGGACTGAGCAGGACCCCACTTACCTGGGACCTCAGGATCCATGCTCTCCCAGAGGACGCCTCTCACACACATGGGGCGGCAGTCATGTGACACTCCTGCAGGGCACAAGAAGCCAAGATGTGACTGATGCACTTGGCACTGCTTATGGCAAGTCCAGGAAACCACGATATTCACCCACAGAAAACACACCAGGGGAATCAGTGTCTCAGGAGGTGAATGTACTGACAGCTTGTCTAGCCCATCCTGGTCACTGACACAGTCCCCTGAGGTCATCCCGTCTGAAATGGACAATGGTGCCTCTACACAAGAGGAAAACCTTGTAACTTTTCCTTTATTACCAATAACCAAGACACAAGCAGCCTGTAATCACTTTGCACACAGGGGCAGAAAGAGATCCAGGGCTTGTTGAAATTGGAGACCAACGTCAGAAGCCTGAAAAATGGCCTGAGCCAGGACAGTGGCACAGCAGAGCACAGGATGAAGCAGCTTCCATCTTGTCCCACATAAACGGAACCTGCCCCAACCAGGAGAAGTAAAGGAAAGACCCTCCAGATGAGAAAGCTGGCAGACTTCTTCGGACGTGGAAGATAGGGACGGTGTGATCCTAAGAAAAATCACCTCAGCGTACTCCTGTTTTCCAGACGAGAAAACTGAAGATCACAAAAAGAACCAAAGCTAGGGAGTAGTGGTAAAGCGTTTGGGACCAAGGTACAGGTAGGTTTGATGCCAAAGCCCTCCAGCTTTTGAGTCAGATATTCCAAGACACAACAATGATAAGGGATCCCTAAAGATGCTAAACCCAAGCAGGCACAAGAGGAACCCAATGTATTCATGATGGCCCCAAAGAGGGTAAAACTGGGGCCAGCACAAAGACACTCTTACCTCACCTCTCTCTACTTCCCAGACATCACGCCCAGGGAACCTGCATGCACCCACCCTTGTGGGACACAAAGCCCCAGATCTCCAGAGGACAGACCTCATAGAACACCATGGTCCACCTGCTTCCTGGCAGGGTGGAGATACCTCTCATGGGCCTCTCTGCACCAATCAGCCTCCTCTGCCAGAATCAAGAAGCCCTGGATGAGCTATCTAGACATCACCTGGTCAAACCCGTTCTGGAAAGGACAAGGAGAGTACTGGCACAGAAGCCACCAGGTGGTAAACATTTCCTAAAAGTTGGCTAGTGTTAACAGTGGTCTACGGTCTCAGCAACACGAAGAGTTCATCTAGAGAAGAACCAGTCATCAGGGACAGCTTAAGTCTCATCTTATGCACATATTGTTGAATTTGTGATCCTGAAGCAGTACACTGAAGGGGACTCTGAACCTAGGACAGGTTCTGGTGTGGCACACCAGCGTGGCGCAGTCTAGCATACACAGTAAGGGCTATGATGGGCAGGATGGCCCATCTGTCATCTGCGGGTCAGGGCTGATTACACATCTCACTCTTCTATCAGCCATGCCTAGCTATACCTCTGGCTTTGGTCGCTGACATCACAATGACAATCCTGTGGGGAAATTAATCCTGGTGGCCCACGGACAAGACCGTCAAAGAGAACACCATGGGATGACCACTGGGCCAGTGGGAAATAGCTCTGACCACCCCCACACAGGCTGCCTTGCTCAAAACTACTTCCCTGACATGCATCAATGTGCTAAGCCCTGTCACCTTACAACTGAAGTCTTTTTTGTTGTTGTTGTTTAAAGACAAGGTCTGGCTCTGCAGCCCAGGCTGGAATGCAGTAGCACAATCTCGGCTCACTGCAACCTCCACCTCCTGGCGCATGCCACCACACCTGGCTAGTGTGTGTGTGTTGTAGACAGGTTTTTGCCATATTGCCCAGGTTGGTCTTAAACTCCTGGGCTCAAGCGATCCACCCACCTCAGTCTCCCAAAGTGCTAGGATTACAGGTGTGAGCCACCACGACCAGCCACAGTTGTCTTTTTCCAGCTCCTGTTTTTTGTTTTTTGTTAGGGACATAGTCTCACTCTGTCGCCTAGGCTGGAGTGCAGGGGCATGATCTTGGCTCACTGCAACCTCCACCTCCCAGGTTCAAGCGATTCTGGTGTGCCTCAGCCTCCTGAGTAGCTGGAATTATAGGCGTGTGCCACCACACCTAGGTAATTTTTGTATTTTTTAGTAGAGATGGGGTTTCACCATGTTGGCCAGGATGGTCTTGAACTCCTGGCCTCAAGTGATCCACACTCCTTGGCCTCTCAGAGTGCTGGGATTACAGGTGTGAGCCATTGCACCCGGCCCATCTCCTGTTTTTCATTTGTTCCATAACTGCTGAAAATCAACCATCTACCAAGCACCAGGTAAGTCAAGAGACAGGACTCAGATACTGAGACAGGCGAAGTGGCTCACACCTGTAATTCCAGCACTTTGGAAGACTGAGGGAAAATCACTTGAAGCCAGGAGTTCAGGACCAGCCTGGGCAACATAGCGAGACCCTGTCTGTCCCAGCTATTTGGGAGGCTGAGGTGCGAGGATCACTTGAGTACAGGAGTTCAAGCTATGATCACGCCACTGCACACTGCACCTCAGCCTGGACAACAGAGTGAGATCCTGTCTCTAAAAAAATACAATAAAATATTAAACAAAACTCAAGACACTGTCCTCAAGGTCACAATAGAGAGAGGCAAAGACAATCAAGCCAGTAATTGCCACAGGGTGTGACTAGTGGGGGCTGCAGCTGTGGTTTCACCACCAATCCTGAGGCAGGGACTCACCCCTCATAGACCCTGGTGAACGCCTCATGGAACCCTGCACTGAGCCTTGCACAGGGAGCACTCACTAATAAGACACCAAGTGCCAGGAGGCATTTGAAAGATGGTGAGAAGGAGGTGTGAGAAAGCTCCAGAGTTTGAAAGGGACAGGAGCGGACCCTCCAAACACGGGGAAGCACTTTCCGCGATTTCTCTCCCTGCACTATCAATGACCAGGGCACAGGCAGCCCACGATCACTTTCGAATACAGGTGCAAAAAAGGGCAGGTGAGCCCACGTCAGCGTGTTAGCTGCCAGATCTCCAGAGGGAGGCTCACCCCCCAGGGAAGAGAAGGGTACCCAGGACCCTGAGAGCCATCATCACTTCACAGGCAGATTCCATCTGTCCCCACCCAGAGTCCACAGGAAAACAGACTTCTGGTAAAAATGCCTCGGCTGTACATTCAGCCCACCAGTTCTGAGTATCTACACGTGGACAGGCACCGTGGGTTCAAAATCAAGAAAAACAGCCAAGGCCTCTGCCCTCAGAGAGCCTTTGCAGTTTCCCTACTTTACAGAAAGTCAACCTCAGGGGAATGAAGGAACTTAGCTAGCATGTGACCCCAAGCGCAGCCCGTCTCCTAAGTCACGCTTTGCTCTGCACCCGCTTTGCCAGACAGTTCTCAGAACTCAGAACTGGCTGAGCTCATTGACTGTCCCCTCTACTGCGTCCCACAGAAGGGTCCTTCCCCAAGGTGCGCAGAAGCAGCGGCACTTACCCAGGGGCATTCTCACCCCGCGGACAGTGGAAGCCCCTCAGGGGGTGCAGATCAGAGTGCTGCAGGAGAGAGAGGGCGCTGGCTGGTGCGAAGCCGTCCGAGGTGCAGCACAGCCCACAAGGCCTAGGCAAGGAAAAAGCACGGGGAGGGGGCTTTAGTACAAGGCCCGGGGACAGAAGTCCAGACTCTGCCCCACTGGAGTGCTGGCAGCGTCTTCCATTTAAACCACAGCTAACTGGTCTGTAAAATGAAGGTTCTAACACCTACTTTTAAAAGTTATTGAGGGGAAAACGAGTTAACGGTCTCAAGGACGTGGCACAATGACTGGCACTTTGTAGGCAACAGTCAAGTGGCTTTGGAGGCTTCCAATGCCAGGAGTCGGGGGCGGGCAGCTAAAGTCGCCGAGCCCTGTTTCCCGCCATCCAGGGGCACTAAGCCTCCCCGCAGAGTAGCTGCGCGGACAGGGGGTCTGACGACCGCACGTGGCCCGCTCAGCACTGCCGCGGCCAAGGGCGCGACTCACCTGCCAGTGTCTTTCCCGAGGACACGCGAATCCTGGGGGGCTCACTCCGGCAAAGAGGACGAGACACTGCACCAAGGACAGGGCCTGACCTCTCTGGCCGCCTTCCCCGGGGCCTCAGTTTCCCCCGATGGTGAGAGTGGAGCCGACCATGCGCCCTGCTGTGGACTCACCCGGCGCCCTGGCGTCGAGTGGCGGCGGAGACCTGACAGACAGCGTGGGAAAAATCAAGATGTCTGCAGATTTCGAGAGATGGGGTGCGGTGGCGTGCGATGGCGAAGGACGGCGAGGGACGGCGAAGGACTGAGGCCACACGACAAGGAAGCTACGCTCGTTTCGCGCCGGCGGAAATACAGACGAGAGCGCGAGCTGCGGCCTAGAGCGGTAGGAACCGACGCGAGCAGTCCTGCAGCGTCCCCTGGCGGAGCGGAGGCTCAACGCCAGACTCTGGAGGACTTGGGATAATTTTCGAAAACTATCTGGAAGTTTAGAAGTAAACTTCTCCCACTTGCTTTGCTTTTCTGTTTGTTCTGAAGATGTTCCTTGGTCACTGATTCATTATTAATCTGTAGGAATGGCCAATTTTCCATGATAGGAGCTGTTACTACGATGAGGGGACTGTGCTTAGTTTGGACTTCTTTCTGCAAGGGTCCAAAGGCATCTGTCTTTGATTCACCACTGTACTCAGTACCTAGTTCAGTGACTAGCACAGTTGAATGAATGAATTCTACCCCCGCCCCATTCCTTTTTTTCTGAACAATGTCAGACCGAGATGACTGAGTCATGGCCTGAGACTGGAATGTGAGCGTGAGAAGATGAGCCAAGAGAGATGCACAGCGGGTAACTGCTTTGCTAAACTCCAGCCTCAAAGTACACGGGATGGAGGGTGGAAAGAGTCTCTGAAGCAG